>NC_000004.12:185588047-185891077 GCF_000001405.40 Homo sapiens
ACAGGTGACAGGGTGAGTGGAAAATCCTAAGAGCAAAGCTTCTCAGGGACCAGCAACCCGCGCAACACAGGTGCGACATGAAGACATCATCTGTGGCAGGCTGTCGCTGTTCCAACAGTTTTATCATCTTACAGAAGATCATGGTCAGTGCCACATCATTTATTTAAAAACAGCACTGCCAGAGTCCTTCATCGAGTATACAATTTTTCAACAATTTACAAATCATTAATGAAAAAAAGGATTAAGCACTATTTGTGTGTGGGAGTTCTATCAGTGGCATGATTTTTAACATGGTGTGTGTTTAACCACACGCACAAATGGCTATCATAATTATGTTCGCCTCTGGTTTCAAATAATGTAATTCCTTGGACACTTCTTGTAAAAGTTGGTGCACTAAATTGCTAAATTCTTCTTTAGGCAGCGCAGATGGACCGGATAAGGGTCTCTCAAGCTTCATCTGTCTCCTATATCCTGGCACTTACTGCCTTGGTTTGATGGCTGTTTTTCTTTTTCCTTGGCTAGGCAAGCCATTTTACGTTTCTCCTCCCTCCTCCTCCTCCCTCCTCCTCCTCCTCCTTGTTTTTGAGATGGAGTTTCGCTCTTGTCGCCCAGGCTGGAGTGCAGTGGCATGATCTCGGCTCACTGCAACCTCTGCCTCTTGGGTTCAAGCAATTCTCCTGCCTTAGCCTCCTGAGTGGCTGGGATTACAGGCACCTGCCACCAAGCCCAGCTGATTATTGTACTTTTGGTAGATACGGGGTTTCACCATGTTGACCAGGCTGGCCTCGAACTCCTGGCCTCAGGTAATCCACCCGCCTCGGCCTCCCAAAGTGCTAGAATTACAGGCATGAGCCACCGCACCCGGCCTTTTTTTCTTCTTTTAATGGAAATAAAATCAGAGGCTTGTGGCCGCACCAGGGCCTCAATTCTTTCATGATTTTGCCACCGATGGATGTCTAGAGTGAGCCCTCCTCTCCTCTCACCTTTCCTCTCTTCCATTCTCTGCCCTGCAGCCTGTGTTTCCTTTTCACCTCTTTCTGTGGCCCAGTGTAAAATACTTTTGTCTACAAATGTTTTCCCAGAAGACCTCTCGTCTTTTTTTTTAGGATGGTAAAGATGAAGTTGCCTTTTAAGTGGGAAGAATGGAACGTCTCTCTGCTTCCACCACAAACTAAAGTTAAGGTGAGTCACTGAATGTTCGGGCATCTACGTCAGACCTAGGAAACGGGAGAGCTGTTCACTTAATCTCACTCCCTCTGAAATTAGATTCTCACTGTGGACAACTAACATTTTCCACAGCACAGAGCGTTGATATTTCTCTTCTGGGGACCATTTGTTGTTGTTGTTCTTAGATCTCAATCTTTCCTGGTTTTTGCTATTTAAAGAAATTGTCTTCTCTCAGTTGAGTTGGAAATAAAGCTCGCAGAAAATCACACATAGCTGAAGCAGTGAATACTAAACTATATTAAAAATGCAATAGCCTTGGGATTACATTGTGCATATGAATGTCTGAAAGATCAAAGGCATTACGAATTCAAAGGAAGCTCGGCCATCACAGCAAACCACGGGAGTGAGCAAACTCAAGCAAATTACAAAATAGCCGAAGGTGCCTGAGGAAGAAGCGCACATACCCACAAACCAGCCGTCATCACACTTTTCCATGACATCAATGACATCACTTTCTCTGAGCTCCAGCTCATCTTCATTCCTGGGAGTATAGTTATACAGAGCCTGAAACCTTAAACAGGACAAGGGAATGTGTTTAAAAACATCTTGACACCTTCATGAAATATAGAAGATAGAACAATATTCATTCTTCCTTTAACATTCCTATTCTTAACAACATTCTGTTGGGTGGTACAAGCCTGGTAAGCATGTAAATAGCATTCTATTGGATGGTACAAGCCTGGTAAGCAGGTACATAGCAATATGTAGATCTTCACAGGCATTAGAACACTCTAACAACATTTTGAAACTCACGAGGAATATCCATGAAAATTGTAACATTCATAAATTGGATTAAAATATGTCAACATGTATAAGTCAGACCCGCATTTCAGTTGTCCAGCCATCTAACGTCTATCATTTAGACATTAAATAATAGTACAAAATATAAAATAAGTGATATTTGTATTATTTAACTGTTTAAAAACAAGAAGGAATCACAATTTTAGCTAGCCATAATCAGAAGCAAATAATGGGGGCTTGAGAATTGAATTTTCAAAGGTTCTAAATGGAGATAGACAAAATGTGTCAGACATGTCTTTTTAATCACTCTGTGTGAATTACTATACAAAGGAAAATTATTTTTTTTACTAAGAGGAATTCTTTAGATCAGTTTAATGTTATGGTTTGGATCAGTGTTTTCTGAGGATGTAGAATTGGAAGATTTGATGTAATTAGCCTATGAAGTTGAGTAGATGTATTCTATGTGCAGTTATTACTGATTCCATTTCAAGCAGACTATGGACATAAGTCTCTTTTTAAAATGAGTCCCAGAAAAATTGTATTTGATTTTAAAACTCTCTCTTGAAATAATTTTATATAAAAAAGAATTATTGATAGAATGCTATCACTTTCCTTTCCCGGCCTGAATTCTTTGACAGCATATACTGTGGTGGAAATTGATCAATAATGAATTCAGACACTGAATTTGTGGTAAGAAAACACCATACATTATAATAAATAGTAACATGGGCTGGTGTTTTTGGAAAATGAAGGCGAAATTACTGTAGCTGAGAAGGTCAAGAAGAATTTGATAGGCAGTTAACATGAAAACTTCTTCATAATAGTACTAAAATATTACCAGTACTGTGAGGGGGTTTTTAAAAATTGGGAATTTGTTTCTGCTGCTTTCTGTAACAGTCATGTCATTCTGCTAATGTGAGAAAATAATTACCACTTTCTAGGGTATTTTAGATTTTTTCATGCCAACTTAAAAAAGTTGATAATCTTGACTACCGCTCCGGAACAAGAATGATTTATTTTTAATTACTTTATGAGTCAGAAAATAATATTTTGGTAGAACAAAACTATTCTATCATTTAAACTCAAATCTTATGTCATTAATAAGCAACAGTGACCTACTGGCTTCCCCCCGTTCATCCAGCATTTGGACTGGGGGAGCTGGATAGAGTTGGCTTCAGAGAATGCCTAACAACATCCCCTAGAAAATATTGTTTTCCCTGGCCTGGCACCAAAGCCTGAAATTTCAACATTAGAGGCTTCTTCTCCTGTTAAAACTTCATCCTTCCAGTAGACCTTACAGCCACTTATATCCTTTTGAGCATGGGCTTCTGAGGCCTTTTCTTGAGAGAGGGGTTTGTGATTATGGGGAAGGGCAGAGAAAGGCAGCTAGCATCCCAGAGTAGTGGCCAAAAAGACAGGCAGGTGTGGAATACAGAAACGTCACCTGATTTGGATGTTTGCATGTGGCCAGCTTTGCTAGGGGTAGTCCATTTATTTTGTTGCTTGTGTAAAGAATTTGATTTGGAGGCTGCTCAGGTGAAGGGGTGGTATCTTTTGTGTATCTGTGGGGAAAGTTCACGGTCCCTTTTCCAGTTTCACATTTGAGAGAGATGGTGGTTCCTGGGCTGCTGTTTTGATGGATACACACGGCATTTCTCACTTTGGGAAAACTGATTCTTTTATTGAGCTTCTCAGGCTTGAACCCTGCCCAGGCTCATCTCCACCCACTCATGGAGACCGGTTACCTAAGGCTGCAAACCTCAGCTGCTGGAAAGAATCTCAAGGTCTCAGAGCTAACGCAACAAAATTGGCACAGACTCCTGCTTCATTTTTGTCTGATGAAAGCCAGCATGTTTGTCCAAATTTATTTACCATTCTGGTTTAATTAGACCACAGAAACAAAAACAAAACAAAAGAAAACCCACGGAGTTTTATGGAAACGTAAACACACCTTCAGGAAATCCTCCTGCCTCTCCTGGCTTTCAAAGCCAGTGTTGCACAATGGGAAATGAAGACAAATCCAATGTTAAAAAATGCTGTTGTGAAAGATGTGTTGGTGAGGTGAGTGATGGTGGTGGGGTAAGGATGCCTCAAAAAGAAAGGTGTCTTTTAAACAGGAAATGCTGAGCCAGACTGGAAGCCCTCTCGATAACTTGCAACTTTTTCTAGAACATATTTCACTAAAACTCTGAATTGTAGTGACATAACATTATGTTCCTACTTTGGCTCAAAACTTATTTTTAAATGAAAGCAACTAAGCAACACCCTAAAATCCCACTAATTCAGGCTATAATCAAATATAAATTTAATAAACAATGTTTTCTAATATACAAATCAGGACTTTGAAAATGTAACATATCTTTCATTCATAAACACTTTGAAAGCTGTTTAATATAACATGTTGGTAATGCAATAAACCTAAACAGCCCTGGAATTTATTTTTTATCATGTGATCTTATCATCGTTTGGGTAAATAAGAGAACAAACAAAAGCTTTAGAATGACAAGTCGTATTTAGTGTTTTCCAGTTAAGCGATCTTTTTGTTTGTTTGTTTGTTTGAGACAGGGTCTTGCTCTGTTGCCCAGGCTGGAGTGCAGGGCCATCATCATGGCTTATTGTAGCCTTGATCTCCCTGGCCCAAGTGATCTTCCCACCTCAGCCTACTAAGCAGCTGGGACTACAGGCGCATGCCATCACACCTGACTAATTTTTTATTTTTATTTTTGTAGAGATGGTGTTTTGCTATGTTGTCCAGGCTGGTCTTGAACTCCTGGGTTTTGGCCTTCCAAAGTGCTGGGATTTCAGGCATAGTGACTGCACCTAACCTTCAGTGAGATTTCAAATGATTATCACTGCTAACCTGTTCTTTCCAAAATACAGACTTTCCCGCAACAAGAACACTTTTCTGCCTGTGCTCTGTGAGAGCCAGTCTCATCCGGAGCTGCTTTTTGCTAAGTTTCAGGTCTGTGAGGAGCAAGGAAGGACTTGATGGTGATAAAGGCACCAGGTCATATGCCAGGACCTGCCGCAAGGAGGAGGCTATTGTTAGCCTGTTCTGCTCCAGGTGAGCAGAGTGTGGGCAGTGGGTCAGGATCCCCAGTGTGTGCTCAGATATGGGGGACAAGGGGTTAGGTCCATGAATAAGCCTTCCCAGGGGTCTCACTCTCGACTCACAGTGTGGGCAGAGGCCAACAGGAAGCTGATAACTCCTGAACGTCTCTCAGGGACAAAATGGGCCCGAAAAAGAAACACACAGAGAGAATCTTCAAGACAACGTGTGACACCTTCAGGCTGATTTAACTCATGTATCAGAAAGGAGAAGGAATTTGAAAGGAAAGTTTGAAAAGGCATTTTCCTGGTGCTGTGGAAGTAATCGCATGTAACTGAATAACAGTGAGTGTTTTAATACTGCCCTTTTCAAATGACCCTTCTAAGCATGTAACTTTGGAATGATGGAATGATCGCTTTAGGTCTTTTTTACACTGAGGTCCACTTTTACCGTCTCCCAGTGGGTGTAAAAGTAAGGTTAGAACATGTTCTGTATGTCTTTGAAGCTCGCAGTTACTCGTTACACAGCCAGCAGAGCAGAGAGGGAGACAGAGTTATCCATCTTAGGAATCACTGAAGCATTGGGAAGTTTTCCTAGTGTGTCAATTAAAATCTTCTCAGAGAACTATGGGTTCTTTTAAAAATTAGTTTCTGGTCACTGTCATAAAAGATGGAGAGACTATTACAATTTCTCGTAATTTAAGAGGCCTCATGTTAGTTTGATCTTTCACGTGCAAAGCCATACATCTTACATTTTGGTACAGTTGTCCATTTTGTGGGTCAAGGTTAGTCTCAAATTTAGAAGATAAGAAGAATACTTACGGTTCCCCCCCACCTTGAATATTTTCATGAGTAAACACAGGACGCTGTGGCTGAAATGAAATGATTTTCAATGTAATCAATGTTTAAACTGGTACTAATTAAAAGATAATTTGGATAATGGCATGGTACTTTTCTTGACATTTAATATTTCCTGTTGTAAAAAACCAAGAGGAAGAAAAAAACCAAATAAAAGCTTTCTGCAGGATTAATAATTAAAATATTTAAAGGGAGCTTTAAATTAAAGCAAAATAAGCAAGGTCAAATGTTTTGAACATGTCTACAATCTAGTCTGCTCAAGCTTTAAGGAAAAGTCAGGGTTTGGTCCCATTGATTTTTCAAAGGCCAGGAATAAGGCAAGAACATAGACGGCAAACCACTAGAATAGGAAATATAGACACCTTCATACAACCTTATTCTCCAGCGTTTTCTCAAACAAGCAGAAAATAAACCACATTTAGTTTAACAGCAAAGTATCCACACTCATTCTTTCAATCTTTCCTTCACAGACAACATTTTCACATACAGCACAGAGGAAAATATCAATAGGCAGACATCCCATGCTACATTTGAATTAACATTTTCTGTTCTCAATGTGGAGAGAAAACATGCATTTTTAAAAAGAGAAAACAGAACTTTGGAATGCAACGAACAATATCCGGGTAACATGTAACATTTTACCTTAGAAGAGAAACATTGGTAGAAATTTCCAGTGCACTGAACTCTCAAAAGAGTTTCTTTTCTTTTTAAACTAAGCATCAAGACCAGTATCTGTAATAGATACTTATAATATTGGAAATGACAAGCCTTAGCATCCCATATACCCACATTAATATTTTCAGTGAATGAAAGTTAACATGTTTGTTGAATATATAAACTCAGTGTAATTTATATTGACTACCTAAACTTTACCTTTTAGGGGAGAAATGCAAACAAATCATTCATAATCCATTTCAAAAGCATTTGCTTCTAAATGATAGCTACAGGGTAAAATCAGAATTTGCATGGCAATTATATAAGTGACTGTTTGATGACTACTGAAATAGCTATTAGATCCATGTCCTTAGACTTTGGGACCAGTTCTTAGATTTCCATAGTTATGAGTGGATTACTGATAGGCTGAAATCTCTTGCTGCCAATTGTCCATAGAAACCCCACTGATCCAAGCTTGGATGGATAATTCTGAGGTTCCTTTCAGTCTACGAGTCAATGATTCACCCACTTCCTAAATTCTTTATCCACCCCCTTTCTATCCTACTTGTCTATCTAGCATAAGACTAGGTACTCACAGTACTAAAACTGTAAGCTCTGACTCGGTTAACTGGAAACCTTTATTAACAGTGTTCTTAGAAATTTCACTCAACAGTCTGTGGATAGAATATTTAAAACTAGAGTGCGTAAGAATTACTGCACACAATTATGACTTAAGAGTGAAATAGTTTACTCCTGTAAATCAATATGACTACTAATGATGTATCTATTATTAAAATTGGAAGATATTCATATTTTAAGAAAAATTATGACTAACCAGTTTTCCAACCATCTTAAAGGTCATTTAATTCAAGATATTATTAAATCAATTTAAATATATAAGATGGTAATTGTAAGTCATTGATAAGCCTGTATCATATTACCTATTTCAAGTTCTCTTCCAGTCCAATAAAACTTTATATATGTATAAAACTTTCATGCAGAAGTAAGATTTGTATACATCAATTGCCATTAATATTATTTTGTAATAACTTTCCAGTCTTTTTTTCTCAGTCTTCTTTCTTATTTCAAATGTCTGCAGAATAATGTTCTCCCACGTGTGTCTACATATCATAGTTTTCTTAACCATTCCTCTCTTTTTTTTTTAGTTTTGAAGTTAGAATTGGTCTAGTCTTTTTTTTTTTGCTATCATAAACAGCAATGCTATACACATTTTTTATGCAAAGAGCTATTTTCTTCTTTTGAACTATTCTTTAGAATATATTCCCAGGAGTAAAACTTCTGGCCAAAGAGTATGCATTAAAGCCATATGATTTTGAGAATGTACATGTTAGTCACTGAAAAATACTGTACTCAAAAGTAACTTGAAAATGTCTAATATGCCAGACTGCATATCATATACCAAGATAGCTACTACTCTTTCCCCAAAACAATCATAGCACCATTTGCAGTGCATAATAAAGTTATGAATAAGAAAATATTATTTATTCTTGTCTTAAGAGAAAATGTTGTGTAAAATATATTTCATTATGCTCTAAAATTGGCATCCCTGTTTTCACACATTTAAACCATTTTAATATTTTAAAATTGAGTAAAAGTTTCAACTTCTACATCATGGCATCCAATGCTTTGTAAAACTGGTTAGTTTCATTTCATTGCTCTTTTGTTAAAATGTGAATACCACTTTAAAAATCAAATTGTTCATTAATGTAAAACAATCAACTTTTAAAGTCCGTATATCCCTTTTTAGTTATCATCATTATAATTCTACTAGTTTAATTCCTTTAACTCAACCCACCTCATCAATCATTTAACTGAACTGTCCCATTGACCATTATGAAAATTTGGTGATTGCTGCAAACCTGCAGCTTCCTGGATCCCACGTCCATGGCTGGAGAACGTATGTTCCTGTGTGGGGCAGCCAGCACCGTCCTTGCTTTTTTTTTTTTTTTTTTTTTTTGAGATGGAGTCTCACTCTGCCACCAGGCTAGAGGTCAGTGGTGTGATCTTGGCTCACTGCAACCTCTGCCTCCCGGGTTCAAGCGATTCTCCTGCCTCAGCCTCCCGAGTAGCTGGGACTACAGGCACGCACCACCGTGCCCAGCTAATTTTTGTATTTTTAGTAGAGACAGGGTTTCACCATGTTAGCCAGGATGGTCTCGATCTCCTGACCTTGTGATCTTCCCGCCTTGGCCTCCTAAAGTGCTGGGATTACAGGCGTGAGTCACTGCGCCCGGCCCCCGTCCTTGCTTTTACCTGTTTCCCAATTTCTCTTTTCCCTTCCTTCATATCTTTCAAACCCTGCCCCTCTTTTTACACACAAATCATCAGTTTTCTATACTGTTCACATCCTGAGGCCAGAATCAATCAAGACTTTTCGTAGCAGAGAAGTTGTGTGTGTCTTATAATGGCGAGTTTTAGAACTTTTCAAAGCTTACCTTTAACAAGAATCACCTCCATGTTAATGTGGATAACTAGGAGACAGTTTTGAGGAAAGCTGACTAATTACAGTACTTGAAATAGTTTATTTTAAAGGCATTTGACTAGTAGGGAATGAGTAGCAAGAACAGTTATCTAAGACGGCTCATCTGCGTCTTTCTGTTTTGGGCGTTAAGCACCATATAACCTTGGGGATGCCTCAGCTTCCCTATCTCTGAAATCAATGAGTTGGACAAGATGAGGGTTAATCGGGTCCCCTCAGGGATTCCATGAAGGATACACATTTCCACAGATGTATTTCCTCTGCTGTGTAAAGGTGTCCGTCATCAGTTTTACACAGAGAGCTGGGACACTGACATTGATTGGTTAATTCTCATGTGTCTCGGTCACGTAAAAAAAAATAATGGTTACAATTCAACTCCATTTTGCAGAATGGTAAACCAAAACCCAAAGATACTGGATAATTTCTTAATACGACAAATAGGTAAAAAACAAACAGAAAAAGAAACAAAATGGTAATTTCGATGTGCACGCTATTGCATGAAAGATTACTATGATGGACTACTTGGCCTACCTTGGCTAAAATCAGCATCTTAATTTTGACGCTGAGGTAGGTGCAAATGTCCTATAAGGTGATGTAAATAGATTATCTGGGGAGACTGTCTTTCGCCCTTTCCCCTTGGTGATGTAACTCAAATGGCAAGTCGCTTAAGCAGAGATTTGTAATGCAGCTGCACTCTGTCGCCACCTAGTGGTGAGCAATGGCAGCAACAAGCTGAGAGTTGTTTCTGCTTTATCTGCCCCTTTTTATCCAAGTTCCCAAGGCTGGAAAAATTTTAAAAGCCTATTTTAAAGGCCGCAGAGTGATGTGGAATAGACAGTCATCTGTTTTCCTAACCATGTTCTTCCCTCCCCACGTTTTAAATTTTTGAGAAAGCATCCCTTGTAAAGCCACCAGCATTTTTGGTCCGTGTCCATTTCTATTTTGACTATCTGTGCAGGCATTTCCATTTCCCCTAACTTCTTAGCAGTTTTAAGATAAATATAGAACAATATACACTTGTGACATTCAGAGAGGCTTACATGAGCTGAACCTAGAAAGATGGCTTTCAACTGACACATTACAATCACTGTGCTGGGCATTTTGAACAAGAATTATATTATGCTTATATTTCCTTGATGAATCTTAAGAGTAGAACAAGAGAAAAATCCAGTGAAGCATGCTGCGGTTTTCATCGTATCCTAAATATGTATTTTTTTCTGTAGCCCTGACTATGTAAGTATTTTTCTGTAGCTATTTTTTAATGTTGTCAAAAACGGATACAAAAGAGACAAGTTTTAAACACATGCTAATTTCCAAAGCCAGAACCAATCACAAGTTGCTGTTCATAAGGAAGCTGGTTTGAAACATCATGGAGTCTGTAACATCAGTAAAATATATACTTTCCGATCTTAGTGAGCTACAGTCTGTTGAAAAGCCGTCTAATTTATCAAAGCTTCTGCAGTTATCTCTGGAGGATTAGCTATATTTAGTATCAAATAATTCTTAAAGAAGGATTGACTGTTACTTTAAACACTAATGCAAAAAAATCTCTGAAAGCAATATAAGCAGTGCTAAAGTGTTTTTATCTTTTTTTATAAAATATTAGTTGTCATATTTGCCCACCAGAATTCGATGAAATTCTCCTAATAATACCACGTTTATGTTTCTAGAGGCTTATTTTTCCTTCTTAAATTATGAAGGTAAAACACAACTTTGCATAAATCTAAAAAAATAGAATATTTATGGTTCACACAAACACACGTGTAATCTGACATACAAATACATAATGTAAAAATCAGGCAAAAAATAAAAAAAAAACCTTAAGGGGAACACAAGCATACCATCTCGTGGACCCACAGGAGGGTTATAGATGGGTCCTTTTCACTGCAAAAGAAGCTTATGTTTTGCTTTGGCTCTGGAAGGCCATTCGGGGGAGTCTAAGAGTCTCTACAAATTGGCATTTCTGTCTCTATGGCAACACAAAGCTCTGCCTCAGCAACAAAATGAGGTCTTCCTATGCAATGCAAAAAGCACAAAGTGGCATGAATGCAGAATAATATCGACTTTTCTTTAGAAATAAAAAATGAAGACTTCTGTGAAATCAAGCCCTTGAGAACTTCTTGAAATGCAGAAGCACGGCCATGCGATAGGCCAGTCAAGGTTGAATCCGGGTCCATTAAAACAGAAATGAGGAAAGGAATCCTGACTTATGTCCAGATGAAAATTTCCAAACTCCTTGGCTGCATTCCTTAGAATTGATAGTAAGTACCATTTAGAGTCCATGTATTTTAAAGTACTGTAGATACTATGGAACGAAGTAGCTAAGGGAAAGTAATTTGACCTTTAAGTTCAATCAGAGCTGGCAAGAAATAGGAAGTGGATAGAATCCAGACAGCAGTATGGGGACAAAAGGCAGACTGAGAGGATGTAGTGCACATCACCAGAGAAACAGAAGATGTTAGACAAGAATCATGGATTTAAAAAAAATCCAAATTGAATGACACAGAAGCAAACATGACCGGAAGTGTGTGAGTTCGGCACTGTAGATGCTTGGCAACAGTTTTTTCTTTGCAGGAGAAACGGTGACTAGAAAGCAGTGATTTAGTGTAGAACCATGAGACAGATGTAGACCACAAAACACACGACACTCTTATTTGTAGAGTAGAGAATCTGACCATGTCTTTGTGGAGTTTGGAAACCTCACACACACCTAAAAGGGAAGCACATCACCAGGTGGTCGCTTCATCTTCAGGGTGTCTCCAGCCTCACTTTAAGGCCAGTTCACAGCAAAGACAACTAAGGAAGAGCCAGCCCTGGGGGCGGGGGAGGTGGCCAGGATGCCTGCCACAAAGTGGGGGCATGCTGACCCTACCCTGTGGGAACCGCTGAGCCCTCTGACAGGTGAGCCGCAGAATCTCCTAGACATCACTGGGCTACGAGGAGGCTTACCCAGGACACATATCTCGCTTTTTACGTCAGCCTGGAAAATGTACAAGAAGTTAGTTAGCTCTCATCTTCGTCACACAGACTTCAGGAGGAGCTTTCCTGGCTGGCTTTTTCCATGCACACACAGCATGCCAAACTCCTGCACAACAGCAGGGCAGGGAGGGTCCACAGCTTCTCCAGCTGCTTATACAGTTTCCACACCACAGGCACCAGCTGCCATCTTAACATGGCACCCACAGGCACAGCAGAAAAAGGTTCACAGAGGAAAGCTGGCATAGGGAAGAGGCCAAGAACATATAAGAAATGTTATATCTTTTTTTGTCTTTTATTTTTTTGAGACGGAGTCTGGCTCTGTCGCCCAGGCTGGAGTGCAATGGCACAGTCTCGGCTCACTGCAACCTCCATCTCCCGGGTTCGAGCGATTCTCTTGTCTCAGCCTCCCGAGTAGCTGGGATCACAGGCACCCGCCACCAGGCCCAGCTAATTTTTGTATTTTTAGTAGAGACAGGATTTCACCATGTTGGTCAGGCTGGTCTTGAACTCCTGACCTCAAGTGATCTGCCTGCCTCGGGCTCCCAAAGTGCTGGGATTACAGGTGTCAGCCACTGCGCCCGGCCAAGAAATGTTATGTCTTTCATAGAATGCTTAGCAATTGGGTTCAAGATGCTCTCAAACCTGCCCTGCTTTTTCATCTTATTGAAGGGATGCAAGGTGAGATAGAGGAGAATTTGGCTTAATGCCTGTCAAATTTCATGGACTGTATCAGACATTTGTTGGAGGCAAAATTTTCTAACACATAAGAAGAAAATAAGGCCTTTTTGGGGGGAAACATGGTGAAATTTGATGAACTACTGAAGTGCCAACCTGTGGGCTGGACTGTTTTGGTGTTTTTTTTTTATTTTCAGAGTAAGATCTTTCATATGACAGTGAGTAAGCTGACCTTCTTTTGTGTAGGTTTTATTTTCCTTCCAATAGCGGACAGGATCTGGCAGTGTACTGCCTGGTATTTGATCTGGCTTAAGAGAACTTCCGGAGGAATAAAACACGCTTAAATAAAAGCATGTGGTTTTCTCAACTCTCATTTAGAAAAGTTTTCCTAATTCTCAGTAATGATTGACCTCAAATCCCCAGCCTCTCGGGATGAAATGTGTTTGGCACCGTTGCTTAAGTGTCGTGGCAGACGATGCTTGATGCTCTCCACATCCATTCTCTTCTTGGTCCTCAGTAATGGGGCCAGGCTGTTGGGTAGGCACATGGCCATTCTGGATAAAGACCACATTTCCTGACTTGTAGCTGGATGTACTCATGTCATAAGCTGAGACCGAGGGGATATATGCAATTCTGGGACTTGGCCTTCAAGGGAGAAGGTGTAATCTCCCATCTTTTCTCCTTCCTGCTGGTTCGTGTGAGAAGGGAACTACTCGAGCTGCCACCTGGGACCCATAGCGGAAGCTTCTCTCTGAGGATGGCGATGAGCCCACATCAGATGGAAACTCCTGGGTTCTCTGATGACTGCGGGGCCACCATACCAGTCCCGGACACCCTTCATTTATGTGTAAGAGCAATATATTTCTACGTTGTTTAAGCTATAATTATTTTGAGTTTTCTGGGACTGTGCTTATCCCAGTCTTGACTAATACAGGGGTTCAATGCATATCAGAGCTCTTAGAGAAAAAAAATAACCCCATTTAGCTTTTAGAATGATGTGGATCATAACAGCTGGAAAGAGCACGTGAACATATTAGGAAAAATCAGGGCCTGATTTCATGTTGAAAACCGTGCGCCGGGGATCCCCTTCTGATGGGACTGCTTTAGGGTGACGAGACTTCCTGGTGGGACCACAACCACTGAGTTACTTGGAAGAAACCTAAAAAAGAGCCTCTCACTCTCCTCACAGAGCTTCCGCTGCAACTTGAGACCACATGCGGCAAGTCTCTTGCAAAATAGTCTCTCGGATGGAAATGGAGGCTCAGCTTATAGAGGAGCTGAGATTTATACTATTTTTTTTGAGATGGAGTCTCGCTCTGTTGCCAGGCTGGAGTGCAGTGGCACGGTCTCGGCTCACTGCAACCTCTGCCTCCCGGGTTCAAGCAATTCTCTGCCTCACCCTTCCGAGTAGCTGGGATTACAGGCACCTGTCACCACGTCCGGCTAATTTTTGTATTTTTGGTAGAGACGGGGTTTCACCATCTTGGCCAGGCTGGTCTTGAACTCCTGACCTTGTGATCCACCCACCTTGGCCTCTCAAAGTGCTGGGATTACAGGCATGAGCCACCGTGCCCAGCCAATTTATACTATTTTTTGTTATGAAAAAATCATTATTTTAAAAGCAGATGCTCAGAAGACTGGGGGAAATATTGGATTCAGATTTATACATTAAACATAATTTATGTATCTTTCAGTCATCTGTAATCTATAAAGTGGTAGGAACTTTTACGTTTATGGAAGATTCTGGATTGCATTTACTTTTATGGAGATTGTCATTGTCTTAGAAAACACTTTAAAGAATGAAATTGCACTGACTTAACATGAGTTAACTAAACAATGGTTGATGGGGTTGATAAAAATGTTATTACAATGATTTCATGCGTGCTATACTATGTCATTAAAACATTACTAAGAGTTTATTTTCTCTTTGCTTTCAGTGCTGGGTTATTTCTTTTCTTTACAATGAGCATCAGCATTCTTGAAATGGAAGAAATAAAAAGGCTTCGGACTCAGATTGGCAGAGTTTGTAACTGGGTCAGATGCAGAATTAAACTATAATGGCCTAAAATTACGAGTTGATTCAATTTGTACTTAAATTTACAAGCACAAATAACTTCAGTGAATATATTCTTTCAATGACTACAAAATAGATTTATAAGGTTTAAAAAAACTCAGTGGGAGATTCAAAAATTGAGATTTCCTCCTAAATAGGAGATAAAACAGAGAAAATCACTTTGATTTGCTGGAGTTAGTCAGAAGTATCTCATGTGGTCATTAAAATATTCTTTTAAAACATAGTTATTGTGAATACCTCCATTCTCTCATGTCATTCTGCAAACAACGGAAACTTAAAGAATATACGAGAAGAATTTTGTTCTTGCAGAAGAGTAAACCTTTTTAAATCCTGGCTTTGTCCTGATGCTACGATGGTGCGTCCTCCGTCTTTCCAAATTAGAGAACTCAGATTCTAAGGCTACTTTCCCTCTTATTGACTAAGCTTAAAAACCGAAGAACAAGTTAAAAAAAAAGACAAGAAATAAATACCTTGGCCTTAAAAATAAAACCACAGACAGAAGAGAAAAAAAGAGAAATTCTTAGCCTTAGGCATCATATAAAGTGGCATTATTTAAAACATTTCCTAATTATTTTCTGCCAGCTAAGAAAAAAAACCTCAAAGAGCAAAAGCAATTAAAGTGTTTCATTTTTTACAAAGTTCCTTTCACGCCTAACAGGAGCACATAGATAGACTATGTCAGCGAATGGGTTTGGTGGTAGTGGTTTTGAGATTGTATAAATGGCACTTCCTAATACAGAACCTTAGCTGTATTAGAGCCCTAAATTTTTACTTATGTGCAGAGGCTCTCATTTCACATTCAAAAGACTGAATGTGAGGGTGAGCTATTGTTTGAAGTCTGTCACCTTTTTTCCAAAGGAAAATGTTTTAGGATCATTCTGAACATAGAAGGAAAACATTTCAGTGATGGACTAATTTCATGCTGTGGTTGTCATTAAATCTCTTTCCAAGGCCAGTCATTAATTTTGTTAAAATAATTTTTTAAAAATAGTATCTTTAGGTTAAATACCAGCGGAACTGTCAGCCTGCAAGTCTCAGAGATGGATGCTTTGTGAAGTGCTACAAAAGGATGATCCTTCCCACATCCTCATGAATTTACGTCACTTTTGTGGAAGAACAAGGCTCAAGACAGTCAATGCCAAAGATCATCCTGTCTCCAGGCTCTGCTGAACCTGCCGATCGGTGGGAAATGACGGGAGACAATGAGTCCACTGAGAGGTGATGGAGAATGGCAGGCACTGAGCTAAGATACCTTAAATGTGATGCTTCTCATGCTGACGGCCAACTGAAAACAATCTCATCATTACTTCTTATTATGATATACATTTTAATTTGTTTTTCTCCTCAATCTGGGTATAGCTGCTATGCAAATATGTCTTTTAAATGTTTGGATAGAGGCCACGCCCATGATGTTAAAAGTTAGCAATCAGTATTTATGTAACTTCGTAGGTCTTGTGAGAGGGCGCAAATCTGAATGCATACATCTTACTAATTAAGCTCATTGAAGACATGCAATAAACCACACTCAAGATGCAGTTACCTTTAATTTTGGTGGATTGATCTCCTGTTGATAAGAATATTTAGGGAGGAGAGGAGGTGAGCAGGGCTGAGAAAGTGTAGAGTCCAGGTCAGAAACAGAGGCGAAGAGAGAATGAAATGGAGGGGAGGAAAGCAGGTGGCTGGGAAAGGGTGTGGGTGCTTGCTCTCCCGAAGAAAATGACGGAGGCTTAAATATCGAGGAAAGACGAGAGGTGATTATGCTTGTCTCAGAATGAGGTTACATGCTCTTTACGGAATTTCCTCTCAACTTCCAACATTTTAAAGTTACTAATAACCTTGGGAAGTTATATTTATGACAAATTTTTTGCTTTGAAACCACTAACTTCCTCTTTTGAATTTGATTCAAAATCCCCAATGGTATGATCAGTTTAATTTTTCGCATGGGGGTGGCTGGAGATAGGAACACCTATATTCTATCATTTTCTCATATATTTATATGATGGCTCCTTCTAAAAGTGAAGGAAAAAAGTATTTAAAACCCTGCAATGACTGTAACTTGCGTGTAAAGTAGGTTGCCAACTATAGTCAGCGTGTCACAAAGCTGGGGAAGCCGTGGCCCCGCGTGCAGGGTGTGAGCTGGTGCTGGGATGAGCCGGCCTAGGGTACTGTCTGTGTCAGCAAAGCCACACATCTAATCACACCTTCAGATTGATTGAATTGAAAGGAATATTAGTTACTGAAATAATTGATGTAGAGACACGTTTGGCTCCTTGCAATGAATTATCTATCTGTTATTAAATAAGGTGTTTGTTTTACACAAATGCAGGCCTGGCCGGGTTATTTTGAAATACAGGAACTATGAAAGAATTTGACTTGGATAGTAGCGTAATAGGAACCATCCTTTCTGTTATTTCATAATTTCTATAATTGCCAGTAATTATACTTGCTTCTTAATTCACAGGGTACATTTGTGGGATCAAGTTTCTTTTTATTTTTGAAATGGAGTTTTGCTCTTTTTGCCCAGAACGGAGTGCAGTGGCACAACTTCAGTTCACTGCAACCTCCGCCTCCCGGTTTGAAGCAGTTCTCCTGCCTCAGCCTCCCGAGTAGCTGGGATTACAGGCACCCAACACCATGTCTGACTAATTTTTGTATTTTTAGTGGAGATGGGGGTTTTACCATGTTGGACAGGTTGGTTTCGAACTCCTGACCTCAGATGATCCACCAGCCTTGGGCTCCCAAAGTGCTGGATTACAGGCGTAAGCCACCGCAGCTGGCCTTAAGTTTCTCTTTTTTTTTGAGATGGAGTCTCGCTCTGTCACCCAGGCTGGAGTGCACTGGCACGATCTCAGCTCATTACAACCTCCTCCTCCCGGGTTCAAGTGATTCTCCTGCCTCAGCCTCCCGAGTAGCTGGGATTGTAGGCACCCACCACCACGCCTGGCTAGTTTTTGTATTTTTGGTAGTGACGGGGTTTCACCATGTTGGCCAGGCTGATCTCAAATTCCTGACCTCAGGTGATCTGCCTGCCTCGGCCTCTGGAAGTGCTGGCGTTGCAGGCTCGTTTTTTGTTTTAAGAGAGAGGTTTGCAAGCTAAAGTTTCTGGATATTTTCTGCCTTTGTTGATTAAAACCACTGTTCAAGATTCTTCATAACATGAAGATACAGTACCCAGTTCTTAAGTAGTCAATGTGAAGTCAACACAAAGAGAACGACCTCTTTAGAAAATCGAAAGGGGACAGAAGTGCTGTTTTTCTTTTCTGTTGTCTTTGTTTATTATTAGCATTATTATTTTTGCAAAGTGCCGTTATGTCAAAGGTATGGTGTACAGTTTCTCATCCTGGAATAGGACAAATTTCTGGGCATCAACTTCCTCTTCTCTAAAGTGGGGATGATAATGTCACACACCTCACTGGGTTTTGACGATTAAAGATGTGGAGTTTTTAGAATAGTGTCTGATACTCAGTAAGAGCTCCACTATTAGCTATCATTGTTAATATTGGAAGATTACAAAGACTATATCAATTACAAAGACTTTTACAATATAAGTTTATGGTCCTGAAGAAAAATGGGATAATGGAATTATATCACATATTTACATCATTTAATTAAATATGGTGTGTTTTCATATACCCACTCCACCCCCATCTTATATAGTATTTGTGTTTTTTGTTTAAAAAAATCTGTTAGTCAAAATAGGTATTTATTAATATGATTAACTCTAATAGCTAATCATGGTAAGGCCGGTTAGTTCTTCCATAATCAGACAAAATTAAAATACCTCATTACTGGGTTTTGCTGCATTGCTGTCCTCCTTGGGGGTCCTAGGATCTGTGGGGGTGGCTATGGGGTGTTTTAGGCAGTTGGGTTTCTCCTCCTCCTCCTCCTCTTCAATGTGCAGGTGTGGGGTGCCCTCTGACCCATCGTGGCCACACCACCAGGCGTCTCCTTCCTGAGGTTCTGGCGGCCCTCTCTGGATGCCTGACACAATCCCCTCATAGATGCCCTCATCTTCCTCTCCAATGACCGGAAGGGGTACAGGCAAGGAACCCACGCTGGTGCACGCAGAGGCCACAAAATTATCCCCTAGGACTTCTGGTGCCTTTTTAGGGTCTGAGAAGCCCCTTCTCATTTTTCTCAACTCTGCAAAGTTGCTTTGAGTTGTCGTTCTGGGATCCTGAAGAGGCTCTGCATGGTAAGGCTGGGCTGCAGCCGAGGCCACACCCGCGTGAGTGGAAGGTGATTCGGCAGGTGCAGTCGCTGGGGACAATGGGAGGAGGACAGCAGGTTCCTCCTTAATTTCCAGGATGGCGTCCTCTAGGATGGTTGGTTTGGCTTGGTCAGCTGACAAGGTTAAAGCACCAAGCTTCTCCAATTCACCCAAGAAGTTGTCCAGGAAACGAGGTGGTGTTGGGGCCAAAGGGTTTGCTGGTAGACATGAGGCTGTCAGGGACAACCAGCCCTGGCCAGTTCCCTGGAGAGCTCCTTTATCTGAGCCAGGTGAGACTTTGTGGGTGGGAGGAGGGGCTGGTTCACTGGAAGCCAACTTGGAAATGAGCACGGATTATGAAGTTAAGAAAAAATAAACTAAGAAAATAATAATAATGCATCAAAACATAGCGATGGAGAAATGCAGAAAAGATGCGGTGGTGAATATGAAAATAATTTTATGTTTAACATAGATTTGAAGACATTTAGAAGATATCTAGATTTGAAGGTATTTTGCTGAAATTTAAATACATAAAATCATTTATGTTAATTAGAAAAGTTACTTCACAAATGAAACTCTACTAGTTTTGGAAGGGGTCTTAAATGTCAAACAAGATAAAGATGATATAGAGATTACCAGGACAGTAAAACCTTGAGAGATTTATTTTTATTTATTTTTAATTTTTTAAAAAATTTTTTAGAGATGGAGTCTCGCTGTGGCACCCAGGCTGGAGTGCAGTGGTGTGATCTCGGCTCACTGCAACCTCTGCCTCCCAGGTTCAAACGATTTTCCTGCTTCATCCTCCCGAGTAGCTGGGACTACAGGCGCATGTCACCAGTACAGCTAATTTTTATATTTTTAGTAGAGACGGGTTTCACCATGTTGGCCAGGCTGGTCTTGAACTCCTGACCTCGTGACCCACCCACCTCAGCCTCCCAAAGTGCTGGGGTTACAGGTGTGAGCCACCGCGCCTGGCCCTTAAGAGATTTAATGCTTACTTACTTTAAACTATGTTGAAAAGATATTACAGGTTTCCAGATACTGACTTAGTAGAGTATAAATGACTCCAGAGAAATGTTAATGTAGAATGAAAACTAATAGTGAAGTCATTTTATTTCCTGAATGTGTGTAGTGTTCTCTTGTCCTGCAGGATAGCCCAATCTTTTAAACGCTGACAATTTTCTCACTTATGTTTGCAAGGTGATTACAACATATGAATAAAGTATTTTAGATCATTATATGTTAACAAATTTCTAAGTGAATAAGTTCTGAAAACTATGTCTCAAAGACAGGAACCCATGATCAGAATGAAGCTGAGCTTACATAACTACGGCTTCAAAGTTTTAAAAAATCCAAAGTAAATATTTACATAGAAAGCTCATTTGATGCTAACGGGAGGGAGGACTTCTGCTTCAGCTCCCGTTCTCTTTCAAAGCTTGACATTTATGTAAATCAGAGGAGGTATGAGTTATGAAGCTTAATCTTCTGAAGTAAAATATACTTACTTCTACATACGTAGTATTACTGATGTATTTTGGATATAGTAAATGAAACAATACATTTGAAATTTTATGCAAAGGTATTAAAAGTAGTTCTGATAAATATATACACCCCATATGTACCCATAAAAATTAGAAATTAAAAAATGTAGTTCCAGAAGTGCCACTTACTAACATTGGAATACGTTTATCTACCCTTACCGGACTAGAGAAAATGCTACCTGCTATGTGCCTAAAAGCCTTGAGAAGGGACCTTTCACTTTAGGTCTCTCCAGGTAGATGTCTTTGATTTGGAAAGAAAAACATCTCCAAAAAGATTCTGGAGATACACTTTCCAGCTGATTGTTTAGGATAACACTTTACACAGGGAAGCAGCCCTCTTGCTCCTGGGGACTTAGTGTGTGTGAGTGGGTGATGCATTTCCTACTTAACTTTTGACTCCTGTGTCCTATAGTAGGAGTGGGGTATTAATTAGATTTATTTAGCTTTTTTTTTTTAAGTCATCTTATCGTGGGATGACATAAATATCACAAAACTCATGTGAGCATCTTAATACAGGATTCAGGACCTGGGCTGCTTAGCTGCTGACACACAGTGAGACTGCACGTGTGGTTTGCGCCTAGGTAGACAGCCACTCCTGTTAAGTCCTGTAGATGCTGAGTTTTCAATGATATAAACCACTCAAGTCTCATTCAGCAGTCTACAGAAGTTCCCTTACTAGCTAGAGTTCTAGTTTATACCCCTTGTTACATAACACAGAAGTTTTCATAGTTAGATTTGGAAAGTCTGTGAAATATATAATAATTTCAGACCATCAGGTTTCCACTTTCACTTTCTGTTATGCCAGGAATATTATGTAGATGAGAAAGAAAGATCTTGAATTCCCTTGTCATTACTGCCACCATCACCATTGCTATCTGATGCTGCGACTACGCTGTGCCGTCACCACCACAGTCACCGAAATACATGTCAGCAGGTTAAACTGCTTAGCTTTATGATGGACTTGCTTATACCGAAAGCCAAATGAAGCATCCTGGTATAACTAGATCACAAACCTATACCTATAATACAAAACCCATACAATTATTTTGTTTTCCAAAAGCATCAGAATTGGATTCTAATGCACTAAAAGCAGAAATATCAGAAATAAAATCAACATACATTTTAGTCTCCCCTAAGACAAAGACAGTATGTCAAGAAATGTGATTTAAATGTGTCACCAGAGTGATTTATAAATTATTAATGAGTTCTCTGTTTGTAAATATCAGTTAGAAAATAGGTTCTGTAGCGTTTAGTATATTTTGGATGTTATCATTTAGAAATACATTATATTTATCTTTCTAAAAATGGTTGTCACTTCCGGGAAGTTTTCTTCATTAAGCCTGTGACATCACAGCATGGATTACCAGTTGGGATAAAACCATTAAGTATTTCTTCCTAATTATGGACATAAGCTTCTCAACATATTTTTTCCCCAGCAGTGAGCAATAAAAAACTGGTTATTAGTGAAATTTGTACATGCCTCTGTTTAAAATCTGGTATTACTTTAAAAACTTGAAAATATATTCAATTACAGTTAAATTGTATTCACATCAAAGATGAAAACATTGGGATCAAAAATATTATATTGCCATTAAATATTATATTAGGACATATGGAAGAATTTGTTAGATGTTTAATGAGCTTTTGTACATACATGCTTTTCTTCCTTACAACATTTTATTTGAAGGTACAGTTGCTTTGAAATTTCTGTGATAGTTATTTAAAGATGACTGAATGGTGGATAAGACAAATATATGCATGAAGATTCTTATCTTTTCTCTTTATCAATAGAAAATACTGAAGGAAGGATGCTGATCTGTAAATGCTAAGGTCTGGTAATGAAGTAAATATACTTAAGAAGATTCTGGAAAACTATAACCAATCAAGCAAACAAAATTGGATAGTACCAAACTCTTCCATATATTATCCATGAATACAGGGTTGAGGGTAATTATTTGCAACTGAAACTCAGTCTTCAAAGAGGATCACAATAAATAAAATGCCAAGACTTCAGCCTTCTAAAAAAAAATGCCTCTCTTAAGATGGCAGATTCTTAGATCATTTCCTCATATAAAATCCTTCTCAGGCTCATTTTCAAGAAGTAGTTTAGGTCACTGGGATGCTATCTTGAAACAGTTTTTTCATCGGAACATGAAGTGACTTCACACTTTAGTAACATCTGATATGTTGATTTTATTTTACCAGCTCTCGATGGTTTAGCTTTTCATGTCCTAGCCTTGATCTCAATTAAAATAATTAATAAATTAGGCAACTTAATACATTTTTTGAATGTTGAGAAGTACTTAAAACATTTTGGAAGTCATTGGCAATTTAAAGTTTTATTCCTAGAAGTTAATGAGAAAAAAGACCCTTACATGCCTTTCATAAAAAGAATATAATTCATCAGAAAAATAAGAAAAAATTTCACATTGTGAGTACAGACAAATAGCCTTTTTACATTCACCAATTAAAGAAGCAAAGCCTCTTTTAAATTACGTATTGAGAAAGATAATCATCTTTAGCCCGCTCAAGTGAAACAGTAGAACTGGCATATAACTGTCCTAAAACTGATAAAACAAACTTGAGGACTTATAATAACCGACAACATTTTCATTTAAACTAATAAACATCTTGACTTATAGACTCTAATTAAAAATTTTTGCTCTAGCTCATTTTCCATATAAAAAACTTGTATAGATTTGTCAACCTAATAACCCGGTGTTCTTGTGATATACTATTTTGAGATATACATAGTATTTTGTGTTGTGTATATTTATATTTCAAATTATAAATCACAATTGTATATACATGTATGAATATATGATTATATTTATTTATATGTAAAGATTATATTATATACATAAAATTTACATATATAAAAATGAAGCTTTAGGAAAAAATTATTTCAGAAAACATTTATGTACACAGGAGTACAGATATATATCATACGAGACTTCATGATACTCTCGTTTTCTCTTTCTCTTTCGATATTTTAACTTGAAAATGAAATGAGCAAAATTAATCATTAAATCTTTATGCCAGCACCTATTTGAGAAACACTGACTTATATTTACTGATGTGGCACTCACACATGTAGAAACATAATATGTAAATCTCTTTCTCTGCAATAGATATGATATTCTAATCTAATATCCTAAAGTCACACACCGATTATCTTACTTGGAGCTTCCAATATTACATTAACATGATAGAGTATGTTCTTACCTTATTTGAGCTCAAGCTGTGAATCCTATCACTAGAATAGCTGTGGGGTATTGGAGGGTCAGGGTAGTCCTCAGCACCTTTTGTGTTCTTCTTGACGACCTCCACATAGGAAACAGGGAAGATGCCTTGTCTGTTGGTTCCTGGGATTTTACCTTCATACCAGTTTTGATCAACTCTTTTAAGAAGAATAACTCTATCTCCCTGTTATGAATATGAGAAAAATGCATTAGAAACAGAGATAGAATAACATGAAAATATAATTGTCAATGTTTTCTATGAAAAAATAGGTTTCCATTTGGGCAGGTTTTATACCTTCAGTTTTTGTTTAATCAGGGGAGGGCAAGTAAGGTACTAGTGCTTACTAGAAAAATACACATGATCAACATATATGTAATTGAAATGTCCATTCAGGCCATCAGAATCTTCCCTAAGGATGCCTGATTAATGTGAACGGGTTTATACTTGTTTATGCTGGTATTGTGTGAAATTATTTGTCTAAGTTATTTCAAAAAGCAGAATAGTGTAAAAGGTAATGTCTCAATGACAATAGGATTATTTTATCTCTGGCAGGTTCAGTGCATTGGCCTTCTGTAGGAAGAGCTTCAGAAAGTGCACCATAGCTTGCTGTGAGGGTCTGTCTGAAATGGGTTACAGAAAACACCTCTAGAAGGGAGAACATCGAATGGTACACCGTTTTCTTTTTTTATTTCTATTTTTTTTTTTTTTTTGAGAGGGAATCTCACTCTGTCACCCGGGCTGGAGTGCAGTGGTGTGATCATGGCTCACTGCAACCCGCACCTCCTGGGTTTAAGAATTCTCTTGCCTCAGCCTACCAAGTAGCTGGGATTACAGGCGCCCGCCACCAGGCCCGGCTAATTTTTTGTATTTTAGCAGAGATAGGGGTTTCACCATGTTGGTCAGGCTGATCTCCAACTCCTGACCTCAAGTGATCTGACCGCCTCGGCCTCCCAAAGTGCTGGGATTGCAGGCATGAGCCACTGTGCCCGGCCCCTTTTCTTCTTTAATCTACATGCGCTAAGTAGTGACAGAGTGAACTAAAGGGATGGGGGAAAGAGAGCGCCCTAGAATATCAATAGCTGTGACAAGACTGGCATTCCCCTGGTCTTCACCCTGACAATGGAAACCCAGCATCCATCTGAGTAGTTGGTGACCATTCCATACTTGTCATTAAAGATTTGAATAGAACCCTTGGCTTTCACAATGATAGAACTTTCTAGAATCACTTCCACCTGCCATGACCGAGCCAGTGCTGCAGAACTCAGTTTAAACTTTAACTCAAAACTACACGTAGCCTAGAAGTAGGCAGGCAAGTTGATGCTACCGGGCAAAAACTGCAGCTGCATTCAGCAGGTGATACAGAAGCTCGGGCAGCGGCACCTGATGGTGTGATGGAGCTGAAACAGTCATTAATCTCAGCCCAACAGGGCACCCTTCTTCAGGTGCTACCCAAGAAGAACTTCGACCTTGAGTAGCACTTGGAAGTTCTCTTTGTGTTGAAACGCTGGATGGTTGATTTTGTGTGCTTCACCACCGCTGAGCAGAACATACTCAAGAAAAGTCAGTCTCAGGCTGGATGCAATCGCTCACGCCTGTAATCCCAGCACTTTGGGAGGCCAAGGCGGGCGGATCATGAGGTCAGGAGTTCGAGACCAGCCTGGCCAACATAGTGAAACCCCATCTCTACTAAAAATACAAAAATTAGCCGGGTGTGGTGGCGGGCACCTGTAGTCCCAGCTAATCGGGAGGCTGAGGTGGGAGAATCGCTTGAACCTGGGAGGCAGAGGTTGCAGTGAGCTGAGAGCACACATTGCACTCCAGCCTGGGTGACAGAGTGACACTCCATCTCAAAAAAAAAAAAAAAAAAAAAAAGTCAGTCTCCCCAAATCTGAAAATTGCACCGATTTTCTAGTATACCAAGAACAGGTAGTTGCTAGGCTGTTGTGTGAGCTGTAAGAGGCATTGGTGAAGCCTTTCTGTAGAACATGGAACAGGAGACAGAGTTCATGTAATGCTCTGTGGTTCTCATGCTAGGTGGGGCAGCCCAGAGGATAGGAAAGAAGGAATCGGCTGATGATGCAGAATTAAGACTGATGGGAGAGAATGAGACAAGGTTCTGCCAGGACCAGAACAAACCAGGACTGTGGTATTGCTCTTCATCGCACCTGGCTAAGGATTTCACTAGTAGGTGTGGGAGGTCCTAGAGCCACTCTAAATATTACTACCTCGCCTGTGTTGTGTGCAGAGGCAGTTACCTCAAACAAATATATGTCATATTTAGAAAGCAATAAGAATAATTCATTTATCATTCTCAATTATGTAAACTAGCAGGTTAAAAGAGGTTTTTGATTGTTTTTTTGTGTTTTTTTTTTTTTTTTTTTTTTTGAGATGGAATCTCGCTCACCTGCCTTGGCCTCCCAAAGTGCTGGGATTACAGGCGTGAGCCACCATGCCCGGCCTCGAGGCTTTTGATATTATTAAGAAGAGATACTAGGATTGGATGGGCTGCTAGAGAAATTTGGGTCAATTATGAGGCCCAAAGAAGGATGATCCAGGGAAGAGCACTGCAGAGATGGCTCTTAAAGCGGCTCCCCCAAGAGGAAGGATCTTCTTTACCTAGGACCATTCCTAGATTCCAAGATAGAGGAAGATAAGGATTGGAATATCTTGTTTTTAAAAGACTGAAAAATAAGGCAGCAAAACAACATATTTTGAAGTGTATCAAACTGCTTTTTCCTTTTGTGCTCCCGAATGTATAAGTCCTTGATTTTCAGCCCCATGCCCGGCTTCCCAGACTAAGCCACAGAGGGAGAAGCCTGGTATCCCACGGGGAACTCCTCTAAAAGGACACAGGGACCAGCAGGGAACCGTGACTCTGGGCTGCCTTAAAGAGTCCTTTGTAGAAAATAGGGTAAACATAAAAATGTCTAAAGAAAAAGATAACCTATTTTAGTTTTGAAAATATACAGCCTTTTCAAACCCACTGAAGAACAAACAAACAAAAACAAACAAACAAAAAACCAGCTGGGCTACCTTTCTCAGTGACAGCTCCACATTTGTGTCTGCGTTGAAGTTGTATTTGGCTATAGCTTCTCCGATTTCTCCGGGCTGGGCTGGCGGAGGTGGTCTTGCAGGCTGTGCTTTCTCAGGAGGTGTGAGTTTCTATGAAGGAAATAGTCATTTATTCTCAAATCTGCGGTGACCTTTGAAACCACCGCCATCCAAGAGAGAAAGGGAGAGGACCTACCTCTACGTATGAGATCGGGAAGATGCCCACTCTCCCGTGGTGTTCTCCCTCATACCAATTTTGATCAATTTTCCTGAGGATGTAGACAGTATCTCCTTTCTTAAATGACAACTCCCTGGAAGAGACACGTTGACATGGTCTTTTTGTGATGTACAGCAATAATTCTCAAGATCAACACCCTCGCTAGATCTGCATTTGTTTGGCAAATATACTTACAATATTAAAAAATCCAATTGATATTGAGTCCGATTAGATAAGAATGATCCTTGCAAATTCTTAGAATGCACTTAAAACATTATAACTTTAGAAATGATTTCAAACAGAGTAAGTATAAACATTCCATTGGATATAAATCACAGACAGATTAATAAGAAGTTTAAAGGAGGGGACAGACTCTTGCTACTTTACCATTAGTTCAGAGAAGAGGCATTTTGAAGCTTGGAAAAATGATGGAATAGTTCTGCACTGATTTTTTTTTTTTTTGTCCTGAAGCTAGTTGGCTAGTTAGTTACTAGCCCCCCAGCCCCTTTTGATGTACTGAAGCTTACATGAAGGAAAACAAATATCATGTAGCCTCAGAATAGAAGTGCCAACACCAGAACAAATTTTATTTGTGGATCTTTGAAGTTGGTTGACAGGTATTTTAATAGAATATCTTGATAAGGAATTTATTTTGTGTAACAGAAAAGATCTTACACTTTTAATTTTCAGTGGGGCAAGAAGAATGTGTTTTAAGTGCAAAGACATATGCCAATGCTTGCCTTTCTATCTTTTATTTACAAAAAATAAAAATATTTTTAAGACACTATATTTTTCAATTTTGGCTGTTTCTAAGAAAATTGTAGGTATATTTGATTTGGGTATTTATAATTTTAAGTTATAATGACATTATGCATTTTGAATAATTCACACCTAAACTTATCACCTTCACTACATCAATTTTTCCTGGCTTAATCACCCAGGTGATTAGGTTGGTTCATTATTTTGCCTCCGCAATTATTCTTGGATGGAGGGCGATTAATTTGTATCTTCTCCCAAGAGCCTCATTTTGCAATACATCTGCCCTCCCACTCTGGAATCTTCTGCATTGTTTTGTTCAGAATTTTCATTTTTTAATCTTTTTTTAAAAAATTTTGGTTCAGAATTTTCAGTTGGATCATTTATTAGTATAGGCCGTTTGATGGAGAGAGATTTATACCTGATGGAGAACACTTCTCATTGATTAAAAGAATTAATCGAAAAAATGGTGGTATATTAAAAGAATGATCACACATTTAGAAGTGCTAAAATCTTCACAATTGAAAATGTGTTAAATTTTCAGTAACCCTAAAAACAAAGAAGATTCATGGAGCTTTACATTCAAATACAGTGCTTCCTTCTTTTGTGCAAATGCCTAATGTAAAAAACAGAAAACAAAGCAAAGCAAGATATTTAATGTTCACAACACAACAGTTTCATTTGTACTAGGTATGTTTTGTTTCTGGAAATGAGACTAGCTTTTTAAAATATAATATGAACATATGAATCAGAGGCAACCAATTTTTCAAAGCTATGAAAAAGACTCTTTTGTATTTGTATAGGTTGCATTTAAAATTTTGAAGTCCTTAAGACACAGGAAAGTCTTACTCTTAAGTTTTCAAAACTGTGTCCCTCTCATCTCAGACCTAGAATTTTAAAGTCCCATTTGCTTTTTTCCCCTCACTTTTATTTTTATTTGTTTTTGAGATGGAGTCTTGCTCTGTCACCCAGGCTGGAGTGCAGTGGTGTGATCTTGGCTCACTGCAACCTTCACCTCCCAGGTTCAAGTGATTCTCCCACCTCAGCCTCCTGAGTAGCTGGGATTACAGGCACCCACCACCACCCCTGGCTAATTTTTGTATTTTCAGTAGAGACGGGGTTTCACCATGTTGGCCAGGCTGGTCTCGAACTTCTGACCTCGAGTGATCCATCTGCCTTGGCCTCCCAAAGTGCTGGGATTACAGGCATGAGCCACCGTGCCCAGCTGCTTTTTAAAATTAAGACTTCTCAGAAGACCTCGTGAGCCTTGGGTGGACACCCTTCCTACTTCACATCCCCTGCCATTCCTCAGGTTTTTATATATTTAAGAAAGCTATGGATTGATTTTTACAAAGAAGAAATGAAACGTGTGCTCCGTAACATTATTTTATAAAACTGATATGCATTGTACAAATTGTCACACCATATCCACAGAACAGTAGTTAGGACCGGAGTACAGTAGAAACAAAGCATCTTATTTCTCTAATTTGAAAAAAAAAGATGTAAGCTTTTCTTCAGGCCAGATTTAAGCCATGTTCAACATCTTAATTTCTAAACAGGATTTTTCTTATCTAGTTCATTTCCTATCTCAGCAGCATTACCAAATTCTGAGTGATTTATTTATATATGTCTTCTGCCAGAGACAGTTTCTAGAGCTATTAACTCATATTATATGCATTTTTATGAGTAAATTATTTTGGTTATTATATATATATATATTCAGTGTAAACAACATATAATAATTTAATGACAATTTACAATGAATTCAATATCTGTCTTGAATTCTACTGGAGAACAAAGTTTCTTAAAGGTCTGTGCACATAGGCCACAAAAAATCTGGGCAACACCCTCTTATATATAAGTCTGCTTATGTGCTTCCGCAACCACATGCCTATCTGCTGAGCAAAGAATAAAGGCAAAAGAAATATTGCAATTCAGGATGGTGAAAACACCGACACCAAAAGACCAAAGGAGAAAACTTTGCTCAGAATCTCTGAGCTTTGCAGGCTGAGGATGGAGACTTCAATACAGGAATCTTTGTACTAAGTTCTAGTCATCAACCCCACAAACTATGCTTGGAATATTTGGATAAATAAATGTTATCAAATTCCCCCAGCTAGTGTTAATTACTCCCCAATACTTTATTTATTTACTTATTCATTCTTTTTTTTGAGACAGGGTCCTGCTCTGTTGCCCAGGCTAGAGTGCAGTGGCGCAACCTCAGCTTATGGCAGCGTCTACCTCCCGGTGAAGCGATCCTTTTGCCTCAGCCTCCTGAGTAGCTGGGACTATACAGGTGTATGCCCCCATGCCTAGCTAATTTTTGTATTTTTTGTAGAGACATGGTTTTGCCATGTTGCCCAGGCTGGTTTTGAACTCCTGGGCTCAAGCCATCTGCCTGCCTTGGCCTCCCAAAGTGCTGGGATTACAGGCATGAGCCACTGTGCCTGGCCCCCAATACTTCATTAATTCATTATTGACACAAAATTCTAAAAACAAATATTCCTAAATTCTTTTTGTTTTTCCTATCCTTTAGAATTCATTGTGTTCTACCTAACATGTTTAATGTAATTTAAAACTCAGTAATTCTCAACTAAACTTAAAATAAAAGGTAATTCTGAAGGAACCATTTAATTAGAGTAGATTGCTGCATTGGGAATTAGACCTCATTTGTAACAGATCCTACTGCAATGCTTATCTCTTAAAGCATTACTAACATTTAAAACCACCTTAAATCATATGATGAGTATTTATCTTACTTACTTAGATGTCTGAGCCTTAAAATCATAAACAGCTTTTGCAGGCAATTTCTGAAAAGGAAGATAAACAATTAGCACTAATTTAAAATTTGAATTTTCTACAAGAAAGTAGTTTAATGTGCCTTAAAGAAAAAGGAAACCTCAGGGAATCATCAAACATATGTAATGTTAATCCTGTAAGCAATTTATAAATAAGTCCATTCATTCTTCATTTAGATATTTAAGCTATAATAGGAATATAATAGAAGGCTTATTCACCATCATATTTAATCTTAGGAACTAAGGTAGATTAATGTTATAATGAGAGAATAAAATGCCTGCAGAGGTTTGCATCCTAGGCATCATTTTGGCTGTTACAAAGGCTCTTCCTAGGATAAATGTGGAGGGTCAATGGCTCTATGTTCTATGGAGATTGACACAGCTCCCTCTGAATCATAATAAAAGGACCAGATGTCATAAAAGAAGTAATCATTCCCTTCATTAGACACTTATTAACATATTAGCAAAAAATATTAGCTCAATTATCACTGGGAGGCTGGTTAGTGGGCAAAAGTATAGGTGTGATCATCTTGCATTCCCTAGAGGGCTCAGGAATCCTTCAACACTCTGTCCACCAGCCACTCGTCTTTTAGTTGTGATGTGATGTGACACGTGCCCATCCTCAAACTCTGGGGGCCACAGATCTCCCTGAGGTACCCTGTACCCTATAGCTAGCTAGGCCAGCTCTTCCTTCCTCACCAACCAACAATCCCTTCACTCCATTCTTTTCCCCCATGACTCTGGTGAACTTTAGGAATCCTGGACCATTTCTAACTTCTTTGGGGATCCCACAGGCTCTGGACTACATCAGACGCCTATAAGATCCTCTGGAGCGGCTACCAGTCCAAGTCCAGCTTTTAGTTTCCATCCAGCCGTCATGGCTCCAAGGCAGTTTGAGCAAGAACTCTAGCCCCGGCTCAGGGCCCTGGACAGAGTTCAGTTGGTGGGTGGTTCCCAGGGGCAGTATCCCGAGAACTGGGCTGGTTAAAAGCTCTTTTTAGGGATCCTCTCCAATAAAAGGAAGCCAGCAAAAATGATTTCTGTAGGCTCTGTATTGATTTACAACACAGTTGACATCAGGCTTTCTCCTGGACCAGCGGGCCAAGAAATTGTAGAGGAAACCTATTGCCTCCACGAGGTGCCCTAACTCAGGACACTTTTAGGTCATAATGGTTAAGTTCATGGGCATCAGGTCAAGACTCGGAGAAGCCTCATGGCCAAAACTGGGCCACCACTAGGGAAGACCCACAGCTAGGGTCAGGGTGTGGACTGCTTCTAGGGTCAGAGTTGCTATGCTCAGGCCCCAAGGAAAATTGTTTCTAGTTTCTCAGTATTTTCACATTTCCTGTCCGAGTTCGTTACTGGTTTGGGATAATTTTTGGCTGGTAAGTGCTGTATCAAGTGTGTTGCTGTGAAAGACTCCAATGCTATTAAATTAACTACCTCTTTTTCTGGAGTTCCTCTTCTTTCCCTTGGTGCACTTCTCCCCATGTCAGTCAAAGTGGATGAGTAACTTCTAGGGGACTCACGGTCTATTGGAAAGAACAGGGCCAGTCATGGTGAGTATCCACTTAATTACAAGCCAACCTGTTCCGCCATTTTCCCTGGTGGCCACTACTTTTTTCCCCAAATTTGGAGAGACACCGTTATCGAACACATGGGCATAAAACTCATAGTTCATTACAAAGTTGTGAAATAAGACACAAAACAAGAGCATTTCAAAAGGAAAAATATCTGAGGTTGCAGAATTATAATTGTCTATATAAATATGATTACTACATTGCTGATTAATTATATTGCCACACCCAGTAAGACAATTTATAGTTAGAGGGATTTTTCATATAAATTTTTTCCAAAGCTTTCTGTTTCTATGCCTTTGCTTCTTATTTATAATTACTATTATAAGATTTACAGAGGATGGAGAATTTGAAAATAGCAACAATTTGTAGAAAAAGAAACATTTTGTGGAGTAATTTAAGACTGTAGTAATGAAAAAGAAAGAGATAAAACCAAAGAAAGTATGAGGATGACAGGAGGGTGGTGATGAACATTCTCCTTCTGCCTTACTCTCCCCTCTTCGCTCTTCCTCTGTTTTTAAATACTTATTGAATCTCAAGATGCCATGCTGTTTATCTACGACCTTCCTTTGTGCCCAGATGATAAACACCTTATCAGAAAGCAAAGAAACAAAGAGATATTGTTTCTTCTTACTCCAAGCAAAAAAGGGATAAACAGAAAGCATCATGTCAGTTGCCAAATTGCTTATGAAATATTGAATTATTTTTGTTCATCTTAAAGCAAAGCATAAATAATCACATTACAAAATTTTGATTGCATGTAGTTCTTAATAGTATCTTATACCTTTTGCACTTACGTGACTTACATATGGAGATGTAACTAGACATTAAATGTATTCCAGTAGTCTATGTTATAGAATTTTATCAGTACAACTGGGTCAATATTTGTCAATTCTTTCTTTTATCCCTTAAATATATCTAGTTATCCAGACTAACAAGAAGCATTAAAAATAAAATTTATTTTATCCATCTATGAAAGAATTTAAAGTGCTGATTCATAATAAGAAAACATTGTTTTAGGATTTTGACTACTTTGATGATGTAAATTCTAAGTTAATATACTTTTATGATCATAGGGCCTCATAATGATCATAAATTTTAAATTACTTTTTCTAACCCAGGGAATATAAGCTATTTTTCACTTGGGTGAAACACAATTGGAAAGTAAATATTTTACTAAAAAACAAAATACTTTTAAATGCATTTCAAAGCCCTTCCAAGTTACGTTTCAAAAATGTACTCCTATCTGCACATAAAATTGAGAGATGGTTATATTAGGATATTAAAAGCCTGGAGAAGGTAGCTAATTTATTAAAAAATGAGATTCTGACACATTTCAATTAGTGAAAATTTTGAATTGTAGAAATTGATTTTTTAAATTCTAATTTATTATTTTGAAGCATGTTGCTTCAGCCTAAGGGTAGGCAAAGATAAACGTAAGTGTATAGTGTAGCAAAAGTGAAAGCAAACATAAAGACTAAGTAGATTTGTGCAAGTTAATTAACAATCGAGCCATATTTGACACTAGTATGAACTGTGAATTATGTCTTTTTTTTTGTCTGAGATTATATTTTATACTATAAATTCTGAATTATTAGGGGTTTGAATCTCTTTTCTGTTATCTACTCTCTGTGTGACCTTGGACGAATTTCCTTTCCTCTCTGGGCCCAACTTCCAAAATTGAAAATGGCTTTTGAAATAACACCCATTTCATAGGCCTATGCCAGTTTTATTAGATAATGTATGTAAAGCACTCTGTAGTGTCTGGTGCATAGAAGTTTCTCTGTTGACCAACTTTCAGCCCGGAATGTTCATTCCAGCCTCTTAAAATTTACGTAGTGAACAGATGTGCTGTAAGAATTAATGAAAATAATTGGTCACAAATATTAAAACACCCTGGGCTGTAAGTTATATAAATCTCAAAAATAGTCCTCTGCCTTTCAATTGCTATTTATTCTTGTGTTGCCACTTCAAAGTTATCTATGAAAATAGAGTTTAGAGTCACTGTTAGCCTGAATAGTGTAATTCAAATTTCAATACAGGACTGTTTTAGCAGAAAGAGAAAGTGAATGAATTAAGTAATGGAAAAGAGAAAATGAATACACTAAATGGTGGAAATGGGACTTTTATATATATAGCTTAAAGATACATTCACAAAAATTTTATCACCATTGTGTCCTTGAAATGGAGAAAGCTATTAAACAAACCCTAATTTCTTTGTGTCCATCAATTACTAATCACATATTTCAGTTTTGCTTCTTGAATGTTTTGATATAGTATCTTCTATATAGAATGTGACAAATTATTTATTAACTGAATGAATATAAAGTTTTAACGTTAATATAAACATTTTTAAAAGGCTATTTGTGGAACTATAGGTTTTGATTCATGTCACAACGTAATTTATTGTCTCAATGTGAGTAGTGGTTGTTTCAACCCTAATGCTGAGCTACAAAATGGCCTTCCCTCTCGTTTTCGAAAGAGTAAATTTTTGTGAATTGATGATCACTTTAAGCCACACATCAAGTCCAAATATCACATGGGCAAATGAGAAATATTCAGTAAGACATATTTGCACAACAAGTTTTTGCTTCACAACACATAACGACGCCAAATGGTCTCCCAGCTCGGGAGTGATGAGATGTTGGAATGGAAAATGAAAGAGCTGGAGGGTGGGTCTCTGAACCACAAGGAAAAAGAAAGAAAAGCTCATCCACCTTGGAGTGCACCGCCACGGTCTTGGTGGTGGCAGCTGCTGTTGGCTGTGTCCACGTCTTGGAAAGAGGCACTGCGGGGCATTCTCCCGCAGTCATTCTGGTAGGGTGGACAATGAATAGCACCATCGGGAGGCAGTGGGTGGAGAGGCTGGTGCAGGGGGCTCCTCCTCAGCGCTCTCAGGGATGAGTTCCTCTCGGGAACATCTGGCAGCAGCTCACTGATGAGGCGGTGCAGGATGCTGTTGTCCGGCAAGCTCCCCCTTTTCTTTTCAGCTTTAATTTGGTCACAGATGTCTTTAAGGGCAGAGTCCAGAGCCTCAAACACAGATGCTTTACATTTTGCCTTTTCAGTCTGTTTCTTAGGAGCCGAATTTTTTTTCCTCCGGAAAGGCACAGGACTGACTAGAAAAGCAAGTTTAGAAAGGCCAGGGTCCATTTCTTGCCTTCTGGGCTCCTCGGTGTTTTCGTGTCTGGCTCTTTCGTGTTTTAACATTGTGGTAAATCGAGTGTAGGAGGCCGGGCACCTGCCTTTGCAGGAGCTGATGAGGTGGCGGTGGTGGTGGTGGTGGTGATGGTGGTGGTGGTGGCTGGATCCGTAAAAGCTTTCGGAGGATGTGAAGGAAAAGTGATCAAAGTCACTTTCACTGCAGAAGGATGACCCCTCTAGGTGAATGTAGTCACTGTGGTCGGACACAACCCCGTCCTGGTCGCTGTCGGAAAACTCCACGTGTGCTCGGGGCTGCTCATCGCTGGTGACTTCAATGTGAATGGGCACCAGGGCGTTAGACTGGCAGCCTCGCCGGCCCCGAGCGGGGGGGCCGCTTTGATTTTCTTCCTCCAGCAAATACTCAATGGAAAACCGCCTCTTGGGACATAGGCCATTTTGCGGTGGTTCTAGGGTTACGGGAGACAGCATGTCATCCCCTAAATTTGGCATGGATTTGGACTTCTGGATCAGCTTTTCGAATTCGGAGATGCGTGTGGGCACCATGTCCCGGGGCACCTCCTCCGTGGAGCACTGGCTCCAGGCGCGCAGCAGGTCCTTGTGCTGCTGCTCGCTCTCGTACTGCAGAATCCTGGACTTCACGGAGCAGATCACCTCGGAGTTCATCAGGTCCTTGCGGTTGATGCGGTGCATTTTCTTGTACATCTTCAGGAACCCCGGGGCGTTGCGGGCTGACCTGTGTCTGATCCTTGATCTGCCGTTACTGCGAACCTCCGGGACGTAGGGGGACCCCCACGCCATGGGGCAGCTCTCCTTGGAGTCCTCCTCACATAACAGGGAGCCCATGCTTTCCGACTTGACTTTCGGGTCCGGGAAGCTATCGCAGTCGTCGTTTAGGAGATCGTCACAGCTCCGGGATTTGATTTTGGGAGAGACGGTTTCTTCCGTGCTGCTCCAGATTTCTGCGTTTTGCCGGGCCATTTGCCAGCCGTTCTTGAAACTAATGGCTCTTGGTGAGTCCCGAGGGACATCCAAGTGCTGTCTGTAAGTGCTACAGTAATCTAACTCACTGGAGGGGTTGCCGTTGAGCCCTGAGTAACTGCAAAGGGATGGACATATTTTGCTATCATCCCCACCTTTTAATCCAGAGCAGCGTGGTAGAAGAGAGACATTTGGAGAAGTTAAAAGGTTCACAAAGAGAGGAGAGCATGTCAGTAAAGCATCAGACAGCATAGCAAGGAGAAAGCAGTTAGTGTGTTTTAATCTAGGTGCTGATTGTTCACACATGGAGCTTCAACTCTAGAGAAGAAGGTCTAATTCTAAAGCGAGCTAATACTTTTTCAGTGAATGTAGCTTTGCAGAGAGAGTTGACAAAACTGTGTATAAGAAGCAACCGACGTAAGCAAATACACCTACTCCTACTGCATAATTCATACACCTTTCTGACAATATTGTTTGCCAAAACACAATAGTGCTGCTTCAGCTGATAGCATGATCTGGTAGTGAAGGTTTAACAATTAGTGTCAAAAGTGTTATACCCTTACGCAATTTAATAGGGCCGGAATTTGAGCCTCATTTGATTCGTAATGATACATAGGTGAAGAAGGGTTTATACATTTACATCGAATTAATACTCTCATGACTATATCAAATAATTTTTTGTGGGTTTTAGATTTTAAAAGCTATAAGGCAAAGTATTCTCCAAAATTGCAAAATCAAAATGCTGTGAACTATTGCTGCTAACATTTTTCTAGAAAAAAATAGCTAAAGCTCTTTAAACAAACGAATTTACCTCTTAAATTGCTCTACCTTTAACCTTTTATTAGGTACAAAATTCTCATAGGAAAACTGAATATAATGCAAAACTTTCATCAGAGGTGCATATACCATGCTTTTTTTCTCGGAAGAGTTCTTTGAAAAATCATTTGCAATTTGATAATAGAGATCTACATTTGGCCTCAATTTTGAATAGCTATGGAAATGTTCTTTTGCTTTGCTGAGTCAACTAATAAATGAGGAGCCAAATTATATCTAATAGGACATTTTCTTCCTAGAAATAAAATCTAATGGAGGAAAATATCTCTATTCAATACTTATACCTTACAATGTTCTCTAAATTCTTTAAAAGTAGATAAGCACATTAGGTAGATCTGTACTGTCTGGGAAAGGAAGTTGATTTAACATTCCCTGTGATGAAACAAATATCTACATTTATCAGAACCCTTTTAACTTTTGGCTAGTATCCAAGAATAATAGGTCAATGGCATTTCATGACCTACTTGTTACCTTAAGATATTCATTTGAATAAGTGAGTTGAATCTGATAAGGCATCTCTGCTCCTCAGAGGAAAGATGTGATGGATGGGGCTCACACGCCCTGAACCATCAGCTGATATCACAGCTTTACAAGGCCTTAAAAGGGCTAGGCATCCACCTACTCAGAGTCCAATCATCACGACCAGAATACCTTTTGCACACAAATCAGCTACCACTTTTAACTACCATGTGGCAATGGTTTTAGTGACTATAGTTGATAGGTGTAGCTGAATTGGTCTGGTTTTATAGAAACTTACATTAGAGCTCAATTTCTTTACACATTTCAAAATCTCTTTCTCTTCTCTTTCAATCCCAAGATATTAGAGGAGATTGTGGGGTCCCACATTTGGTAGAGCCCTAGCTCCCTGTAGGGGCTGGTTCAATCCTCACTCTCCATCTCAGAAATATTCCTGTCCTCAAGGAATACCACTAAATGGTCTTCCAGAAACCAGAAGGAGTGACTTCTTTCAACAGTGAGCTCCCTACACTTGCAGAGAGGAGACGGGCCATCCAGAAAAAAAGGCTTGGTGATTCCTCAGTGATATCATTATGGTTTGGGACCAATTAGTCCTGACTGTGAGCTGCTGTGAATTGACCACTGTGTTACATGGCAGGAGGTGGATGCTCCACTGTTCATGTGAAGGTGGCCCAAAATATACAGCAAATGGCTAAAGAAATTAATAGGTCGGATTTTTTTAAAATCTAGAATTGAATAATTTTTTAAAACCCTCCAAACCAATGTATATTTTAGCCAACAATTTGCTCTGTTGCTGCTTGTAATTTTTATCCTATAAATTTGACTAATTTGCTAGTTGTAGAAACATTAGAAAATTTTGACTATATGTCAATGTTTACAAAATACATCTTTTAGTAGCCTGATGATACATTATTTGATACTTTCAATTTGTTTAGAAAGGGATCTATTTGGGGGAAAAAAGCATTAGCAGATGCTAGTCAGAGTTCTTTAAGCAACCTAAGTGGCTCGCCAGCTTGAGTCAGTCTGGGTGGGAAGAAGGCTATTGTTCTAAAACTATATTTTATTCCAGACACTGTAGGTGAGAGCTGGCACATGCCACTATCACTGGGCCAGCTTTCACACAGTGCTCTAGGCTAAAACGTAAACTAGTAAATTGTTGTGTTTTCATTTACTATGCTCACCTTTTGCTCTTGATGGGGAAGAAGGAGAAGAGCTAGTGAAAGACTTTGTAAGAGTGGTGCTTGATCCTGGGAGGTCCACTCGGCCTGGGCTAGTCCTGCTCGCACTTTGATCTCCCAAGCCCCGTGGTGGACCCACTGCAGGCTCGCTCTTCCTCCGCTTCCTGAAGTCACTGGCCATGCTTGCAGAACTGAAAGAAGGAATCAGATCTGTTTGATTGGCACTGGAGGAGGTTCGGGTGTGCACCAGAAAAACCGGTGGAACGTGCTAGTGACAATGGCGTAACTCCTAAACCTCTATCCCCAAAACTGCATTGCTAGGAACTCATCCCTTGATGTTCAACATGATTTCTCTAGAAGGATCTTTTAAAAAATGAATAGACCTTATTATTTATTTTGAGATGGCTTCTGGCTCTGTCACCCAGGCTGGAAGCGCAGTGGTGCAATCACAGCTCACTGCAGCCCCAAACTCCTGGGCTCAAGGGATACTCCCGCCTCAACCTCCTGAGTAGCTGGGACCACAGGTGGGTGCCACCTCACCTGGCTAATTTTTTTAAATTTGTTATTTATGTAGAGACAGAGTCTCACTATGTTGCCCAGGCTGGTCTCAAACCCCTGAGCTCAAGTAATCCTCAAGCCTCAGTCTCCTGAAGTGTTGGGATTACAGGCGTGAACCACTGTGCCCGGACAACTAAATTTTTTTAGGGCAGTTTTAGGCTTACAGAAATAATGACTGGAAAGTGTAGAGAGTTTCCTTATAGTCCCTTTCCTCTTGCACAGTTTCCCTTATCATTTACATATTCTTTTGGTGGGTACATTGTCACAATTGATGAATCTTTCCTGATGCGTCGTCACCCCAAGTCCATAGTTTACATTTGAGTTCATGTTTTGTCTTAAACATTTTAGGGGTTTTGAGAAATGTATAATGATGTGTGTCCATCATTAATGTGTCAATCATATAAAATAGTCTTCCCGCCATAAAAAGCTTCTGTCCTCCAGCTTTTCATCCCTCCCTTCCTCCCGCTCATCCTGGCACCCACTGATCTTTCCACACGGCCTCCACAGTTTCGCCTTTTCACCATGCCCAGTTGATATCATGCAGAATGTGGCCTCTCAGGTTGGCTTCCTGCACTCGGTGATACACTTTTAAGGCTCCTCCATGTGTTTTTTGTCACTTGATAGCTCATTTCTTTGTATTGCTGAGTCACATTCTATTATTACATGGATGCGCCACAGTTTATGTATCCATTCACCTATTGAAGGACATCTTGGTTGCTTCCAACTTCTAGCAATTATAAATAATGCTCCTAAGAAAACCACCTGCTGGTTTTTGTGTGAACCTAAGTTTTTAAACATCTTTGAACGTCAAAATTCTCCTATAGTGTAATATGTTGATTGAGAATTCAGTGCTATAATTTGTATCTTGTATCTTTTCTCTATAAAGCGGAGTTCTAACAACATGAATATATCCAGAGGGGCATACCAAATACAGGAAATAACTGAAAAAAAAAAAAGACATCAAGAGAGGAAAATCTCTCTCACCTCAAGGGTTGCCTGCAGCTTGTCCTATCATCTCTATCATCTTAGCTTTAGAAGATGTTATATTGGAATTCCAACATTTTTTATTTAAATAATGAATGAAGGCTGAGTATGATGGCTCACGTCTGTAATCAAGTACTTTGGGAGGCCAAGGCTGGAGGATGGCTCAAGGTCAGGAGTTTGAGACCAGCCTGGACAACCTAGTGAGACTCTGTCTCTACAGAAAATAAAAAAGTTAGCCAGTTGTGTCATGTGCCTGTAGTCCCAGCTATTCAGGAGGCTGAGGTGGGAGGATAGCTTGAGCACAGGAGTTTGAGGCTGCAGTGAGCCATGATTGCACCACTGCACTCCAGCTTGGGCAACAGAGCAAGACCCTGTCTCATCAGTCAGTCAATCAATCAGTACCAGTAATCTGGTCAGCAAATTAACTATTAAAGATTCCTTCCCCTCAGTTGCATAAAATACTGTCAATAGTCTAGAACAGCAGGGAGTTTCTGTCATGGTTTTGAGTTTGAGTACAGTATCATTTAAGACCAATGTTAATGAATGAAGCCACATATGGCACAGCACACTGTGCATGAAATCACTGGATTCTTAGACAAGACTTGTGTAGACAACAGTGATAATAGCAACAGCAGCAACCCCAGCTCCTATGGAGCCCAGCAGAATGCTATGTGCTTTCTTTATGTTTTTGTCTTATTTAGCCCACACAGCAAACCGATGAGGTATATGCTGTTATCTCAGTTTTACAAATGGTAAAGTGAATACATGTGTCTGGGATGTACGGAAGCAAGCGGAGAGGCAGACCTCAGAACTGGTTTGTCCTCTTCTGAAGAGGATGCATCTCCTAGACCTGTTTTTGCTGGGACTGTCCTGTCATGTGAGGGTCTGTGTGTCTTTACGGCAATCTGTAGATTAGATTAAAACTCTAAAATTCAAATATTTTAGGTGCATAGATAGAGGCAGAAGATAAAAAGGAGGGGTTCCAGAGTTCCTTTCTCAGGGATGTTATTGCAGTTGGATGGCACTCAGAAACCCAATTTATGATTGACCCAATTCACAAAGAAATCTACATAGAAGGGTAAATTAATGCTACTAGATAAATATTTGTTATTGATGTTACAATATGGCTGGGAGTTTGTATTATTCAATATTACTATTGAACTATGTCTGAATATGTCTGAATTTTGTGATTTGTTTTTTTTTTTTTTTTTAGACTGAGTCTTGCTGTGTTGCCAGGCTGGAGTGCAGTGGTGCAATCTCGACTCACTGCAACCTCCACCCTCCCAGGCTCAAGCGATTCTTCTGCCTCAGCCTCCTGAATAGCTGTGACTAGAGGGGCATGCCACCATGTCTAGCTAATTTTTGTAGTTTTAGTAGTGATGGGGTTTCACCATGATGGCCAGGATGGTCTCAATCTCTTGACCTCATGATCTTCCCCCCTCAGCCTCCCAACTGCTGGGATTACAGGCATGAGCCACCGTGCCTGGCCATGAATTTTGTAATATTTTTTAAAAAGTGTGATATTTAAAGCTAATGGAACTTACTTCAGGCGAACTCTGAGGGAAGTTAGGCCTAGCGGTGACAAGCTATCTTGCCTCAATTTCTTTTTTTTCTCTCTCCTTGCCAACTGTGTAAACTTGGTAAGTTACTAAGCCTAGGTGTCACTTTCCTCAGAGATAAAGTGGGGACAATAGTATTTAACCATAGTGTTTTCTTAGGATTGAATATGTTTTGTACTTATGCCTCATTTATTGGTAGTATTAATAACAGTATTTCTGATTTGTGTGGTCAAAGTATGATTAACAAATACGTGTATAACACTTTTTAATCTATAATTTTTTTCAAATATATTATTATAAGGGCCATTTAACAACATTGAAAATTAGTTACTTATAATTCCCATCTAAAGAAAAGAAAACTGGGTATAGGGGACTAAGGGAAGAGAAGGATTTCTCAGTCTGTGAAGGAATTTATAATTAGTTCACTAATTTTTTAGAAATTCTTGAAATGATCATATAAAATGATGCTGAAACAAAATAAAACAACTTCATGAGGCATGGTACTTCAAATAAAAATGAGTGATACATGATACTCATTACTACTTCACTGAATAATTTTATTGTTGAAAAAGAAACCACTGGTATAGAATATTCTGCTACAACATAATAAGATTCTTACCTCATGGGTCTTTCCAGGCTTCTGTCTATAGAGGACTGATACAAGGAGGCCTGTTAAGATAGGATAATAGTACCATGAAAAATTTTACCGTGGCAAAATTTTGTTCACTTGTCAACATTAAATTAGGTATCCTAAAAAGAATATTATAAAAATTGAGGTTGAAAGTACCATTCATTATGACTATAAAAATGTCTTCCCAAAGAGAGATCATGCGACCTGATTTCTACTTGGGACCTATCTGCTTTCCCTTCTGATATAATGCATTGCAGTTCTCTGTGTAGCTCAAATTATCCACAACCCAAGCATTGCATGGGGGGAAATTAATAATATTTTCTCAGGGACACTGAAATAAGAGCTAAAGTTATCCTACAGCCTGAACTGCAGAATCTTACCTGTTGACTGTAAATAGAAATTTCCTACAGAAAGGAATGGTTTGATGTTTTAAAAAATTTGTAGTCATCATTCAATCCTTATAAAACATCACATTTTAAAGTTTTTGTTATTGTTGTTACCAAGTATTGTCTTCAGAATGTAACACATAAGCAGAACTTAAGACACCATTCATCTGTCAACATAGACATGACGTTTAAATAAAACCCACAGAGTTTGACTTGAAGAAACTAAATAAAGTACCTGGTACTTCAATCAGGTAAATAGTTATACTTTTACAATTAGGTGAGTTCAGGGCTAGTTTAAAATAAATGAGCTAATGAAGCAAAATATAACTTTTTTAAAGTGCGCTTTTAAATTTTTCCTTCATTCTGAATAATACACTGAAATAGATAGTAAGCAAAAATGATAATATGAATTTTTTATTTTCCATGGCATCTGCTGGGATAATTGCTAAAATATCTAAAAGGCAAGAGAGGACACTGAGCTATCAAGTGTTTGAGGTGACACTGTGGTATGATGTCCAGAAAGCACAGGGAGATGGCTGGGTGCAGTGGCTCATGCCTGTAATCCCAGCACTTTGGGAGGCCAACGCGGGTGGATCACCTGTGGTCAGGAGTTCAAGATCAGCCTGACCAACGTGGTGAAACCCTGTCTCTACTAAATATGAAAAACGAGCCAGGCATGGTGACACATTCCTGTTATCCCAGCCACGCAGGAGGCTGAGGCAGGAGAATTGCTTGAATCTGGGAGGCAGAGGTTGCAGCGAGTCGAGATGGCGCCACTGCACTCCAGCCTGGGCCATGAGAGTGAAACCCCATCTCAAAAAAACAAAAACAAAAAACAACAAAAAAACAAAACAAAACAAAACAAAACAAAAGTATAAAGAAAGTATAGGGAGATGTATACCAAGTATAGATAGTTTTGCCTTTGGTCATATTTGATGATCAATTCATCACAGATAAAATTTGGTTTGATGAAGAACTGGAATTCTAGTTTAAAAACATTTGTCTGTATGAAAGCTTAAAAATGTCAGCCAGAAAGGCAAGGTTTGACAAATGTTGTCTTAAGTTGCCATCATCTAGAAACATTTTATCAGAGTATTAAACATCTACTTAGTGGAAATCAAATCTCACTTTACAAACTATTTCTATAACTCAGTTTTCTATTAATTGGTAAATTAGCACCAATTAATCAATTAAAACAATACAATTTTGCAATTCTGTATGTATATCAGTCTTACAAGGTCCCTTTTGCATAACTTACGCTTCTATTAACTAATATTTTAATTTAATTCTATCTTACTAAATGAAAATGGAATCTTGTCTAGAAACAAAAGCATCTCTGCATGAGAATATTCCCATCCTCCTTTTAGACAGAAAAAGTGGATTGTAATATTTTTAGTTCCTAGAAAATATTTAGATTTCTAGGTTCTCAACAAATATAAAATCAGGAGAAAAGTTTGGTTTGCTAGTCTGATATGTGTACATGGTTATTTTAATTTGCTGAGCTCTGAATCAGACACTGGGAAGGTAGAAAAATAGATACTAAATATGAAAGAAAGCAAACAAGTAAAATAAAATCAGATCGTTATATTACAATTAAGAAATATTAATTCTACTCGTTTGCAGAAGAGCGACACTGAAGAGCCTGAGAGCATCGGCGTCTGTGCAGATCACGGCTTTCGTGGGACACCCTCACACACAGCTGATCACCAAAAAGTGTGAAGTTCACAACACTCTTAGAACAACCCTACAGTGATCAGAAAATTTGAATTGTCAACTTATAATGAGCCTAAACAATATTGTAATGTGAAATAAAACATAGTGTAAGAACTGATTGTGTTTTAGGGTTAGGCTAAGAAACTACTATTTCTCCTTGTACTGGTTTCTACATTCAAAATAAATGAAAACCAGTTTTGCGGTTTCATGTACACTCAGAGAAAGTTCAGTATTAAATTGTAAGATAAGAGTAAAAAATCTAGATTGATGACTGAGAGAAAAACTTGTACAATAATTGTAAGAAGTGTACTCATCCCAAAATGAAAATTATCTCCAGAAAAGAGGTTACAAATTTTACCAGTTATGATCTACTATTTACATATTACCATTATTTTAACACACTTAGAAGGTCAATTTAGTGAAGTACAGATACTGAATCACTCTTTCTGTTAAGTAGCTATGAGATTAAATTTTGCTTAAATATCCGTAACTGTTCTTCATTAATGCCAGTTTTCCAGTTATGGATTAAAATCTATGTTATTCATGGTATATACCAGGCAGTTGATAAACGGTAGCTAAGGTAATGTCTAATCAATTACATTTGTTTTTACCAGAAATGTTTAATAACAAAAGGTTATTAAAGACAAAATCCAGAACCTTAAGAGAATATATTTTCTTACATTCTGAAAAACTATAATGTGAAATTAATAACATAGTTAACATATGCTATTAGAATCATACAGCACCCCCTCTCAATCCCAGAGATAACTGGCAAATAGATCAACTACTGGCAAAGTGCTTTTTATGTGTTGTTTTTTTTTTTTTGCCACTACCATCACATAATAGAATGCATAGAGTTAAGTTTCTACTATTTTTATGCCCAAGAATTATTGTGTAATATTAATTAACAGAACTCTTTTCACAGGAATTCAATAGTTAACAAGAAATAATATTAAGTAAGTAATTTGTTTTTAAAAGATTTATCCTCTAAATATATATCTTGGAAGTGCTGAAAAGTGTGATATAAAGGAAATAGCACAGAAATGAAGGTTAAGAGAGATATATTTTTTTTTCTGCCACTATCTTACCATGTGATTTTGGACTTATTTCTTAAAATTATTGCACTCTACTTTTTTTTTTAACTGAAAAATGAGTGAATTGGACATGATGCACTCTAAATTCCATTTCAGTTATCTATGAACCAACTACCTTAAAAACACCCTAGAAATATCTGAGAAAAATATCTGACCACATTGAATTTCAAAATAAATTCTTGGGTTGTTCATATGTTGAAATAAGACTCTTTCTGCAGATATTAAGGTAACATAACATACAGAATATAACCCCTTGTTTTATTTGATTTTCTTCAGATTACATGCCTGCCTGCCTGGCTATAAAATGTAAGCCTTTAGAAATAACTGAATTCAATAACCCAGAATGTTCCTGATTACTCTATTTTACCTTTTATTTAATATATAAATATTTTGATCACTTCTCAGTTTTAACACACACTCTGATGTTTACCACAGGGTAAATAATTTGAAATTGCAAGTTGAGACGCTAGAAATTTGCATATTTTCTTGAGACTCTATACCTGCAATTCCAGTGGTCACCACTATGTGTCAGTAGTACCTCCTACAACACAACGGTTCTACTGGTTGTGTTTCCCAGTTGCACATATTTAAGACTTTTAATGAAAATAAGATATTTATTGTGTTATAGTATTCACTTAAGACCACAGAGCAACTAATGTGCAAAAAACAGTTTATTTACTTCGTTCCCATGCTAGTTGCTTCTAAGAGTTCCTTGCAAGGAGGCTTTTATATAGCTGATGGCTAGCAAAACAGTGCCATTTCTGCTTGTGTCTTCTAATGAGTCATTTATCCACTTTCTAAAGTAATTTTCTGCTTTTCTTTGCAGAGAGCAGGTTAACAAGCTTTTGACTCTGAATCATTTCTGCCTGTATCATTCTCTCTTTCAAATAAAACTCTGATTCAAATAAAAATATACATTGGCTGCCATAAATTTTTCACCTAGTTGATTATTATAGGCTCTTAAGTAGAGATTGCAAACGCATTTCATTTTATATGCCAATGATAATTTGTTATAGTGGCTGCCTGGATTACAGTGTTGAAAAGGAGTAGTCATGTCTGTCATGGGTATGAAACTGGGAAGTTGTGATACACAATTTCCAGGTATTTGCCAGCCCTATTCTTGACTGATAATACAATCCGTAAGTTGTATTTAGGAAAATGAAAGAACAAAAATAAATTTTAGAAATATATGGGACATAGGCATCTGATTATCCACACTCCAAGCATTATAATAGAATGGTTCTAAGAAGCCTTCTTGTAGTATTTTACTCTGTCTCATAAAAAGAGGTGGTTAATATATGCACTAAGACTAATACTTTTGATTTTTAATTTTCACGCTGCTGAATACCAGAACTACATAGAATAGTATAACTAGCAGTTGTGGTTGGAATGATTCTTCACCCAGAGTCCAGAGATAGCCAACAACTCTGGTATAATTAATGTCCAGGCAATGATACTGGATGCAACATAATGATGCAAAGATAGATATTTTTTCAAAAATAGCTTAGACATTACAGAGAATTGTAAAACACAGATGTGCAGAATCACAGTCACAGCCTCTAAGGGAGATATCTGAAAAAGAGAGAATAACGTGTTTTTACCTCATTGAAAACACCAGAAGAATGATCTTGAACATAGTCCAGAGGCTTTTTAGGAGGCTGGGTGTAGACGCACCACAGAAGCAGAAGTGTAGGGATGGAATGGAGGAGAGTCAATGGCAGCAAGGAATGAACATGTGGAAAAGGTGACAACAGTTAGAAATTGAGTGTTGACAGCACCAGCTACACAAACAGAATGACATGAATGGAGCAAAATGGGGGCAGCTGGGAGGAAGTGTGCAACGTCTGCAAATATTCTCAAGCACTGGGAAAATTGGCTAGTGTTCAATTAGTATATTTATAAATTCATTTTGTCAAATTTCATTAGCACTCCTAGTCTCTGGCCACAGAGGAATGCAAGGTAAATTAAAGAAACATTAAAGGAGCAAGTGGATAGCATGCTGGTGAGTTTCCATGTGTGACTGAAAATGATTATGGAAAATGCTGATAACTTAGGCTCAGTACAGAATAGTCCCTATAAGCTTTCTTTTTGAATTATTTTATTTTATTTTATTTTATTTTTTTGAGACAGGGTTTCACTCTGTCACCCAGGCTGGAGTGTAGTGACACCGTCTCAGCTCACTGCAATCTCTGCCACCAGGGTTCAAGTGATTCTCCCACCTCAGCCCCCTGAGTAGCTGGGATTACAGGCGTACGCCACCATGCCCAGCTAATTTTTGTATTTTTAGTAGAGAAGGGGTTTCACCATGTTGGCCAGGCTGGTCTCGAACCCCTGACCTCAAGTGTTCCGTCTGCCTCAGCCTCCCAAAATGCTGGGATTACAGGTGTGAGTCACCACGCCTGGCCGTCCCTATAAACTTTCTAACCAACAGCAACAATACATATAAAATAAAGCTAGAGAATGTTTTTCCTTGAAATAAAATACATTTACATTCACACTAAGATACAAATGAGAAAAAATGAGAGAAAACATTCCTCCTATGAGATAATAACCCTAAGAAAAATCCTTTGGTTTATATTCGTTTACAGTCACTTTTGATTCAGTTCAATAAGCTACCTTGAGTCTAACCAAGTCTCCTTTGCAGTTTAATGGACAAAAGAGACTACCATCACCAATCAGTAAACCATATATGGTCCATATGCAAGTATATAAATCAGCATATGGTATAGAAATGGTTATATCCTGATTTCTAAAAAAACTATCAGTGTAATTGGTAGGTTATTTAAGAGTCTAAAACGCATAAAAACGTGTGTAACTGACACACATCAAATGCACTGCTGTTGGTGGATACAGTTCCTAATCAGGGAAGTTGTTAACTGAACCTCCAGTTGACTATTTTTTTTTTTTTTTTTTGAGATGGAGTCTCACTCTGTCGCCCAGGCTGGAGTGCAGTGGCGTGATCCCAGCTCACTGCAATCTCCGCCTCCCAGGTTCAAGCGATTCTCCTGCCTCGGTCTCCCAAGTAGCTGGGACTACAGGCACCCGCCACCATGCCCAACTAATGTTTGTATTTTTAGCAGAGACGGGGTTTCACCATGTTGGCCAGAATGGTCTCAATCTGTTGATTTCGTGATCCGCCTGCCTCGGCCTCCCAAAGTGCTGGGATTACAGGTGTGAGCCACCGTGCTCGGCCTCAAGTTGACTCTTTATCCCAAACAGGCTAAGCAATAAGGCCCAACCTCTGGGCTTCCTCTGGCGGGAGTCTGGGGATTAGAGAAGCTGTGATGGCTTTCACTAGCAAGTCTGGAAATTAAGATCCACAGGACTTCCTGATTTTTTTCTTTCCTTATATCCCTAATGGTAAACTAGGTACAGTCATGTGTTGCATAATGACGTTTCCGTCAACGATGCACCTATATATGATGGTGGTCCTATGGGATTATAAGACTGTATTTTTACCATGCCTTTTCTATGTTTAGATATGTTTAGGTACACAAATACCTACCATTGCATTACAGTTGCCTACAGTATGGAGTGCAGGAACCTGCTGTACAGGTTTGTAGCCCAGGAGCAACGGGCCATAGCACACAGCCTAGGCGTGTAGCAGGCTCTAGCATCTGGGTTTGTGTAAGTACTCTGCGATGTTTGCACAATGGCAAGTCCACCTGATGACACATTTCTCAGAACCCGTCCACATCCTTAAGCAACACGTGACTGTATTTTGTAGTGGGATTACTCTGGCAGTATATTATAGTGAGAACTGCCCAGAGATTTTCATTTTTCTTTAACAGGCTCTGCGTTTAACTTCTTACTCTGCCATTTACTATTTTGTGCACATTACTTAACCCCTCCAGTCCCCATTTTCTTCTTCTTGGCGGGACATCAGGAGGCCTCGAGGAGATAATGAAGACAGAAGCCCGCACTCTCCAGGTGCCTGATGTTTGCTCAGCAAACAGGACTCAATGTCAAGGTGCTCTTCTGCTTGAACTAGACCAAATAGACTGTAAACAAATACAAATCTTCTATACAGCTGTAATAATTGTCTGAATATTCCATCACAGAAACTACCTCAAGATTTTGAACTTGTAATGAATTAGATGTAAAGAAATCTTAATGAATGACCTACAAACCACATAGGAAATGTCTGAGCACATTTGACCATTTGGTACAGAAATGAATCTGGACTACGCTGTACCAAGTGTGTGTATACATTATGCATTCGGCCTTTGTTCTCTGAATGACACCCACGTCTACTGATAATTGTATTTTAGAAATCAAACAGTATACTCCTAGTTTTCTTATATTAATAGTCTAGCCTCACTTACCGGGCGTCCAAACTCCAGTTCTGAAAAGAATTTATACCAGGGCTCATTTTCTAAATCTATGTCATCTGGATTTATGCGATCAGTCTAGAGCAGATGTGAAGGAAAAGGGAAGGAAAAGGCACACTGAGCAAAGTGAGGGAAACGCTGTGTGGCATGAAAAACTCACGCGCGCATTGACACGCAAACATGCATCAACTCTCACCCCACGAACCTCAGCAGGAGAGAACGGAGGAAGTAAAGTAAAACGAGTAGCATGAGGATGTGAAGGCGAGCTCCATGGCAGGGGGTCCCTAGCTGTTTCCTGCGTCCATCGTTTCTGATTGGCATAAGTTGTGGGCAACTCTTGCTTGAGTTGATCCACTTACGCTTGAGGCATGAACTATGGACCACTCTCTGCGGCAGCGAGACTGGGTCTGGCTGGCACGCCTGATGTTTGGAATAGGCTCAACCCAGTCACCAAATAGCTCTTTTGGGCGAGTCACTTCATCGTCCCTGCCCTCATTGGTGGCTAGCAGTCCCAGCATGGGAGCCCGCAGTCTGCAGACAATTCACTCGGGTGCAGGCAGGTGGTAAGCCTGGGATGGGGAAGGGTGCGGGAGGGGTGGGAAGACAGGCGAGCTGGGGGGAGGGGGACAGGGCATTGGGGGGCTCTCAGGGGCCTGTGGATGAGAAGATTCTGGGGCCTGGATGGGTGCGAGCGGGACCCGGGGGAGTGGGAGTCGCCAGGCTCTGAGCAAGCAAGGGCTGCACCTGCACCTCTGCCGGGCATGAAGAAAGGTAAGGAAGGAAGGAGCTCACCCGGGTGGGAGACAGAGCCGGGGCGCGCGAGCTTGGTGTGGGGGCGCCACTCCGGGGCGGAGGGGAGGGGCTACCAGTGACTTCTCCGAGTCGGGAGCTAGAAAGAGGCTTCCGGCCAGGTTCCCTTGGAACAGGTGTCGGAGTTGTTGGGAGAGGGGGCTGCAAGAAAGAGGGGTGCAGAAACTGGTTCATTAGATGGAGGCTCTGGGCGGAACCGCGAGGACACCCTGGCAGCGCGCTGTGCCTGCGTTAGGCCGGGAGGGGAGAGGCCTCCGGACGGCGAAGTGTCCCTAGGGACCCAGACGCCTCGGGAGCGATCCGGGCCGCTGCGAAGCCCTGCCCACCAGGAGTGGATCCCCAGGATTCACCTCCCGGCTGCCTGCTCTGAGCTGAGAAGGGGATCTGGTTCTTCACAATACCGTGGATGGCGGGGAAGGGGAGGGAGCCTGGGGTAAAATCCCATCTTGGTTTCCTCGATGTTCTAATTTAGAGAAAAAGCCAGTTTTATAATTGACCTGCTTCCCTGCAGAGGTTTCTGAATGTTGTTTTTAAGATGAAAAAACTAGCAGTGTTAATATAAACAGTTGGAGAAAATACATACAATTATTCTAGTAATAGAAAACAGATGTAGAGTGTTTACCTTACCCAGCAGTGTCCTTAATATTTTCAAATAATACATGGCTGACTAGATTGATTTAGGCTGCTGATTTTGTAGTAAATCTAAGAGCTTAAAGTACTATATACAAGTTATTACTTCTTTGATAATTACTATATGACACTAATTAAATGTGGTACAATTGAAGAGTACAGTATCTTAAGTCAGAAAAAAAATTCTAAGAAAAATTATATGGTTCCCTAAAAGCCATTCACTCTGGCTAGGAGAGGAGCTGTGACTCCCAAGACATATTCTAGGAGGACTATTAAGTGCTCACTGCTTCAGAACAATTCAATATCATTTGCTTACAATTCTTAAAGAAACTCAGGGACTTAAACTGAATAGCGACATCTTGGTTGTGAAAAAAATGCTATGTAACCTTCGCAGTGCTGGGAGCTTGAAATGTTCCATATTCCAACAAAAGCCATGATTTTGACATTGTTCTACTGTTTTATTGACTCGTTGCATTTACAAGTTTTGCTAATGATACACAGTCTACACTTACTAATAAATTATACTCACAGTGTTTTTAGTGATGTGACTTTGTTTCAATATTTTATAATAAAAGATTATAGGAGTAATTACAGACAATGATAGAAAAGTTTGAGGCATCGTGACAAAATAGTGCAAAAGCCTAAGTTATCCAAAAGATGTAGTGATCATAATTATAAAGACTGTGTAGTGTCCCTGGGAAATGCTTACAATGAGATACCAAGCAGTCAAAACGGAATCTAACCACGCACCTGTACAGTAGTTACAAAGGTATTACAAAGCTTGTCTCTGCATGAACACAGTAAAGAAGTCACACATACACAAACGACTACAATGGTGTTCTGGTATTGCGACTGTTTGTTTTTTCTTTCTTTTAAATATTATTTTGCTTTATTGTTGTAATGTTATTTTTGTAATAAATAAATTCAGAGAGAACATCCTACTATTAGACATAGGAAAATGCCTAGAAATCTTGAGATATTTTTCCTTCTTTATGCCAGTATTATATTTGGTTTACACCTCAGAAGTAATAGTGAAATTGGTAGAGACAAAATATTCTAGTAACCAATTTGCTATTTTCTGTTGAATTTAAAAATTTAATTCAATTTATATTTGATTCAATAGTTGCAATAGTATTAATTGAGATTTTAATGTCCATAAAATACTATTTTTCTCCAATTATTATTTAGATCATTATAGATGCATAATTGTTCGTGAAATGGCTTTGCTGGAGCTGGTTTTTAGGGTAACTGACAGGAGAGAGAATTTCCAGTAATTTCTCTTCTGTTTAGAGAGACATACTATTTCTTCTACAGGAAAACTAACCTCTGACTCTTTTAAACTTCATAGTTTCTAATGTTACACACTGAATGATATCATTAATTATTATAACTTCTGTTTTCAAGAATAGTATTTTGTTTTGCCAAGGGGAGATAGAAACTTCTCTTAGAGGAAACGAATCTGTTTAAGAAACATTATGAACAGCAGAGGGCAGCCAACTTACTAAATGAATAAGACTTGTTAGCTATGTAGCTTCACTTTGACTCCCACATTAAGAAAATATGTAACAAATGGATATACCAAGTCCTGATTTATAGTAATGCATCTCTATGATAGAATATGGAAAAGGAAGCAGAATATCTACCATCTTGCATCATACCTTAGAATGGCAGTTTTCCATGAATTATGCTTTTGTTTATTTAAATAGTCAATTTATAGTTACAATGGGCAACTATCTAGAATGCATGCCAATAGAAATTAGCAGAGAAAACACCCAAAACAATGATAGCTGGTAATTATCGATAACTTTGGAATGCAATGAAAGGCACATGTTTGAGCAGAGTTGTGTTAAAGGAAGTGTTAGTGGCAGAACTAGAATTTTCTCTTTGCTGTGGTTGCCGTATTGAATCTTTTAAGTCATGCAATAATTAAATGTCCTATGGTGACCTGGAGGCACTGCTAAGGAACACAGAAGCCTCGCAACAGTCAGTGACACACATACAGATGGTCAGTCAACAGATGGATATACACACAAATCACTAATCTCAGTAATTTAACACTTTCCATGTGGAACATGGACATTCCTTTGAGTACAGCACTAATATTAACACTCAGAAACTCATTTAGGAGGTATGATTATGGTTTACTCTAATTGCTCATAAAAGGCAAAAGAGCAAAGATACTGATATGCATCTTTCTAGCCTTGGTGTGATTTTTTTGTTGTTGTTTCTTTTCATTAAAAAAAAAAAAAAACCCACCAGCAAACCTCCGTTTAAAACTAACTTTGTTAGTCATCAGTGCAAGAGGACGTGTTCAAGAAAAGCTACAACTATAAATCACAAGTGATCCTTACTTAAAAGCTACCAAGGGTGAACAACTTTAAAAATTTTAGTGTTTTCTATAATTTAAAAGCATTTAATTGCTTTTGTGGTTATCGAGATTCCACTAAGTATTCTCAGTGAGGCATGTGCTTTCTATACGTTGTTCTAAACAAAAAGAAGTGCCAGGGCTATTTTGTTTTTCAAATTACGCTCATTCCATTTTAAGTTTTAATGACATTGACTACCGTGTTTTATATTTATTGTGGTTTCACAATAAATGCTATATACATTATTAGTTGGGATAATTCTTAATGGTCATCAGATGAAACTCCTTAAATTTTTATAGTTAAGTATTGACTGACAATCTTTATTGATAAAGAAGCTTAAGTTCATTAAGGGTTTAAGTTGCATTTCAACTCTGCTACAGTGTTTTCAATGACTATTTTCTTCTGCTTTTATCATTATGTTCAAGTTTAGTTATTGTAGGTTAGGGTAACATTTTCATATATTTTTTTTTTACTTTATCAAGCATACAGAGGTCCTAAACAAATGCTTTATTAATTTTTTTTTTTAAATTTAACATTACTCACCTACAAACATATCCAATGCAATGGGATATAAAGGTTTTAGTAATATAATCCCAGCAGAGTTTTTATGATTGTCTCATGGAAAAATTAAATTGTGGAAATACGGTTCTGATTTGTGGTTCGAGTCAGTTCAAGGCAAATTCCTGGTGACTGCTAAGTACTTTTCCAGATCAAACATTAGGCCCAATTAATTAACATTTCTAAATTTACAGTCACATGAGTATTTATGAGCTTCAAAAAAGTGCGCTCACTTTTACTTTCCCTGTTAAAGAACATAAACGCATATGCCACTGATTCCTAAGGAAGATCTCTTTGCCAGGGTCTTGGGAAGATTTTTGTTCAAACAGTACTACCCCCCTGCCTTCTCTGTATCCCAGGGAATCGTGGAATTATGAGTCACTACTAATAGCAGTGTGTCAAACCCCTCCAAGAATGTTTTGAGACCCACTGGGCCTTTTGCACTAGAAATATATAGGCTTCATGGATAAACAACAGAACAAGGATTCAGTCCCTCACCAACTTTTTCCACTGACTGCAAGGGTGAAACCTGTGTTCCTTCATTCACTTAGAAATTCCACGAATGCATATTCACTGAACACCTGCTACAGGCCAGGCATCGTCCCAGGTGTTGGGATACAACTGGTGGACCAGTCACAGCCCTCGCCTTCAAGAAGCTCAAGATCTCATGAGGAACACAGTGTGCCATGGGCACACAGCAGGGAGAGCCTCCAACCTAATGCAGAGGAGTCAGGCACATTCCCTGGGGGAGGTGGGACTGTGCTGGGACCTGGAGGATGGGATAGAATTCTCCATGTGAAGGAAGAGGTGGTGGGGAGAGCTTTTCCTGGTGGGGAGGTGCAGCCTTTACAGAGGCCCAGCAATGCGGGAATTGAAAGTTCTCTGTGCAGCTGGAACCTAGCGAGGCAGGGAGGGTGGGAGGAGAGATGAGGCTGGAGAGGTCAGCTGGAGCCCAGTCACAGGTCTTCTATAAATTATGCTCAGGGTTTCAGATTTTGCTCGAAGGACAGTGAAGAGCCAGAGAAAATTTTGAGCTGGAGGTTTTATAAAGATTTTCTAAAGATTGCCTTCGCTGTGGTGTGGAGACTAGACTGGAGAGGTAGGGAAATGAATCAGGTGGCTGTCACTGTAGCCCAGGCACGGACAATTGTGGGCCAGAAGAGAGGAGCAGCAGTGGCACTTCTCCTGGCAGGCGACACTGAGTCCACTGCAGGAGAGGGGAAAACCCAAGATGACCCTTTGGAAAAGTGGGCAGATGGAGAGGCCATGTAGAGATTCAAAAGAGCAACACAGAATTGCCCAGGTGTTGTGTATATTTTTCAAAAATTGAAAATGAAAAGAGCAAAGGAATGCTTCCAAGGCATCTTGGAGTCAAAAGACATGAGAATGCATGAATAAGACCTTGATACCCCTCAGCGCTGGCCATCGCTGCGACGCCACTCTCATTCAGCACGCCTGCTCTTCAACCTCTAGCCTGTATTTTCAACACTTCAGAATCTTATGTAAACTATATCAGTACGCGGCCAGTCTCTACATCACCACGGCCCACTTGGCTCTTTTTGTTTTCTAATTTATAGAGGCAATTGAAACGAAGTCAGGACTAATTTTTTTAAAAAGATGATGAGCTGGTCCTACACTGGAAAGGCTGGCCAACATGTCCCATATGGCCAGCTCAAACCATTCTGCTTAAGGCTGGTCCTCTCCAAAATTGTTTAGGAGGGTTAACATTTTTGGTTCTTTCTATTTCTCCATAAGATAGCCATTCTCACTTCCTTCCAAGTTTCTAAGTTCCTTCTACTTATCTTCTCCTGTGGCTGCAGAGACCTATCCACACTCGAATCTCTGTCACACTCATGGCTCCAGAGTTTCCTGTCTTACAACCAGTCACATCTACTGGTCCTGTGTGGTAACTACTTAGGGCCTAAGTTTCTGATAAAGTAAATCAAGTATACTTTATTGTAAATTAGCCAATAAATAAATTAATTTATACTGCAAAATCATCAAATAAGGGAATCAAATAACTGCTACTTCAATGTGTTTCCTGCTCAGCCACACCTGGAGTGGCTGTACAGCAGCGACCAAGTGCACCAGGCATCAGTATGCCTGGGCTCAACTCCTAGTTCTGGCTCCCACCATGTGTCCCTGGGGCAAGGCGAGCTAATGTGTGTTTCAGTCTCTTCATCTGTAACATGGAAATGCCATGTGTCTGCTTAATAGGGCTGCTGGAAACTTTACATGAGATAAGGCATAAATTACTAATTACAGCGCCTGGCATATAGTGAGTGCTCAATAAAGATTTACAATGATTGCTATTGCTATTATTATTGCTATTGTAAAACGAGGAGTCTTTAAAGTCTTTTTTAACCCAAAGACAAGAGTAATGTGACAATTTCAATAACAATGATAGGGTCAATGTATAAACCCTAAAGGGAGCAAAGGGAGGGTTTTTTAGGTGTGCGTCTGTTTTAACCATATAAGAGGCTGTTTACTTTGCACAAACTCAGATCTAGTCTTGCATAGATATTAAATGATAGACTTGAAGTTCCTCAAGGTAGAGAGTGTGTCCTGTTCCCCGCTGTGCACCTCACATAAAGCCTGGCATGTAGCTGGTGCTCAGTCAGTTTTACTGAATGACTAAATAATAGAAACATCGTGGTGGGAGAGCGTCTAAAACCAATCCTGTTTCCTGACACCACGGCTACCAAAGCATTCCAATACCATTACCATGTTCGTTATCCTAAGAGTCTCATAAATTACTAGAAAGATCATTAAAATTTTGTTATTTAATTTAAATCTGAGATATATTATTTCACTGTTTTCAATTTTCTGCAATGATGACATTGTGTTTCACTCAATTCTCATTCTGGAAATTTCAGAGTAGCATGATACTCAATCACAGAAACTAGTAAATGGGTTACAAGTTTGCAATGGTGCCTGCAAATCAGTGATTTTTTTTTTCTTTCAGTTTTTCTTTTGTAGTCCTGTTACTCTAAAAGATATGAGTTATTTAAAGAAAGGGTAAGAAGGCTTAGACAAATATCATGTATGAATTATCTGATGATAAGGTTTTGAACATGCTTCTCCAGAACACAACCGCAAACACAGGGTTTCAAAGACTCAATCAAGGACACTCATGTTGGGTGTGGCAAGGCTAGAGTTTCCAATTAAACCACAGGGCTGGCCTTGGATTATATATGAGTGTGATTTCTTGGAGACTCTTGAAGGAGCTCCACAAAGAAAACTCTCTTTTTCCTGTTCACTGACACCTAAAATTCTTTTAAAGCAAAAATGAGAGTAAATTGCAATTGATTGCAAATGTTTTCCTAGAAGTAGGCTTGGAAGGAGATGCAGAGGAACTGTGGAGTTTCAAAGAAAATCCTGAGGACACTGATTTCTGAGGGGAAGCAAAGGACATGCAAGGGAGTATTGGGGAATCAAAACCAAAGAAGGCCAAGGGAAGACCTATGTGTGAACCTGCGCTTCGAGGAGGCAAGTGGTTCTTCTTAAGTGTATAGATATTTTTGTTTGCATATAATTAAATAATTGGAAAAAATCCTGCAAAGTGAAATATAATCTTGATCCATTAGAATGACAATCAATCAGGAAGCTTGAGGCTTGGTAACCTGAGGAGGGATTTAATAAGAAGCAATTAAAACAACTTGTTATGAAAAGGGCATTTGGAAAATTCTCCCTTCATCCAAAGAAATATTAAAAAGCCAATATGGAAAACAAGGGATGGAACTGCCTGGGTCCATGTATATTGGGGAGATTAATTAATGATTTTTCTCATTAGCAAGCTATGATAGCAATTAAGTATTGCACTTATGAACTTTTTTAAAAGTTAAACTCTGATTAATGATTAGGCACAGTTAGAGTTACATGCAAATGAATCTTGCATATAAATATATATATGTGTGTGCATACACATGTGTATATATGTGTATGTATATACACCTGCATGTGTGTGTGTATATATATATATATAAATACACACACATACACACACACATACACTTGTATTTGGTCAGTAAAGACAATATATTAGAACATGTATCTTTCAATTCTGAGATGAGATGTACAAATCATTATACAAAATAAACATGATTTCTAAGTGATTACCTTTGTGACAAAAATTGCTAATGGGTCTGAAATTCAGGTTTATTGGGGAGCCCTGGGAGCCCAGCGAGCTGGCATATTCTGTTTAATGACAAGTGCTTACTGGTCTTTCATGCTGAAGAATTGATGACTTGCCAGGTTCATATTCAAAAATACTCCTTGGCTCAGACCGAAATTTTCTTGTGTCCACTTTTCTGTCTGGAGGATCCCAGTCATGCCTAGAAATAAACAATAAATCACACATTAAAATAATCCTTTTTGCTTAAAGCAATTGTGTAAAACCAGTTATCTGTTTTCAACATTACTTTTAGCATAGTTTTAAAAAAAATCTCTCAGGATAAAAAGTTAACCTGTGAAAAATACCACATTCCCCCGCCACTGGCTCCAAAAGTCACATGAGGGGTTTGTAGACGCGCAGAGAGTGAGTCCCTGGGTTCCTAATGGCAGCTGTGTATATTTGTGCTTAAAATAGGTGGCAGTATGCTCTGCTGAACTATGAGCATTTAACCCACCACTTTGTGACCTTTGGGATCCTTGATCCAAAGTGACAAGGAGTAATGCACACACCATGTTTGATCTTATTTCTTGAAGTGGGATCATCGCTTGGGAAGAGCACAGAAGTGTCATGTGGGTTGGCGTGCACCAGAGCAGGCAGTGTGGAACAGGAGGTCGTCTTTTGGTGTGAGCCTTGAAAAACCAGAGTCAAACATCTCATTCATGGGAACCAGCACTTTTCCCCCAAGGAATATCTTCCAAGAGGCTGTCAGAAGACTTACGAAGGAAAGCTTCAAAAAAGGGTTTCACAAAATTAAGCTTTTCTAGGCTACTGAGCTAAAGAAGAAGGCTTCTTTTTTTTTTTTTTTTTCGAGACAGAGTCTTCCTCTGTTGCCCAGGCTGGAGTGCAGTGGTGTGATCACAGCTCGCTGCCATCTCACTCAAACTCCTGGGCTCAAGCCATCCTCTCTCCTCAGCCTCCCAGGGGCCATGATTTTTAGGAGGAAGGATTTTCTGACTGTAGATAGGGGTAATTCTGCTTCCATGGAATGGAATGAAATTCTTGCTCCATGGCCCGTTGGAAATAGAAATACTCTAAGAGACAGAATTAGGGACAAGCCCTAGCTTTCTACTAAATTCATGACTGATATGGAGCAAGACCCCTTAAACTTTCTCAGTCTTCATTTTTTTCCATTTGTGTAAAACACAGACAGCAATAATGTGTTGTTCTTCCTTGCAGAGGAGTTTTGAGCATTACATGAGATAATACATATGAAAGCCATATGGAATTTTTTAGGAGGTTATCATATGTTTTAATGAGATATTTAATTTTAACAAAACATATCAGATGGGTAATACCTTTAAATCAAAACGTTAATTTTGGTTATTTTTTGATGACAAAGATAACAATTTGTGTCTAGAAAACTGTTTCTCAATTTTAAGGCCTCACATAATTCATCCTGAGGAGATTGGTATTAAAATGAGACCCCTTTCACACACGATGTGTGTGTTTTGGTGGGATGCTGTGCCCTATATGATCATCAATTACTCTATTATAAAATTTTTATTTGTTTTTTTTTTTTAGTGAAGATGGGATTTCGCCATGTTGGCCAGGCCAGTCTTGAACCTCTGGCCTCAGGCAATCCACACACCATGGCTTCCCAAAATGCTGGGACTGGCTGGGTGCAGTGACTCACGCCTGTAATCCTAGCACTTTGGGAAGCCAAGGTGGGTGGATCACGAGGTCAGGAGTTAAGACCATCCTGGCCAAGGTGGTGAAACACCATACAAAAATTAGCCGGGCGTGGTGGCTGGTGCCTGTAATCCCAGCTACTTGGTAATTGCTTGAACCCGGGAGTCGGAGGTTGCAGTGAGACAAGATCACACCATTGCACTCCAGCCTGGGTAACAGAGTGAGACTCCATTTAAAAAAAAAAAAAGTGCTGGGACTACAGGCATGAGCCACCACGCCTGGCCTGATCATCAATTACTCTTAATGGTACAATAGGGTGTTGAATACAATTTTTCTGGAATGGGTATGATAACACTTAATAACCAGTATTAATAAGAAATAATTTTTATATTCTTATTTATTAATTGCTAGGATAGCATAGGCCTTGGGTTTAATCAGAGCTGAGCTTGGACCCTGGCTTGGACATAACGAGCTGCATGAGCTGAGTAAGTTCCTACCATTTTCTAAACTGCAGTTTCTTCCTCTTTAAAATAGAAAGTATCTCACTGGGTTGTTCTCGGAATCAAATGATATGACACAGAAAAAGCACTTAGCCTAGTGCTTGGCTTGTAATGAGCGCTCAATGAAGGTTACCTATAAGTAGAAGTATTAGTCATAATCCCAGTAAAAATAACACAATAAAAAAGTGTTTATAAATTTTTATTTTCATGTAGATAGTTTGTATAAAAATATTTCAGTGGAGAAAGGAAAACTCGTATTAGCTTGAAAAACTGGTAGAAACAAGTCACAGACACTTATTAACTAATGCCTCATTATGATTTTTGAATAACTTTCCCTGCTTTCAAAAATGTCTCTTATTAATAGACCTGGGGAAACAGAAAATGAACTGCATAGCCTGTAACCTGGTATGCCAAAGGAAGTACATGTCCATTATTTCTATTTACTTGTCTCTTATATGTATGTATTGATCAAAAAGCAGAAAATGTGTCCATATTACTTCAAGTCTAATTTAGGGCACTCCAGTATCATGAAAGAAGACAGGGAAAACATTTGCTACAATCCCAGCAGAGGAGGTCAATATGGTATATGTATAGACTAGCAAGATTACACATCCGCTCTCTCTGTGGCAGGTGCACTGATTCTTCTACTGAATGCCATGTAGACTTATTTTTATCCTAAGCGAAACATAGGCCACCCTGGGGGGAAATGCCTTACTTTTCTGTTGAAGACCGATCTCTTGGTCGAAGCGGCGGGACTGGAGGTGGAACATGTGGGGGAGGCACTGGGGAGGACGCATCCTTAAAGGCATTGGGGCTGTTGTCGGAGTGGCTTTTGGAAAGAGGTCTGTAGGTTTGGGTCTTTGCAGCAGGGTGTGACTGAGCACTGTAGGGTGGGTTGTACAGACCTATCATGACAAAAAACAAAAGCAGACAAAAAACAGAAGCAAATCACCTCTTAAAAATGAATTAAATTATTTGTCCCCCTCAAAATAGCCAATGATTGCATAGAAATTATTATCAATAAGCATATTCATAATGCATACATTAGAAGGTAGTTTCTTAATTTATTAATATTAATGTACTAATTTCCATTAATTTATTAATTACAAATTTATTCTGTACCTAAGCCCTGATTACAGTAAATCTTTGTCAATTATTTCAGAACTAGTAATAATTCAGACTGGTACTAGGAATAGACTTATAAGCACTCAGCAAATTTTCTCTTCAATTGTATACACTAAGAAAATAGTTCAGTTTTCAGAGCAAGATTAAAAACGGAACTGTTTCCAAATATCTTCTAATACTTTAAAAACCCTGATTTACATATGAAAATTGACATGCTAATTGTAGTCAAACAAAATATTGCACACAGTTGTGTTTATAAAGTGCTGTGCAAGGTACAAGGAAACATGAGTCCTCAATATGCTTAGAGTGCACCTGGGAAAATCAGACACAAATAGAATTATGATGGAAAATAATTGGTAAAAGATAATAAAGACCAAATGAAGAAAACACATAGTAAGAATTAAAGGATGCTAGTAGGTGGTAGATTGCTCAGAGAAGGTATTATGGAACCCACGAGTCCAGAGTCAGCCCTGAATGAGTTTCGGTGAGCAGGGCAAGAGGGGAGCAGGGATGGTATAGAAAAAAAGGCAGAAAAGTGCAAGGTGTGAAGCCATGGCTTGCACGGTTAGTAGAGAGCAAAGAGACTAGCTGCAGTTGACTCGTCCACTGATCAAATGATCAGCTTGTAGGGCTGTACAAAGTAATATATCACTGCTGTTCCATTCACTAATCACTAATGTGACACAAACCTCAATATTAAAACAGTTATAAAAATTCTAAATTTTCCTGCACCCAATCATTGGAGCTAATTCTATTTGTACCCGTTCGCTTCTCCTGAAAGTCCATGCACATTTCCACAGCAAATGAAAAGAGACAACATCTACACTTACAGTTTTGCTTGGATTCAACAGTCGGACTTCAACTTTTGAGCTAAATAAAGGAGGTGAGTTTGGTGGGCGTGGGAGCAGGGATGAAATTAAGGGAAACATCTTTGTGGGCCTGAAGCTATCAGTGGGGCGAGCCAAGACTTAAACCCAGAGGGCTTGCTGAGTTTGTTCTACTGATTTTCCCTCTATCAATTTGTCTTTGGAGATAGGAGCACAATCCCAAATAGTTAAAGGGCCTGAATGTGGTCTCCAGGGGTGCAGAACAGGAGGATCATGCGACCCCAGGCTGCCCAGAGGACCCCAAGTGAGGTTGCAGCTGCTGAAGGGGAGGGGAGCAGTGCCAGCCTCCGAGCCTGGTCTAAAGAAAGAAGAAAAAAAATAGTTGTGCACCTGTCCTGAGCCTGTGACTGGGCAGGGAGAGGAGCCCTGGGCAGAATCCCGAGGCAACACTCAGGAGAAAGTGATGAAGGGAAAAACATTTGTCAGGGGTCCCTCCTTCCAGCCTGCAGACCCCTGCACGAGATACCAAGGCTCGCCAATCCAAGTGGCAGTGCCTGGAACTGAAGCCATTCTATTGTGACCACTGGCAATTCTGAGTCAGAAAAGTGGCCCCGCCAAGGGGGATTTTTAAACTCTTTCAATGAATGGTTGCATTTTGGAGCAAAAGGCAGGGACAAGGTCACAGAATACTTTGTTTGACTTGTTTTTGGTGAAGTGTATCTGAAAGATCTTACACAATTGTAATCATTCTCTCTGCTGATAAAAGATCTTTATCTTATTTTGTACCCTGGGTTACAGTGTGTCCTTTCAGCCTATCCTTCACACTTTGGTTAAACATTCCTGAAGCTGAGAATAAACCAACAGTGGGAATGAATGAGATAAACCAGTATTAGTTCTCATTTCCATGAGAAAAGTCAATCCTTTTGTTATGCACGCTCTGAGAAAAGAAAAGAAATCCTCCTCCTAATATATGAACTGAAAACATGTGCTCAAACAGAAGGGGAAAAAAGGTGACCGTGTCGTTCTTCCAAACATTGCTGAGCATAAAATAGTCATTGCGAGCAAGGAAACCCATCCTACCTGCATTGTATGTATAAGGAGTATTATACATGTCTGTGTCATCATCTAGAAAATGAAACATAAATATTATGGTAATATAGATTGTCACCAAAGGACAACGAGACAGCAGAACTTCAGACAAACAACAGAAATTTGTTAGAAAAGCAACGTATTTTTCCTAGTTCATAATGCCATTTTCTTTCTTTTTTTCTTTTTTTTTAAGAGACAGGGTTTTACCCTGTCGTCCAGTCTGGAGTGCAGTGGTGATCATTGCTTACTGCAGCCTCCAAACCTCCAACCCCTGGGCTCAAATCATTCTCCCACATTAGCCTTCTGAGTAGCTGGGATTACAGGTGTGTGCCACCACAGGCCTCTGCAAACTGCCCTTTTTTATCTGTAACATATTCGTCTTGCTGCCCTCTTCGTAGCATGCAAAGTCAGGCCCTTGTCCTCGCTTCCCCAGAAACCTCTCTGCTCTGGATCGCAAATTTCCTTTACTAAGTGCTTTAGTGGTCTCCTGTCTACAGAGCAGGCTCAGGCAGACCCGCGCAGGCTCACTCTCCTGATGAGAGCAGACAGGGGTGGACAGAGGAACAATGTGTTTTTCACCCAGGCAACACACCAATTTAGACTGTGGACAGGGGAGGATGGAGGGCTGAGGCCAGAGTGCCTGGTTGTCCTCCATGGGGAGGCTTCTTGGCAGCTCAGGTGGGAGGCAGAGGCACAGGGATCTGTCACCGGAGGGGTGACAGAAGGAGAACAGGAGGCATGCTGAAAAGAAAGGGGACACGGAGTTTGCTGGGGTCTTGACATTGTGTGTGAATCAAACCGATGCAAAAGACGAATGTAGTCCCTTCAACCCACAAGGACCTCATCAGAAAGCAGAGCAGCAGACATACCCGGCTTGTGCACCATGTGAATTTGCTTAAACATCGTCTTGTACCAGTCCTTGGGCCGGTCGACTGTCTGTAATGAAGAGAGCGTCCAATGGTTACAAACTGGCTTCCAATCAACATCGCTTCTCAGTGTTTTCATTTCTCTATTTTATGTTCTTAATAACAGAGTCCCATTCTGTGATAAAATGTTCTGACTCTTTGCTATGGCTTCATGACAGTTTCAGCAATTTACTTAGTTATGTGTGCAGTTTGTAAACATATGGCCTTGTGTTTGAATTTAGGCTGAGTTGGAACATTAGATGCTATGGTTTTATTTTTTCAAGTTATAGCTGTACCCTGCACTAGAGAGTTGATATTTGCACAAATATATAAAGTTCACTTAATGTAAGTTATTGTTGTACTAATTTGTTTAACTCCTTTTGGTAGATAATGATCATTATCCTTAGATGCTTTTTATTGAATGTTCTGTAAGACAGTGTTTTCAGAATTAACTGGGGAATATTTTTGACTCAAATTGTATTCTGATCAGTGTGGCTCTAGAGAAATAAATTTGCTATTTACTAGTCTAAGCTACTAAAATACTGAATGTAGTAGGCATCCCAGAGTCCTACGGAAAATTTAAGAATGTAGATATTGCTTCAAAAATGCTAATATGATAACAGAGTGTATACAACATTTGCTCGGCTAAAATTGTAGGTTCCTTGAGAGTAGAAGTCCTTACGGATCCAGGCGTCGGACATGAGGGGAGCAGTAGGCTGTAGTGGAAAGATGAAATTAATGTAGAGTCTTGAACTAAGATTCAAATCTTGGTTCCTTAAATTGCTGCTTAATACACCCTAGCAATACGAATCTGGGCAAGTCATGTCACCTTCTTGAGCCTCAGTTTTCTCCTCTCTAAAGTGACATAATTATATCTAAATCATAGGATTGTTATGGAAATCGAATGAGACAATGTATACACAAGACCTAGAACAATGCCTAGAATATAACAACTACTCAATAAATAATAACACTAGGGAACTGCAAATATTTGTAGAATGAAATAATGAATGAACGTAGCCTATTGGATAGAGCTCTGCCTTTCTGGATACCTGTAAAAGTAGACACATGCTTTTATAATCGTACTCACAGATTTTGCTTGGCAAGATCTTACCCCAACTCTCTGAGAGCTACCTGGGCAACAGGCTTGATGATTCTGCTTATAGTAACTAAACACACCAGACGTTCCAAGACAGATCTCGATTTAAAAACTTCTGTTAGGACTGATACGAAAGCATTCTTATACTTACTAGACTGAGCTTTGGGTTAGATTTTATTGCCTGATCTTTTTTTCCCCAGAAATGTGGTCACTGCATTTTTCCTCTGGACATTAAGGGTTTTGTGCTATATCTAAATTTATTTTGACCTCTGAGAATATATTATTCTGAAAAATCACCCCAAATACAGGTTAACATGAAGGGCCACTTGACTTCGTTATGAGTCAGCTCTTCATTCTCGGCTCTTTCTCCATGGAAGAGTTGAGGTTATTGATTGACTATTCAGTCAAAGGACGGGACATGGTGGAAGGGATTGCAGTGGTGAAGCAAAGGTCTATTATTTGCTGGTTCAAAGTTGCTAAACATGTATCTTTCAAGAAAGTTTATTTTTATAAAGGACTGATTTCTCTTTCATTAAACCTCATTTCTTTTACTGTACCAAAGCAACAGAAAATACAACATAGTGTTGTGCAAAAATGTTTTCCTGGACGTGCTGATGGCAACAAGGAAGCCTACTAAGTAAGTCCTATCACTGTATATGGCAATACATGTTGACAGACAGGTTTTTTTTTCTTCACTTGCTGGAGGGCCTATATCAGGTAGGATCTCACAGTGATGCCATCTGCTAGCTTTATATGGTGAGCACAAAGATGCCAGAAAATGCCCTGCTGGCAAAGGGAAATATGAAGCTGGAAAAATAAAATACGAAAACTCTATGTCCCTTTCTAAAAGAAGTACTCTAAGCATTTAAAGTTCCTTTTGTAAATGCCATCATGGAGATCGCTATGCCTAAGGCTGAGAATAAGAAAATAGTCTACTCAAATTTCAGGAAGTTTACTTTTGTACGTAAAATCATTTTGCATGAAAAATAGCTACTAGCAATTCACTATGCCGTTTTTTCTACAACCTTGACTAAATAGACCTGAATTTTTACATTCCTACAGTTTTCAAAACATCAGAACTCTACACTGATTTAACACGCAGAGATTTCAAAAAAGATAAAAAAGGACATATTTTCTACATAGCAGTATACAGTGACTCTGTTCTATTTTTTTCTCCTTTTCAGTTTTGAAAATACTCAAACAAGTGTTATATTGGAAGTAGAAGAAAAGAATCTTGTATTTCACTTAACTAGCTGGCCTTAATGACACAATCTCATGGGAGCTGAGCCCTGGCGATTTTTGTTGTTTTGAAGAACAGCACTGAAAGGTTCACATAGATGTCCCAGGTCACATGAGAGAGGGCAATCTGGAGAGCTGATTCCCTGCATTAAAATAGCTCAAAAGTACTGTTTGTTGACTCTTGGCTTTCTAGAGTTTCTGGATGACTTTACAAAATTCTGTTTCCTCGGCATAGGCTGGCTGTCTAAAACGATACTGCAGCATGGTACATTGTGACAGTACCGCCTTTGGCAAATACACTGAATCTGATCATCATTACTTTCTACACATGAGAAAGAAAAACAACCTTGGAGAGTCTTGGCCTGCTGTGGCTCAGAGACAGCCTGACTTGACATTTATAACCACAGCTATACATGGGGATGTACTCTGGAGGGCTGTATAGTCAGTGTAAGAGGAGAGTCCTCATAGACCTGGACCTTCTTTGTCAAGTTTTAAAGGTCCAAGTAAGACAACAATTGTGCATAAAAATTACAGTTCCTTATAAGGAACTTCTGCATTGGTTATATTGTGTTTTCTATTTTATAGAAGGGAAACTGGCATTAAATGTTTAGTGTGTTTGCTTATGCATACCCAAACGTGCTTTTGATTTGGCAGTTGATAAACATTTTAAAAATTTTAAGATGATTTAATTTTCATCAACCATCTCTAGCATCTCAGTTTTTCCTTTTGAAACTAACCAGGCAAAGTCTGGTTAGTTAAGGAAATTATGTCTTATAAAGGAAGAAAACATGGACCAGGCTTGCATGTCCATTATATATCATTTATTGACCTAAAAACATACCCAGATATCTTTGATAAAATCCTCTCAGACAGAATCTATAACTACATAGAATCAGGGCTTTCTTAATTTTGTCTATACTATGCCTCAAGTGCCAGTTACACAAAACCAATGACACCATTTCTGTCTGACTGTCTATCCCTATATAATTAGAAGAAAGTTTCAAATTTAACCATTTTGAGTCAGAAATCTTAGAAGGGAAATGAACAAGAAAACATCATCACCAGAAACATGTAATCATCATAAAATGAAGAATATTGGTCATAATCCCTGAACTTTTCTTTGGCACATAAATATGGCAATCGTCAGTTTCAAGACAGATTGTTAGAATGTCATATCACATTCAACGTTTCCTCAATCTAAAGAGTCTAAAACCCCAGTAACTGCTGTACAGATTTACTTTTTGGCTTTCAATTGTAATATAGATGCTGAGAATAATCCATTTTAAACTCTTCTGTCTGTATATAAAACACATAATCCCCATATAAGAATGTAAAGTCAAGGAGAGAAGAAAATCCCCACACTTTATCGTTAGTTCTTTTTGACTGTTTCCAATCTTACCACGGCTTTTTTTTTTTTTTTCCTGCTCTCTTTCCCATTCTTTGCCTCTATCCCTTATTGTCTTGGCTGCCCAGGTCTGCATTCCAGGGGAGCAGCTCTTGGCCACACCCCAGCTTTACATGGGTCTTGCTGCAAAGTATATGCAGCTGCAGTCCCTCCCCGCATGGCCCCCAACTTCACCTGCAAAGGTGTTGTTGCTTTCATCCTGTCCCCGGCTTCCTTCTCCCGGCTGGCACAAGCCTTCTCTTCCAGTGGACTTGGTCAGCCAGCTGCTGCCTGCCCAGGCTCTCAGAAGCTGCCTCTGCTACTGCTGCGTTTTGCCGGAAGGGGCTGCCCAGATACACTGAGCAATGCTTTGGCAGAGTTTTAAAACTTAAAAAAAAATCCAAACACTTTCACTTATCATCCCAGGAGAGCTCTCAGCAGGCACGGCTGAAGAGGGACATTAAAATGTGTATTTTTCTTCAGACAGCTTTTCCTTTCCATGACATTAACTCTCTTCACTCCAATCATCTCACCTCCCAACTCCCAAATCACAGCTTCCAATCTCCCGGTGTTAACACACATCTATTTCAAAAAACGAACACATCACTGCTTTATTCGCAATGCATGTGGGAATTCAATGCAGCCAAAGAATTTCCATTGTCTTGTTCCTTCTCTTTTCTCTCTATTGCCCTAAGCCTCCTTGGTAAAAGGTAAAAGAAAAACAAACAAACAAACAAACTAAACCACACAACACAGTTTTACCATTTAACAAAATCGCAATGTTCATGATGTTTCATTCAAATGGAAAAACAGATTGTGTAATTCTCTCCCATCAACAGCTTTCTTTCTCTGCCACACACAGCATAACATTCATGAGAAGTCGGATGGCACGGAGGGCAATCCTCCTTATATAAGACCCTAGGAATGCACAAAGCCGTGGACAATCCGTCCTTTGTGGAGTCTGTGCACAGCCCCAGACAGACGCACACGCTGGCATTTCCTACCGTTCTAATTGCTGTGGGGATTCCGGATTCATCCACGGGCCCGATCCCTGGGTAATGCGGGGCTTTGATGACTGTCACTCTCTTCTCTTCCTCTGAGGATCGGTACAGGGGGATAGAGCTGCTGGTGGTGCCATCCAGAGACTGCGCATGCTGGGGATATGTGTCTGTGGAATCTGCACAGAAAATTTGGTAACATGGAACGTATTCGTTGCACAGGGAATCATAAATTCATGTGTCTTGTTGTATATTTATGCCAACTGTAACACAGAGACCATATTGCCATCACTGTCCCTTTTAACTCATTTACTTTCCATCTGAGCTGGTGGAAACTGTGTAGGTGTGCGGGGAACAGACCTATACCAACAAGGGCCTCACCATTTTATGAAGAAGGCTGAGGGAAGAATGGCATTTGTTAAATGACTGTGTGGAGGCCTCTGAGTTAGGAAGTGCTCTAAATGCATTATCTCTTCTTATCCTTCCAGTAATCTTTGAGGGAGGGCAGGATAGGGGGAGCAAGAACCAGTGTTATAGATAAGGGGCAGGAGCTGAGACAAGTTCAGTAATTTCCCTCAGGTCATCATTTACATCAATATTATTCTTGTGATACTGCTACTACTATTATTTATAGGTTTTGAAATGTATTTCCAGACAAAGACATGACTGTTGAGTCAGTAACAGTGATTTCATAAAAATGAAGCAAAACCAAAAATCACTTAAAAAAATCTTCACATCCAAGCCTTTGGACATGAAAGCTTCTGAATAAATAAATGCTGTAAAATTATTAGTACGATTTCCTATGTGCATTTTTACCTTAAAATATCAAAAACTATGACTTTTTACTCTTTGATGACAAAAACTGCCCTAAGGATATAATTTAGATGAGGCTTATCGAGTTCTTCATGTTTTTTAGTAACTTCTAGAATACTTTCAGAAGCAACAGAGTACAGACATGCAGTATATAGTCCATTTACTTCTAATACACAGGAATTTTAAAAAAATCATCATTATTACCGTTCCTCTGGTATGATTAATAATATGCCTTTATATTTTTCTGCAATTAATTTGAAAATGTTGGTGACAAAGAATGACACTTTGTATATACTCTTTATATCATGGTTTGTCAGGACTGCCACTCAGAAAGTCCTTTAAGGTGGAAATGAAAAAAATTCTCATGTTTCAGGGTGGGACTCATTGATATCATTATGTGTATATGATATATATCATGTATAAATGTATTTTTCATGAAAAATTTGTATAAAATAAGTAAGCTTTTTTTTTTTTTTTTTGAGATGGAGTCTCGCTCTGTCACCCAGCTGGAGTGCAGTGGTGTGGTCTCAACCTCAGCCTCCTGGGTTCAAGCGATTCTCCTGCCTCAGCCTCCAGAGTAGCTGGGACTACAGGTGCGTGCCACCATGCCTGTACAAAAAATTTTTGTACAAAATACAAACAATTTTTTGTATTTTTAGTAGAGACGGGGTTTCACCATGCTAGCTAGGATGGTCCTGATCTCCTGACCTCATGATCCGCCCGCCTCGGCCTCCCAAAGTGCTGGGATTACAGGCGTGAGCCACCGTGGCCGGCCATAAGGAAGCTTTTTAAGAAATTTTAACTCATCAATATAAGGGTAATTAAAATTCAGATCTCTCTGAGGTAAAATCCATTGTAACATTTGTAACTGCTATTACTATGATTATGACTATTTTCAATTTAGTTTGCATCAGAAAGTCATTTTTAATACATTTTTTGATGAAGAATGGATAAGGCTAGTTATAAAACTGCTTTATGTGCAGTTTATGTGCTGGATGGTGACATAAAATGTCCCTGAATAAACGAACAGCATCATAGCCTTTCAACACTGAATCAGTGCTGGGGAAGGAGGTGTGCTGGCTGCTGTCAAAGAAGACATGGTGGTTGAAGTCCCGGGTTGTAGTTTCTTTCCCCCTGCTACTGGCCCCTTGAATGTGAAAATAACATTCAAGCTAGTCCTTATTTTTACTTCTTTATTTTTTTTGAGACGGAGTCTTGCTCAGTCACCCAGGCTGGAGTGCAGTGGCGCGATCTCGGCTCACTGCAAGCTCCACCTCCTGGGTTCACGCCGTTCTCCTGCCTCAGCCTCCCGAGTAGCTGGGACTACAGGTGCCCGCCATCACGCCCAGCTAATTTTTTTTTTTGTATTTTTAGTAGAGACGGGGTTTCACCATGTTGGCCAGACTGGCCTCGATCTCCTGACCTCGTGATCCACCCGCCTCGGCCTTCCAAAGTGCTGGGATTACAGGCGTGAGCCACCGCGCCCGGCTAAGCTAGTCCTTATTAAGACACGGTGAGATATTTGACACTAATTGACTTTCTATTTAATTCCAAAAAGGACTTGAGTGGGCCTCCATGATACTAGTATTTTTATTAGCGACGAATGTTTTTTGAACACCAGCATGTGCAAAGTCCTACTCTAAGCAAGGAGAATCAACTCTGCCTTCACATCTGATCCATTACATTCTATGAACCCATACCTTATGCAATATAAGTTAACCCTTTATTTTATTATTCTCATATATGGTCCACTAGCTGTCATCTTAGCAATCTTTTGTCCTAAACTAAGTGTAAAATTCATCTAGGGCAAGGTAGATGTACATATTCCTCCGAAACCTTATCACAGCACTGGCCAGCTGGAATTTGTTCAGTGTTTACATTGGGAATTTCTTCCCATGCAGAATATTTTATATGTAAAATCTACTTATCAATATATTCTAAAATCAAAGCCTATCTACATTCAAGTATTTTTGTTGTTGTTGTTGGGTGGGGATAGGGACAAAACTGCATTCACTAAGACAGGCAATGAGACAGAGTCAGGCTTTGTTAATAATTATTTGGGAAAAAGCTGTGGCTAGAATAATTTGTCGAGTTTTACTTTATATGTGTGTAAATGCATAGTTCCATTTTAAACAATCTAGATATAATGGACTTCCATTATAACACCACACTATGGGCTGATTGTTAAAGGGCAAAATTTCGGCATAAACCAGTTTTACTTTCTTAACTCTAAAAGGACATCATTGTAGGATTCACAGATGATCCTCAGGCATAGCATCAGCGAAGGCACAGATATATTTAGACTTTAATAAGTCCCGCGGCTACCTTTAAAGTTTTATAGTTATAGAGCTTTGGTTGACCTCAGAAGCTGAGTTCCACCATGCACATGCTGGATGGTGACATAAAACATCCCTGAATAAACGAACAGCATCATAGCCTCTCAATACTGAATCAGTGCTGGGGAAGGAGGTGCACTGTCTGTGTCAAAGAAGACATGGTGGTTCAAGTCCTGGGTTTTAGTTTCTTTCCCCCTGTTGCTGGCCCCTGTGGCCAGAGGACCAGGCCTCTCCTTTTCTGGGAGGTGCAGGATGGTGCTGCTGTCCTGAGAATTCCCCTCTGCTCCCTGCTGTCCTAGAAGCTTCCTAGTGAGTCGACATCATGGAAACTTGTACAGCCTGAATTCCTATGATAGTTCAATTTCGTATTTTTTTTGATATTTTAGGTTTTTAAGTTACATTTTTACAAACTAAGAAATATTTATGGGCCGGGCACGGTGGCTCATGCCTGTAATCCCAGCACTTAGGGAGGTCGAGGCAGGTGGATCACCTGAGGTCAGGAGTTCGAGACCAACCTGGCCAACATGGTGAAACCCCCTGTCTGTACTAAAAATACAAAATTAGCTGGGTGCGGTGGCGGGCACCTGTAATCCCAGCTACTCAGGAGGCTGAGGCAGGAGCATCACTGGAACCCAGGAGGCAGAGGTTGCAGTGAGCCGAGATCGCCCCATTGCACTCCAGCCTGGGCGACAGAGTGAGACTCCATCTTGAAAAAAAAAAAAAAAGTATTTATCACATTATTTTCTGAACTATCTGAACATACTTGACCATGTAAGAGCATTTCTATCACTGTACAGCAAAGCTTCTTTCACAGGAGGCCACAAAAAGTCCATGAGCCCCAGGAAATTATCTGCTTACAATTTTTTATGAACGTCCGTATGTCCATTTGTTTTCTGGAGGAGAGCTCTATCTTTCACTGAATTCCTAGTCCTCAGAGGGTTGAGAACGATTGCTCTATACAATGACAGAACCTTCATTTAAGGGAACACTTAAGTTTCTCTTGTGTGGCTTCCTGCTACCATATCCCTGACTGCAGGTCTTCCAGCCTTGGTTTGAATGGTGGTTTTCTCCTTGTGTGAGCCAGTAGATGACTGCGTCCCTGCTATGTGGGACAGCCTGTCCTCCTGTTACACTGTTTTAACTGTCAAACGATTCTCCCTTATATAGACCCCAGGAAATAGTCCATGGTGGAAGCTCTTCCAAGTCCGAACAAGCTGCCCTAGTGGAAAACCTGCATTCATGTCCTCCAGTGGCACAAACCCCCTTGCCCTAAGTAGCCATTTTCTTTTTCTTTCTACTCCACCACCTCAGACATCTAAGTGCCCACACCAGGCTCAGACACAGGTGGAGACATGGTCTTGGAATAGCATGGTGCCCATTTCCTCCCATGTTGGGTCCTCTGCCCCAGTTTCTCCCTGGGGATAGGGTCATGAGTGCTGAGCGCTCCCGCCTCACCTTGATGCCGCATATCTTTCTCCTGTGGTTGTACTTGCCGCATTGAGGTTGCCATGGAAATCACGGTGAGTAAATTACTTACCGAGGGATGTGCCGTGCTGCATGACAATGCTGGAGTTGAGTGAGGCTGGGAGAGAATATGCCGAGGGGGAAAACGGCCTCTGATAGTAACTCATGGGACTCACGGCACCTCCTGAGTTTCCATTCACTGTTATCTGGCTCTGAGAAAAGCGCAAAGGCATCGAGTTAAATTAGCACATAGTTCCCTGTAAACATCATTCCATTAGGTGATAATAAAAGACTTCCAATCACATGAGAGTAATCAGCTGCCAAGCTCTTATTTATTTTGAAAACTGATGTCAGAGGGCATGCTACATTCTTTGCCTTCTCTCTATTCCCTTATTTCTGAAAATCACTCTCTTGTGTATCTGAGGGTCCAGGGAGTGGTTAGGAAGAATGAAAGTGGCTGACTAGTGGGCATGCCACTCTGCCAACAGAGGTGCCAAATGGTATCAGTAGGAGTCAGTACCAAGTAAATGTGGAGGACGACTTTGCTCTGACAGTCGTAACATCAGCAATCAGAACACGGTGGTGCTGTTCCGCATGCAGCATTGACGTGGATGTCCTTTGACATGAGGCAAGGGATTGGTTCTCAGACTTAGTCAGGGATATCTTCTAGTGAATGAATGTTTCCAGAGCTGGTGAATAACATAAGGAACCTAGTTGTTTGGATGTATATATCATGAAGCAACCTATTCTAGAAGGATCAAATACCTGGTAAAGGATCAGAGAGACATGTTCAACCACTGGCTTCTCCCTACTTCAGCCTCATTGAGCACTTCATGAATCTCTGTTTGATTTCTTAATTATTCATTGTTTCGATTGTTCCGTATCTGACTATTTTATATCCCCAATGGTATCTCAAGCTTCTTGTTGAAGATGGTCATATATATGCTTCTTTAATATTTTGTATAACATGCAGCCTAGTGCTGATGACAGAGTAGATGTTCAATAGGTATCTATTCTGATGGAACTGAATCGGCTTAGTTCACAGATATCGAGCTCAGGACTATTAAGCATGCCTGTCTACCCACAGCACAGTACTGATCATTACAGGGCGCACACAATGCATGCAAATAAGATCAAACATTAGTAAGAACGTTTAGTTAAAATTATAGCTAAATACACACAACACACATAGGCACACAGATAAAGAAGCATAATTTGTGAAACTTTTCTACTTATTTTAAAACAAAACAAACTTCTATTCCACAGGCTTGAAACATAGATATAGTAACTGTGTATTTCTATGATTTCACTTTAAAGCAAATGGGTTTTCAAATGACCTAGAATAAGTCTAATTTCATTACTGTATAACCATACCACTTATGTCCCCAAATCAATAAACATTTCATTACAAGCCTTGTGCTTATTGATTAAATAATTCTCTAAGCTGTTAGAAAAATTACACTCATATCATAACCAGCCACATCTTGAGGACCTGCTCCCTGGAGAGAGCTGGACGTTCAAATAACTGTGAGGCACAGGCCTGCCCAAATCTTCAGAGCTTTTATGTACCTCTGATGGATGATTTGAGAACACTTTCACCTCCTTGCCCAAGTTAAGTTTGGTGGATCTTTGTCAATATCATTGTAATACTATTATAACATGTTATAATTAATGTTAAAAGCTGAAGAATCCTTCTTATTAAAAACCATCAGGTTAACTATATTGCTAAACCTACAAACTTGCTCTGAATCCTATTTTGATGGTTTCAATAATATTGACTAGGGGTTAAAAAAGTAAACACTGAGAGTAGATTTATTCTTTTTTTTTTTTTTTTTTTTTTTTGAGATGGAGTCTCGCTCTGTCGCCCAGGCTGGAGTGCAGTGGCGCAGTCTCGGCTCACTGCAAGCTCCGCCTCCCGGGTTCATGTCATTCTCCTGCCTCAGCCTCCCGAGTAGTTGGGACTACAGGCGCCCACCACCACGCCCGGCTAATTTTTTGTATTTTTAGTAGAGACGGGGTTTCACCATGTTAGCCAGGATGGTCTCGATCTCCTGACCTCGTGATCCACCCACCTCGGCCTCCCAAAGTGCTGGGATTACAGGCGTGAGCCACCGCGCCCGGCCTAGATTTATTCTTTTATTGTGTTCAACCAATCAGGATTTTATGACTAAAATACTATCATTAGCATTTTAGAAAATACTGTATTGTTATAGTGAATTCATTATTAGGAAAAACATGTCATGAATAATCTATTTGCAATTTTAAACTGATAATTGCAATTAATTTCCCTTACAAGTAGCTCTGCTCGTGCCCACAAGACTGTATATAAGACAGTTAGTCTCCTGTAAAGTCTTAAAAACAGAAAATTGAACAGGTTAGTTGGTAGATTGATACCCTCTCACTGCCTTCTTTTTTTGGTTAAAGGTCCTGGTAAAGTTTTAAAAGCTAAGAACCATTGAAGCACAGTAGGGCATGGGAGGAACCCACACCTGCTGTGCTCCTGGTGCCCGTAGTTGGGCTGGTCCTCTGTGGCAGGGAGGGACTCGCTATGGGGTTAGGCCTGGAAAATGAGGCTCCTTCTGTAGCCAGTCTCTGAATGGAGCATTTGAATGCAAAGTGTTAGACACAGCCATTGGGGGAATACCAAATCCCATTACCAAAAAAAGCATCTTTTACTTTATGTAAATTGTAGTGTCTTAAAAAACATATGGCTTATTATAACATTTCTCTGCGCATAAAATTTGCAGACTTATCAGCTTGATAGAACATAAAACAATGTAGCACAAATAAAATTTTGTCTATGACAGTGCTTATTCGGAACTTCATTATAATATCAATTTAAAAAAAAAATCTGATTTTTTTGCCTGAAGCTATGTGTCTCTTAAATGGAAGCCATTACTTAGACATTATATGCAATATAGAATCTGTGCCATAAAATTTTGAAACATTTTAGCCATTCACAGATCATTTATTAGGGATTGCTTATCACATAGATATATTTAAATAATATATGTATGGAAAAGATGTATATATTGCTATAAATGAAAGACAAATTATTGATAAACAAAATAAAAAATGTATTCATAAATTTCTGTCCTGAAATGGCTCAGGAAGAATAATTTTTAAAAATCGTACAGCTAAATTTCTGAAAGGTAGATAGGATTATCGACATCATTCACTCCTGGACAATAGATGAGTTCAAAAGTTGTAGCTGTTAGAGAAGGAGGAACAAGAAAAATTAGCCTCATGCAGTCAGTAATCATTTATGTGAGAAAAAGGATATAGAAAAGAGTCACACAGGACACATTAATGTGAGTCTGTGAGAAAAACTGCTAACATGTATTAATACTGGGTTAAAATTTTTTGAAAAATTTTAGACTTTATGATCACAACATATTGTGATGTATACTTAGCTAATAAGGCAAATCACTGTAGAACTTACCAGCTACAGTAACACGGGAAACCGTAAGTAACTATTTTAGAGTAACTATAAGTAATTCTAAAATGAATGAAGAGAATGAAGTGACTTTTTCAGCCTTAAGCAAGCTTATAGGATGACTAATGATTTCCCTGACAGATGGCATAGAATTGGTTTGGGAATCAACACCTATGTAAATAAAAATGTCAGCCGAAAAATGAGATGGCACAACAAATCAGTCCTTTCAAGGAAACGGTGGAGGCAAAGAAAGGCAGAATAATTACATGAGTGGCCGCAGGGGTGGTTAAGGTGGTGCCATCTGTCACAGCAGACCTCTGACCCCAGGTGGGGGAGGGTGTCTCAGAACGGCCAGTGGTGTCAGAGTCACCAATCTGCAGCTCCTCCAGCATGGCTGTGGAGGACTCACTCTCCGAGCGGGAGGAGTGCTCGGCCAGGGAGGAGTCTGTTGTCAGAGAGCCTGTGTCGTGGCTGTGGATGAGGCTTTCTGGAGCTGGGAGCAGGTGTTTGTATAAGCAATGGGAAAGGCTCTGGGGATTATGCAGGCGTGAAGACCCCACACCATCGGGGGGCGGAAGGCTGAGTGATGCTGAGCTGGTGCCACTGCCTGGTGAGAAAGTGGCTCGGTTCAAAGGTACCACGGAAGGAGGGCACGGAGGAGAAGCTTCTGGTGTGGTTTGTCTGTGTGTCTGTGAAGCATTTACCTCCAACACACTGGCAGGTAAGTTCTGATTTCCAAGCTGAGTATGAGGAAAAAATAATAAGAGATAAATTATCCAATTAACAAAAGTACCTCTTTTTGCGATGTGGCAGAGAAGGCAAAGCATCGGTTTTATTTGCAAGCACTTTAAGGAGTTACATTCAGATGGGTTAGGTGCCAACCACACAGTGCAGAAAAAGTGTGAAAACAGGAAGAAAGTGAATCCAGTCGGTGTGTTTTGAAACAAGGCCGGTTTTCACACAGCACTGCAATGTAATTCTGGTTAGGGGCTTGAGAGTGTTGGCATAACGAAACTGTTTCCTCAGGAGTTTTAGTTTTTGTATTTGTGACAATGATAAGATATCAGACTATCGGTCAGCAGAATTGGTTTGTCCTTCACTAGAAAAATCTAATAGCATAATTGCCTCCCCCTTGCCAAAATGTCCCCAAAACATAAATCTGTTTGTCTTATTTTTTCCTGGTTTATGAATCTAAACACTGATAATACTAAACACAACTAAGCAGAAAAGATAAATGGAAAAGATGTTTTATTTCCTTTCCACTAATTAAATCTGTTCTTTGATTTCACTACAAAATACGAAAAGAATTGGACTTTAAAATATCCTAGCAATGCAAATAGAGGTACCATGTGTGAAAATGAAAACCAGCCACTGATAATAGTTAGAATGTACCCTAGTTAGTTAGAACTATGGTTGGCACTAAATCTTAGGTAAAGGAGAAAGAAACTGAAGGAAAAATAAAAGATTTAACAGCTCCAAGGCTATATATAGCCCAAGAGGCTAAACATAGCGAAGGGATGCTCTGTAGGAGGAAGAGAGAAGATGACCATTTGAAATTTTACAACCACCTGTGGTAGCCTGGATGACGTTTGACCACACGTGACAAATAGGATGATAAGTACTCAATTCAACGTAAGTGAATAAAACTCCGAAGCAACTTTTCTTACTTATTTTTTCTACCTTTCAGAACAGACACTTTTTGGAGGGGATGTTTGGGAGAGGAAATGGTTTTAAGATAGATGGCCAGAGGTATTGTGAGATATTAGTACAAAGATGGGAATGAATGAAGGAGAACTGTTTACACTTAGAAATACTGCCTAGTAAATGTTTAAGTTAAACAATTTGGTGTTCTTTGGCAGCCATAATTTTCATAATGACTGATGTCATGCACGTTGTTAGCATAATAAAAAGGTTGCAATAATTTTTTTCTCAGACTTTTACTTGAATACTTTTAAAAAATCCATCATATAAAAAGGTCTCTCTGAATCATAGATCCCTTAGAAATCTGATAAATGTGACTGATCCTTCTTTTGGGGAAATGCACAAATTCATACATACAGAAAGTTCTGCATAAACTTCAGGGGGACAGAGACACTCTAAAGCATAACCTTAATCTAATGGGTTAAGAAACCCCAACCTTGGATAAAAAGACAGATTTTCTTGTCCTAATCTTACTTAATATGATTTTTTTTCTTGTTTAAACATAGTCATTTTAAATGTGATATATATATATATATATACGTATATATATAATATATATTTTACTGTTCATGGTTGTTTAAATCTCTAGAAATAACTGACAGAAATCTTAGTTACCCAGAACTTAAAATGTTTTGGTGGGGATGCATCCTTATTATTACTGAGTGTTTACAATAATTGCAATCTTATTGGAGGTGAAACTTTAATATTATGAAATTATCATAATTCTAACTTAATGTATTAAAATGTTGCTATAAGTCTGAATGTAATTCAGTATAAAGCAGTCTTTGGATAGCGTCAATGAAATTTCCCCTAATAATTCAGCTTTACTAAGGATGTTTCCATGTAATACGAATCTCTTTTTAGTTTTATTTATGCTAAATGAAAACTATGAAATAATACAAATCATACAAAAGGATTTGAGTTATCTGCTCATGAGACTTTTCCCTTTCAAATTAAAAGAAAAAAATCTAATGACTTTAACCCCCATTGGACTGACTTGTCCATATCCTATGACTTGAAACATGTCAAAAGCTAAAGCGTATTCTAAAATCACCATTGTCACGGGTAATATGATCATTAGTTTGCATAGCACTGTGTCTGGGGATGGTCCTTACCCATTCAATTGTTCTTCCAAATAGAATGTCCACAGAAAACAAAATTATTCCACCTTTCGAATTTCTTTCACCACCTCCTGACATGCTCCTGGTTTTGAGTCTTTTAATGCACGTGTGTGTATGGGTGTGTATGTGCGTGTGTGTGTTTGTGAGTGTAAGGCATGAAATGCCTCGTGGTGAGTCACATCACACTTAAATTTCTACAGATAAAACTCAATAATTCAACAGTTATACTGGTCACCCACAAAAAAGCTTTGACAAGACCCCAATCTTCACATGAATGGAATATACCCTGTAGACCCAAGGGGAAAGAAAGACCATGTTACACGTGTTTCTCCTGAGGAAAATCAGAAGAGCAGCAGGAAAGGTATGAAAGGGGAAGAAGGCAGTATTTTCCCAATCTGGACTACCTCAAAAATAGGGAAAACTGGCTTTAAACAAGTGTATTTTTTTCTTACTTCATGAGTGGCAAGTAGATGACTGCAGGTAATCATCCTAATTGTTTTAGGTCTCCTTCTTTTCAAGACCATGGAAGGCTAAGGTGTTTGAATAGGGATCAAGGGTCACCAACTTTTTGTGAGTATAAATTGTTTTTTCTTTCCCCAACCCTTGAGCTAGCAGGAAGAGGGTAATGAGAAACACCAGCTAGCAGCCAGGGGCTGCCTGGTCTTCTGCAAAGGACAGGGACGGTGCTTAAACCTTAATATGCTTCATATACCAAGAGAGAGCACCTGCTTACTCAAACTAGCACTGAGCTTCTTCGTCCAAATGACTCCAACCCAGAATGCTAAAGAGAGCCTGTGGATGAGAGTGCTCACCAATCAACACTGGAGCTCCTGAGGAATGAAGGGGCACAGAGATTCAAGGGAGGGTGAGCTTCAGCAGTGGAAAAAGTGTATTGAGTTGGATGAAGGCATTGCAAACTCAAGTGCCCATCATGGGTCAGGAAAGTATCCAGGATGTGCAAATCAAGCCCGTGTTGGATGACAGGGAATGATGGGACCGATGGCAGAATGCGGAAGTCATGTTCCCCCTCAAGGCGGGCGTCATTGACCCATATCCTTTGCCTTGAAACACGATGAAAATTAAAGCTTACTGTCTCTAAGACCACCATAGTCATGGGTAATATGACCTTTAGTTCGCTCATAAGCTCAGTGACAACACATCTATAGTCATAAGCCCCTAAGCTGTCACTTGCTGACACAGCAGATGTGGAAGCTGGAGGTGGAAGAGGGTAGCTGTGGAGCGGGGATGTGAAGAAGGAGTGCATGGCCAGGCCTCAGGAGAGGAGGGGAAAGTGCTCGTTGGGGTGCAAAACTTAAAGAGTGACAAAAAACTCAGTAATTGAGATAAATTCTGTTTCAATGCAATCTTTGAAAGAAAATCAACATCAATGCAAAAAAGCAAAAATACCCCATACTGAACAAAAATGTCGAAAATATAAATGAAGACCAGCGCATGCCAAGCCATAGGAAAAGAGAGTCTGGGTCTGGCGTTTTTAATGCAAGAAAACTCATCAATAATATTTTCAAAATCTACATTTTTGCTTATTTCAGTTTTAGTTGAGAGAATAGACATGTTTGACAATTTCCAATTAACTGATGGCCATCTTAAATAATTTGTAATTAATTTAAGGTGAAGTAAACATGTAATAGGGCAAGCGCAGTGGCTCACACCTGTAATCCCAGCACTTTGGGAGGCTGAGGCGGGCAGATCACCTGAGGTCAGGAGTTCTAGACCAGCCTGGACAACATGGTGAAACCCCGTCTCTACTAAAAATACAAAAATTAGCCAGGCGTGATGGCAGGTGCCTGTAATCCCAGCTACTCTGGAGGCTGAGGCAGGAGAATTGCTTGAACCTGGGAGGTGGAGGTTGCAGTGGGCCGAGATCACACCACTGCACTCCAGCCTGGGTGACAGAGCAAGACTCTGTCTCAAATTTAAAAAAAAAAGGTTTATTTTGCTTTAAATAAAATATTTAAGCTTAAAATAATGTGTGAGTGTTAATAACGTGCGTTTCAACTTTTCAAAAAAATTCTAATGACTTAAACATTCTAGGAAAAAGCTCATTCCCAATATATGAAAACAGGTATAAGGAAGCACAGAATTTCCTTCCACCTCAGGTTCCAGTTGGCTTGACATGGCCCTGAGGTCAAGGATCCTAACATCTCTCTCTTAACACCTTTAGTCATTGAGCTTCTAGGCCTCATTTCTCAAGGAACATAAGGAATATATATTAAATGTCAAGCAAAGAAATCTGACAGGCTTTTGTTCTCTTTTTTCCAATGATAGTAATTTACTTGAAAAGAAAATATCTAGGAAGGGGTTTTTTTTTTTTTGGAGTCTTGCTCTCGACCTCCAAAAGTGCTGGGATTACAGGCATGAGCCACTGTGCCCGGCTGGAAGGGGTTTTAAAAAAACCAATCTTTACCTCCCATCCACACATCCTTTAGGGAAAATGTGCCCCCTCTTTTCATGGCCTGTCCTGGTGGTATGAGGAGACCTGCCTGGCAGCTGTGTCTGTTGCCGGATCATCATTTTGCTGGCCACAGCTGATTAGGAAGGGGGAGTAACTGGACTATGCTGGGCCAGTGGGGCCCTGCCTCCCTCCTGGGAATTTGAATTACGTGACACTGAATGCCCCTCAGGTAGCTGTCGGGTACCCAAATGCAAGGAGTCAGAGAGTATCATGGAAACCCATGGGCAACTTGAAGTAACGACAGAGCAGAAACTAAGAGACAGACAGGGAACTATGCAGTTCCTACGACTGAGAAGGATGGAGGGTAGCTGCCTGGCCATTGCCCCGTTTCCCTAAGGCCTGGCTGTATTGCCTGCATTGTAATGATGTGAGATTGTCTGACAGCCTCATAATAAAAATTATTTTAACCATATACTCCCCACCCAAGAGCTGGGTGACAAGTGATCTAAAATTGTCACACAGATTGGGCACACTGACAGCATGTGGCATCTGAATCAGGGGAGTAAATATTTCTACTGTACTCTGTGGTATTCAGATCGGGAATATGGTTTTGCATCTGGGAAAGTGTCATATTTTAAGAACATTATCAAAATATGGGATTTAAAAATCAGCTTGTGTGAGAGCATAGAGGTAGCAGAGGCTAGTGGCTGAGCTGTGGATCTTGAGTCAGACAGACTTGGGCAACTTGTTTAATTTCCTTGGCCTCAGTTCCTTCATGTGTAAAATATAGGCATGGATAAAACCCATCTCTTAAAGCCTGTAAAAATTAAGTAGGGCAATGTAAAGTGCTTAGCACAGTGCCTGGTGTGCTGTAATAGCTCTCAAAAAAAGGAGAATCATGTTTTACAAAATTAAAATGCTGGGAAGGAACAGGAATGCTCTGCACAAAGCCAGTAGCAGGGTAGGGAAGAGAAGGATCACGTGAACACTGTCAGATAGAGGCGGAAGAACATTCTGTCTCTTTTGCTCTGTGGATAACCATGCAGAAGTTAAGGAAGGCAGATCATGACGTGGTATTAGAAATTCTTTCCAATAATTCGATCTCAGAAATGGCCAAGCACTGGACTGCTGCCTTGGAATGTAACTGAGCTCTTCATTAAGTGTATTCAGAAAAGGCTGGATGCCCATCTATTGGGAGATGTTGAAGAGGACGTTTTATTTGTAAACTCATGTTGGACTCCCAAGTATTCTCTAATGTTCAATTATTTAAATACATGCATATGCATGCGCATGCACAGACATCAAATGGAGAAATTGCCAAAGACCTGATCAACTAATAGCATTACGAGCCCACAGAAAGGAAGCCATACTAATGGAAGACATCAATGATTGGGGCCGGTCTTGATAGCAATGTTCCAGAAAGTGCGTTCTGCAGTTCTGCACCTATTATCCCACACTGCTGACATGTCTGCATTACTCTGTCCTCCTTAGTATCTACATACTGATCCCATGGAGCAAAAGAAATGAGTTTCCTCTCCCTTCTACATGACAGTCGGGCAAGTTCCCCTGTGAGTCCCCAGCATATGTGCAGTGGCAGCTGTGAAGGTGAGGCTTTGGCAAATGATTGATTATGTTATTTCATAACGGACAGGACAAGCTTATCTTCCTGAAGCAAGGAACATAGCACAGATGCCATAGAAACTGTTTGGGGGTGTAGCTTTTTGCTGGCTTTCCAAAGTGTCTGGCTTATACCTTCACTTACTTGACATTGAGAACAATGTGACATTTTTAGCAACAGGATATCTGATCACACAGTGCCATAAGGATAACATGCCTCATTTCTGGTCTGTTTGTAGGAGGTCAATTAAAGCACATGCCGTTTAGAAAACACTATGAAAAATTGTCAAATATGAAGAGAATTTCTAACAGTGACCTGTAGTTTTCTTCTTAAATTAATGAGCAGACATTAATAATAACAAAACTATGTAAATAAAACTTCTGAAACACTGAAATGTACTTTTCACATCTTGGTGTACTTTTATCGCTTGGACCTGCTAATTCCTGGGAGCCTAATTCTTTATAATGGAGCACATATTTGGCTGACTCACAGGGTATAGCTTACAGTGCTTGGCATTGGCTGAGACTTGCCAGAATGCGGAGTGCAAGTGTTTAAAATGGAAAGGTCACCATTGTGAAAGGTCATTACATGGAAAATGAGACTTAAAAATGAAGCATATCACAATCATCAAGATGTAGAAACAAACCAAATGTCCATTGATGGACAAATAGATAAAGACAACGTGGTGTATACGCATACTAGGATACTATTCAGCCTTAAAAAAGATGGATGTCCTGCCACATGCTGTAACATGGAGCAATCTGGAGGACCTTATACCAAGTGAAGGCCTGTCTCAGAAGGACAAATATCTGAGCAGAGAGTAGACTGGTGGTTGCCAGGCGCTTGGGGAAGGGGGATATGAGTTGCTATTCGGTGGGCATAAAGTTTTAGTTATGCAAGATGAATAAATCCTAGAGATCTGCTGCACTGCATGGTGCCTACAGTTAACAATACTGCATTGCACACTTACAAATTTGTTAAGAAGGCAGATCTCATGTTAAATGTTCTTACCAAAATTTTAAACAGAGAATAAAAACTGCAACAGCTTCATGCTACCTTTTTTAAAAAGCCTTAGAAAAGAGGACACGCTATCTTGGAACAAACTGAAAGTCTGTTGAAATAAACTTTTACCTACCAGTAAAAAAAATGAAGTATTGTTGAAAATAATATATTTCTTTTTCCCAATCAGATGCATAATTTGGAAAAATATTATTTAATGATGATGACAGCTACTGTATGTTGAAGAATTACCATGAAGCAGGCACCATGCCAAGATCCTTATATGCCTTACTCAAACCTCCCAGCAGTTCTATGAATGGTTGCTATCATTGTCCCTGTTTTATAGATGAGAAAACTGCTGCTCGGGGAGGGTGAATAACTAGATGAATGGTTTTATGTTAATAAGATCTTGAAACAGCTGACTGCCCAACCACTTTCTTCCCAGTCTCTCTCATACCCACTCCAAGAAAGCCTCCTTCCCCACTATGGAATCAATGGTAAGTTTTCAGATTTCATTTCAAACCTGTCTCATCAACAGCATTTGTGCGGTGAACCATCCCTTTCTTTCCACACATTTTCCTCACATGGCTTTTAGGATGCCACATTTTCCCAGATTTCCTCCTCCCTTAGAGGACACTGCTTTCAGTCTCCTCCACTGCTTCTTCCTCTTAATGTTGAGATTCACTCAGGCTCAACTCTTGGTCCTCCCCTTTTCTCTGTCCTTCCCCTGCTGATCTCACTCTGTCTCATGGCCACAAAACCCATCGACTAGCCAATGGCTGATACCTCCAACCAGGACCTTTCCCCTGAAGTACAGGCTCTTACATCCAAATGCTCACTTGACCACTTAATGTGGGTGTCTAAGAAATGCCTCAAACTTCCTGTTTCCCAAATGGAACCTCTGAAGTTTCCACCAACCTGTTCCACCCACAGCTGTCCAGTCTCAGCTGATGGCGATGCTATCTTCCAGTTGGAGTCAACCTTGACTTTTCTCTTCCTCACATCCCACATGCAATCTGCCAGGAAGTCCTGTTTGCTTGACTTTCAAAATACATTCTCACAGTCTGATTTCTCACCACCTCCTCTGCTGCCCCCTGCTTTGAGCCCCATCATTTCTTACCTAAAGGACTGCAGTAGTTACCTAACTGGTTTGCCTGATCTCCTCCTTGCCCCACTATGGTACGTTTTTCACTGAGCTGCCAGAATGATTTTGTTAAAATATAAGGGAAATAATAATGGTGGTAGCCTCAACATCCTCCAGTGACCTCCATTTTTATTGAGAGTAAATGTCAAAATCCTTGCAATGGCTTATAAGGCCTCCTGTCATCTGGTCTTTGTTACCTCTGACTTCACTTCCTATCACTCTCACCTCACTTACTTCCTCTCCCTCCCTCAGGCTTCCTTCTGGTCCTCCCACAGCCCCAGCATGATCAACCTCAAAGCCTTTACATAAGACATTCCCTCTGCCTAGAATATTCTTCCTCCTTCAAAGCTGTTCTCTTTTCAGTGAGGTCTATTGATATTGAGTTACCATACTTGACATGATATCTGGTCTCCACATCTCTACTTTGCATGGCATAACTCAATTTCCATAATCTTCTAATATATGTAATTTACTCCAGTTCTTATTAATGCTTGCTCCTCCTGCCACACACAGACAAATTTTAAGCAGGAATGGTTTCAAATCCAACTCTGTTACTAGAACAGACTTGACATAGGTTAGGCACCCAATAAATATTTCTTGAATAAATAGCAGTGACAGGATCTCAAATCTTAACTTTTAGATGGTGCCGATACCCTGGGGATAATATAATCAAACTAACCGTCTCTGCGCAGCCTGGATAAAACCATGCAAAACGAAAGGTATCAGCTTGTTTTCAAACATCACAAAACCATTCTGAAGAAGCAAACCAGGTTGGATGAGTCCAATGACTGATATGTGTTCCTATGACTTCTCCTACACCTGCTTCCTGGCGTGCCCATCCTGGGACACTGGCGAGTCTGCTCACTGACACTGGCACGGGCCTGTCTGTACAGTCACAGACGGATTTTGCTCCCTCCGACCTTCCTGGACTCCTGAACCCGATCAAGATGCATCTGCCTCAGCTCCCACCATCATGGCACCGTGTCTCGTCACTGCTGAGTAACGACTTCACAACGAGAAGTAGCACTCTTTCAGAGTGGTGGCCCTGCAGCCAGCCTGCCAGGGTGTGTATTCTGTTTCTGCCTTTTGCCAGCTGCATGACCCTGGGGGAGCAACTTACTTCTGTGCCTCAGTTTCCTTAGCCATAAAATAAGGACAGTAGTAATACCTACTCCATGAGATTGTGGCAATTATTAATAAACATAAACAAGCTGCAACAGTGCCTGCATAGAGTAAGGCCTTAATATTTGTTAGCTCCTATTAATGTTATTATTATTATTATCATCTGATTTCATAGGTGCTTTCAGAAGATATTACCTTAATTAGAAGAAATTGCTCTACTGAACGAATTTTGCACATCTTGATTGGCTGATGGAGAAGATATTTTAGTAGAGGTATGATAATACCAGCTTGTCCTTTAATCATTTCTGTTTAAGGCTCGTCTGCTTTATGAGTGGGTGGGGGGATCTTGGTGTCAATTAGTTATCTTTTGGAGATTTTCTGTACAGTTTAAAAGTATATCTCCTCGAGGATATGTTTTGGATGATCTTTATTAACACAGATACAAAAAGGAGTATTATACAAATTATTTACTTAGGCACCACTGTTTTCAATATTAACACTAGCGCTGTTGCTGCTACTATTATATCTTTTATTAACAGCTGTCATTGAGTGCTTGCTCTAGCCTAGTCTATGGTAATTCCCTAGTCTTACCATAACCTATAAATTAAGGGTTAATTAGTATTCTCATTTCTTTGTTCGGACTCACAGAAAAGTTTAGATGAATGTCTCATCACATAGTAAATGATGCCTGGATTAAAATCTACAGCTTATCCTTAAAGTTTGTGCTTTTAGCACTACATTGTTCTATGGAGAAGTCAAAAAGAGAAGCACATTTCTCCTGTTAACAGACTAATACATGTAAACAGAAGGATGCTATGAGAGAATTCTACACACATGGAAAGTTTTACTTCCTGAAAGTCTGGATAATAAAAGTTGGCTAATACACTTTCTGAAATGATAAATTAAGTTTTAGTGAAAATGAATATTGAGTTGCAAAGAAATAGACATTGCTTAAAATTAAGATAACTATTCCCTGCCAAAGCAAATTATAATTGACAATTATCTGAAGAGGTTTTACACATGTAAATAAAGTAAATCTAAGTGCAAAAAGATCTAATATGAAAAATATTTCTTTGAAACCTAAACATGCTTTAAGTCCTGAAGTAGTCTGCAATGTCTTAAATGATAACTGACCCCTCAATGATTTCCCATAAACATCTAGAAGAAAAAAAAAAATTTAGAACATGATTTCTGGATGAAAGATCTGTATATGCATATTTACATTTAAAAATACCTAGACATTTGCTGATGAATTTAGTAGGGTTTTAAATTGGAAAATGGTTTCTTTCTCCTTTCCCTTCCTGCTTGGAAACTAAGAAAGCATTAGGTCATATAAGAAGCCCAAACCAAAGGAGTTAGGGTCTCTACGATACGCATGTATTAATACGAAGAGACTGAGAAGCTTAAGGTACCACTCTGCAGTCTGAGGACTGAGAGGCCGCTGCAACTGCAGATTTTTGTCTCTCTTGCTGAAGAGGTATCTTTGCAGTCTCTGGAGAAAGCTCAGGTAGCTGTTTGTGGCTTTCAAGATCCTGTCCTGAAAGGGGAGCTATCTGAATGGAAAGAGATGCTGTGTGTGTCTCAGGCACTGGATTAGGGGTCAGTGAGCGGGGCCTTTTGAGAAATGACGGTACTTCGACAGATTTGGAGAACTGTGGAGTACTAATGGGGCTGCTACTTCCTAGATCCTGGTTATGGGTTAGTTTCAAGGTAGAAATCCTCCGAGTTTGAGAATCTTGCCTGTAGTCCTCTTGTAGAACTGGGGTGTTGATGTTAGCGAATGGTGCAGGATCCGTGCTGGAAGCTGCTGGTAGTGGATTAGTGATTTTTTGTGTATATGACATGGTTGTGTTAGATTCTTCAGAATATACAATTGTCTGTCTCGAATCTTCATTGGAATACATAGTTCCCTGAAGAGGTTTTTTGTTAGCAAAGTACTCTGTACTGGAGGGAATTTGTGTGTTAGTTACTAACTGGTCTAAAATGACACCCTTTGTGTGACTGGTTATCAAAGAGCTATGAAAGCTCTCTTTTCTTTCTGGTGGAGGGGGTGCCTGGATTGACAATGGGATCCAGAGAAAGAAATAAAGTTGAAAGAAAAACAGAGAAAGTCCAAGTTAGTCATGAAAGAAACCAGTGTCAACCTTGCCTTTACAGAAGTAAAGCAATGCCACACCTTCTGATTATGCTATCCATTTTGTTAGCTAGATTGAGTGATCATTTTCATTCCATTTAGAATGCACTTATGTTTATTATCAATGTTTGCCCTTGGGGAAAAAAGTGTTGCCAGAGAATACATTATAACATTTGCTCCATCTACATTCAGGGAAATTATGTTAAAAGTGAACATATGTTCTCTTGGCATATTTTATTAGACTTTGACATATATATATATAGTTTATTTAATAGCATTGTTTTATAACAATTTTCATGCTTGTGGCACAATTTTACTAATATCTCCAACACAGAGCCCTTTTAGTTAATATAATAGTTGCATACTCATAGTTATTGAATACATAATGTATTGCTGACCTCATCAGTTTAAATCCAAAGCATCAGCTGTCAGCTTTTAAAGAATTAGAATATATCCTAGAGATTATGTTAAAAACCGACATACTTTGATAAGCTTAATCAGAAACAAAACCAAACCAAACCCTTGTTTGTTAAAATTTGTTCTCCATGTTGTAAATACAAACCTGGCAAGCAAACTAAATACAAAAGCAAAAACATATTAAAAATAAAACGTATTGAAATACGCACATTAGGAAAGAGGCTGTAAGCAGTGGTCTAATAATCATGCCTTAAAATAATGCAGTAGCCAAGAGTGTGCAGGGTTACCTGAGTTGGTGATCTTTTATCTTGTAGGTTTGGTCGAACGCTTCTAAAACCTTTTGCTGCAAGAGAGGAATATGTAGCATCTCCGTTCAGTGTCTCCTGATTGCCATCATTGTAAGATCTCCAAGCTTTCATTAAGGGAAAACAATTGGATACAAAAATATCTACGTTCACTTAAACATTTTTTATAAAATTTATTTTTATTTCCAAAATCATTTTTATTTCCAAAATTGTAGTGTTCTTACTAGAGGTTTAATTTAATATGCATAACAGTACATGAAATTTAAATTTAACATGAAGTCAGCGATGTGGCTATGAATATGTTTTCTAAAAGTCACAAATAATATAATAATTATTCAGAATATTTTTTCTGTACCTGAGTCTGGTGACTGAGAATCACGCCCTGAAAGAAAAAAAAATGTTGAAATTAAGACTAAGGTGAAATAAATGAACAACCCAGTAAAAATAACATGGCAAAGAACTATATGCATTGTTTTTGCAAACATTATTTCAGTTTTAAAATCTGGGTATGTCAAACATGCCAAAGGGAGGCTTGTACATTTATTTTTACTTCAATTAGAATGTCATTCATTAAATATCTATAATATATAAATATCTATATAGTAAACACTCATTTTTCCCCTCAATAATGTTGCAACATGCAATTTTAATCTTATTATGGCAAAGATGAATATATGAATTTCTAAATATCAAATTAAAGGATCAAAAGAGATCTGGTTTATAAACAGCACTAACTCAAACTGCCAGATCCTTAGCTTCCAATGCCCTGCTGTTGATAAGCATATTTAACTCCTGTGTTACAGAACTGTATTCTGTAGTTCGCATTTTTTTTTACCTTAAGAAACTGTAGACCTGTCTACCATATCATGTGACATTTTCAAATTATTCTCGAGACTGAGTTTTTTTCCTATTGCAATATAAAAGTCATTTTATACTCAAATATGAAAAAACTGTTACAACATGTTCCACTGTCTTTCAGCTAGTAAGCTGTGGAAAATAAATTTCAGGACTAATAAATTGCTTTTGGTAAGGCAGTTGGCAAGTTATCAGTGATATATTTGTTATCAATTTTATTGAAGTTATATATTCCAAAATCTTCTATATGCACATTTGAGGTAATCAGTTTGCACGTTTAACTCATGTGTATTTTAAGTCATCAGCTTGTGTTGCCTGGTTTATTAAAGCACATGGTCAACTTTACTTAGATTCATTAAGCTTTAACTTTGGAGGTGATCCTAGGGGTTGGATCATTAGCCCAACCTGCTGTCCAGTCCTGGATTCCTTCTACGTGTTCCCCAGGACCATTATTAGATTCCCATTTCAATTCATAAAACAGGAATTTTACATGCTGGAAAAGTCTTTGTTTTTCTTTTAGTGCTTCAGCACAGTTATTTTCAAGTTTAAACACATGAACTTAGAATGATAAAAATGGGCTGAGAAATGCGAGCATCTGATTTTTAGATAAAATATTTGATATGGGTTCTTTCCAAATCAAAGGAAGGAACACAAATGTGAGTCAGCACAGAGTACATTAGAATGATTCCAGCTCAGGTGAGCTAGAGAAGACTAATGAATTCCCATTCTTTATGATCATTGATAACTTGGTATGGATTTTATCTCCAATGAATTTAAAATTGGAGTAATAAAATGGGTACCATAGAGAAAAATTACTTTGAAGAATTATGCATGAAATGTTTATTGGACCCTACTTCTAGAATTTGTACAATTTTTTGATTTTTATTTTATTTTTTAAAGATGGGGTCTTGCTATTTTGTCCAGGCTGTCCTTGAAATAGTGGGCTCAAGAGATCCTACAGCCTCAGTCTGTTGGTTAGCTGGGACTACAGGTATGTGCCACTGGGCCTGGCCCTTCTTCTAGGATTTGATGGAAGCAGAAATGATTGAAATTCTTAATCAGCTATATGATGAAGATAAAGAAAAATACAGTTTGACAAAAAATACAGAGCAATCATCAGAATGCTGCTTTAGGGCACTCAGGAGAGAGATTTAATAACCATGAGGCTGCCATCCACTGTGGACAATGAACAAATTTTGGGATTTGGGAAAGGACAACGAAAAGCAAATTTTGGAATTTGGGAAAAAGCAATAAAATAGCCCAATGCTACTTTATGAAAAGAGAAGCAGCATTAATAACAATGATTATATTCTGATTTTTTTCTTGAGGATAGGGAGTTTCTTTTATGCTTGGTTTGGTAAAACTGAGATAAAAAAGAAGGCTGTGTGTTAGCGCTGGGGACGAGGTAATGGGACCCAGAGGCTTGGAGGTGCAAGGGTGCAGGTGCGGTGAGAAAGAAGAAGGTGTACTGGGCGGGTCTGAAGGACACTAGAAATAAACTCCCTCTAAATGATAGTCTGTAGGGGGCAGGCTCTGTTTCTTCACGCTGGTCACCGTGTTGAAGATGAGGAGCCCCAGGAGACGGTAAGTGTGAGAATCAGAGGACAGTCACTCCAGGCTCAACTGTGGGTTTCTTCCTGGGACACTGGGCCCAGGGATTTCCAAATGAATCTGTCCCTGTGCCACTGGAAACATTAGACAGTAAGAGGGGTGGGCTGTTCTGAAGGGTCTTGCATCGCACAGTGGACACGAGTGTGCAGAATTAAGAGAAAGGAGAAAATGGCCATTGAGTCGAACTTCAGGATGAACCAGTATTTTAATAAAGCTTATGTTGATGATTAAAGTCTGCCTTGAAGTGGCTGGTCTCTCAAGGAGACTAAAGTACATTCATTTCTCTTTCTTTAAAATAAATCCAATTACAGATACTTGGAACACCCAGTCCTGATTTGCTCTTTTATTATAGTCTTCTATGTGGACACTTTTTAGCATAGCCCTGCTTTTATTTTATCCCTGCAGGAAAGACTAGGAGAGGGAGGACACCTGTTCTTTGGAGCAGGTAATAGAAAGTATCATGGATCCACATCAAGTAAAGAGAATATAGGTTAGAAAAAAAAAAAAAAGTCGCCCAGGTAAATGGCTTGGCAGATGTGTGGGGAAAATGGATTTCCCCAGATCTGCAGCATTATTGGTGCACATTCACTTGTGAAAAAAACACAAAGCTAGGACTAGGGGCCAGAGTCCTTAATTTCTAGTGTTCTTTAGTAGACAGTCACTGCTTCACTGAAAATCCACGAATGACTAAATGGTGTAAGTTTTCCCCTTTCCTGGCTGTTTTGCATGTGAATATTTTAACAAATAGGGTCTTGAAGAATGAAGAGCTCCACGTGCTCTTACCAGCCCTTTTCCTTGTGTCGAGGCACAAACTGGTGAGTCTCTGTCTGAGATTTTGTGCAAGACATTCCCGGTTCCATGTCAGGGGTGGAACTGGATGCCCTCCATGGCCCTTTCCACTGTTATCATTCTAACATGACAGCTTTCGTGTAGCTGTGTTTGTGATACGTGTCACATCGTAATCTCTACTCTCAGGTTTTATTTAAATCCCTTTTAACTGATATGCTCTATTGACACTATCACTATATTTTTCTTGAAAATTATTATTTTGATGCCTATAACTCATTTCTTTAGAAGACTCAAGTGCTTTTTAAGAATTATTTTAAAATGTTGATTAAATTCAGGTCAACTAATTGAGTGCCTACTGTGTTTCTATGTACAATTATAACCCTTTTCATTTATTTTCTTCATTTATTCTCATTTATTCTGACAAATCCTTGTGAGTCTGGGAAACGATTAAGCTTTCAGAGAGGTAAGAAATGACAAACAATTTTTCATTGGAAAGAAAGGAAATGAGATCTAGACAGACTAATTTTCTTAAGGGCATGAAACATGCAGGTGGTATCGACAAGACCCTGTCTCTTGGCGGAGTGGTCCCCATACTGCGGCATTCCTTTAGGCTGACAAGGGGTTTTGGTGAAATAAAATGTTTTCAATTGTTTCTCAATAGTCATTGTCTTGGTTTTGGCATAGGTTTAAAATATCCGTGTGTGCTCTGATGGATTGTCCAGTGGGAATTTACTTCTTATAAAAGGAAAAGAGAAAGACAGACTGACTCAGGGGACAAATAGGTGGTGACTCAGATTGACTGTCTGATCAGAGAAGGGAGTGAAAATGGCTTGGGACCTTTTCTGGAGGTTTTACATAAAGGCTGTTGTATTTTAACAATATCGAAGGCAATAAATATTTATCAATTCCCTTTTGATTCACATATAGACACTGTATCATATAAGTTCTTATGAAAGCTACATAGAATGCAGTTGTGCATATTAATGCTAACTTCTTTATTCAAAAATATAATGGAAGCTTCTTTGAAAAAGGGGGCCAGGTGTAGTGGCTCAGGCCTGTAATCCCAGCACTTTCGGAGGCTGAGGCGGGCGGATCACTTGAGGTCAGGAGTTTGAGACCAGCCTGGCCAACATGGTGAAACCAGGTCTCTACTAAAAAAAATACAAAAATTAGCCAGGCATGGTGGCAGGCACCTGTAATCGCAGCTACTCAGGAGCCTAAGGCAGGAGAATGCTTGAACCTGGGAGGCAGAGGTTGCAGTGAGCCAAGATCGTGCCACAGCACTGCAGCCTGGGCACAGAGCAAGACCCACCCGTCTCAAAAAAAAAAAAAAAGAAAAGAAAAGAAAAAGAAAAAGGGATCTTACTTTACGTCTAATTGACACAAAAGAGGGCTGTTTTTAAACAATTATGTCCAAAATTCAGTGGACTTCATTCTCTAGAAATCATATGCCTAGTGATAGAAAACTTAAAATAGCCCAAAGCTACATTGTTATTACTGAAGATTATTTCATATTCCTAAAGTGTGAAATGTTTTTTTTTTCTTTTTTGCTGTTGTAATTCCGAAGCATTAAATCTTTTCTATGAAGTCGAGTTATATGAAATTGCATGTAGTTCAGTTTCGACTCTCCACATGGGCACTGTGGAAGCAGTGTGGCGTTCCCTGGTACGTGCGTCAAGGTTCACGTCTGAGTAGGTTGGACTGAGATCCTATTTGGTTGAAATGTCAATGACATTCAGGGTATTGGCATTCCAATTACACGATGGCCCTGAACTCTTACGGTTATTGTCTTACTTGCCTTCATTCCTGTTTCTCATGGTATCCAAGGTAAATACATCTGTAGTTTTTCTAACACCTTTTTATGTTCATACGTGCATGAGCCACTACATACAAATAGAGATTTGTATAGAGATTTTTTTTTAACCAAAATGAGGTCATACTATAAACCTTGCAATGCATCTTGCATTTTCTTTTAACTTAATATATAACTGAACTCACTAGCCTGGCATTTAAACTTGGACGTTGAAATCCATTTGTGGATTAGAGGTGGTGAACGGAAGTGGGATTCTGCATATGGAAGTTCATTTTTTTTTCTCAAGAAAAACTCAGTAGTTTAGAATTAAGTGGCTGTAAAGCGAAGAACACCCTGAGTATTTAATCAACTTCTAGATGTATGTGTGTAGAAGACTGTGATATGCATAATGAGAATTAAAATTATTTAAAGATGCCCCATCCCTTTCTCACTTCTGCTGTAAGACCCATTAATCTTATAAATAAAAAACAAGCAGTCCCCAAACTGCAGCTAACCAACCAGCCAACCAACCAACCAACCCACCAACCAACCCATCACCAACAGGTGTGGGTCTATTTCAGGGTCTGGAGGCACTGGGCTTGCTGGCCTCCCTTTGACCTTCTAACAGCTGCACCCCCTCCCAGTGCAGACTGTGCCTTAGGTACTGTGCCTAACTTCGGTACTGTGGCTTAGGTAGTCACAACAGAGATTTATTAAAAAGAGACCACCTGAGTGGATGCTGAAATCTCGCACCCCCAGTGACTTCCTATCTGTGGGTACATGTGAATCTTAATTGGTCAAGATTTTGGTATGTTTAAATATATATAGTAGAAGGGTATTTGCTGATTGGATTAAAGGAAAGCAAAGGTCTCTTTCAAAACTAATGTTCTATCATTCTGTTCACAACCTTTGACAAAGAATCCAGTTAATGAAGATTCAGTTTCCTACAAATCCCTTTTTTCATCCTGTACCCCTGTACCCCTACCCCAAAAGTTTTTAGGTTAAAAAAAAAAACCCCAAAACCTCTGAGTTATCTTAATGAAATATTATGCTACTTAAGTTCATGAGATAACAAAAACGTGAATAGTTATTAACACTCGCAGTTACTCAACCTATTTTTGGCAAGTGACTGCTGTTTTTAATTACACATTTAAAATGTTTCCTACAAGATCTCATTTTCCTTTGCTTTTTACGTTTAGAACAAAAACAGTCAGAAGAGCTAGAAGCCATTCAAGTGCGACATTGTGTGAGTTAGTGATATTATACCTGCAGCCAATAGGTTTGGAGAACTTTGCACTCTCTTCACAGATGTTAGCGTAACAGACATGGCGGCACGTTTGCGAGCACACCCACCGCTATCTGGAAGCAAAAAAATGATATAGCAGAGGCCAAGGCAACGGGAAAAGCACGTGCAATATCATGCGTTTTAAGAGAAATGTGCCAGACATCCATGAGAAAGATGAACAGTTAGAATTAGTAATCATGGAATGCACCTGCCAATTTCACACCACCCTCAAACTAAAACAAACAAAACGAAACAAAACAAAAGAAGACCAGGGATCTGTCTTAGAAATAGGTATCACTGTTTTAGTGAAAGCATGGAAGACTTAATACTTAACATTTTATGGTTTTCTTTGTGAAAACTCAGGCACAGAACTCAACTTTGTTTATACCATTTAAATTCAATTTATACTAAATCTATAAGCACTGGATCTGGCTTTTAGAGTCAAGGATTAGCTCCATGTCAGGATTAAAGGCTATGGTACAACATACTTTTAAGTTAATATCATTTAAGTTTTACCATCTTCTAGCTGTTATAATTCCCAAAGAGAGCTTGAATAATTCTTGCAGTAAAAATTATTAGTGACACAGGTATGATACATTTTTTTAGGATTCATAGAGGAACACATGGCATCATGGAAAGTCCACTCTTCCTGTAGTTAGTGTTAGTTATGCAAATAACTAGCCTTATTAAAATAAAAGTATTGATATATATGGTATCGAAATGACCATGTTTAAAGAAAGGAGTATATTGCTTTTACTTTTTAAATTTTTATTTTTAGGGCCGGAGTCTTGCTCCATCACCCAGGCTGGAGTGCAGTGGTACCATCACAGCTCATTGCCATCTCAACCTCCTGCGCTCAAGCAATCCTCCTGCCTCAGTCTCCTGAGTAGCTAGGACCACAGGCACACACCGGCTAACGTTTTAACTTTTTGTAGAGATGTGGTCTTGCTGTGTTCCCCAGGCTGGTCTCAAACTCCCTGGCTCAAGGGCTCTTTCCGCCTCGGCCTCCCATTACAAGCATGAGCCACCGCACCTGGCCTCATTTATTGCTTTTATACTTTTAACAATATGTGTACTATGATTCATATCTTTAAACTTATGCAAGTCATAATGTGAAATAAAATCAGTGTAAGTTCATCAGCCATTTTAATGTGCTATGAGAAGTTTAGACTTCTAAATTTGGAAGAGAAGTCTTTTAAAATTGGAAGGCCAATGTTCTATTTATGACCAGATTCAAATTCCATTCTTACATTCCTCTGTAATATGGCATGGCAATAAATAGTTTTGCTCATTCTCCTCATTCTGCTTATTGAGTAAAACCAAATTAAATTAAATCTTTTTGAAAGTTATAAAAAAAGACAATATAACCACCGATATAATAATATAATCATTATATATTGTCACATTTCCATTTTTCCTTTTTCTTTATTTTCATAAGGAAAGTATCAAGTTTGTTTATTGGACATGACAGAATTTAGATTGGTAAAGATGCTCGGAAGTATAATTTGAAGGAATTTTTCATAAAATTTATAAATAGTAAGATTAATAGAACTTAAAAGCAGTGGAGTGATTCTTACTTCACTTTTTTAAAGTATATGTTTAAAGTAACAATTTCTTAATGTAGAAAATCATTAAACCAGAAAACCAACTTGAAAGAATATTAAAAGAAAATGAACCAAATAAATCAAAGGTTATAATTAAGAACCCAAAGAAAGTGACACAAATGGGAGAAACAACTGAAGATTCCTTCAGGAAAGGCTCCAAAAGGATTTTAGCGAACTCAGCAAACTGAAAGTGCTTAGAGACAAGTGCGTCTGATAAGATGGAGGTGATGTTATTGCTTCCAGGAGCTGGAAACTGGTTGAAATGGTTGTGTAGTCAAAGGTGTTGAAAGTAAAAACTGACATCACTCTAAGAGTGATTTTATTTCCTAGTTCTGTTAATTCTGAACATCTCACAAGCACATAGGTGAAAAGAGAAAATTCCAGAATGAGAAGATCCAGGGTCACAGGTTAAATCTCTGGTGTTCAAACTGTGGGCTGCGATGCCCTGGGCTGCACTGGTGCATTCATGAGGGTGTTGGGGGGTAGTTCCTGTTTTTAAGGAAAACACAGTGCTAACTGTTGGACACTCAATGAACTACTTGCTTGGGGCAGTGCCTGGTTTCAACATAATAGACGCGCTATATTCCTTTTGATGACATCATATTTTGGAAAAACTGGGATTTTGATACTTGCTATGATAAAAAGCAAGTACCATCTGAAGAACATTTTATTTATTTATGTTTAGAGACAGGGTCTTGCTCTGTTGCCCAGGCTGGAGTGTAGTGATGCATTTGGACCTTACTGGGCTCAAACTGATCCTCCTACCTCAGCTTCCCTCATAGCTGGGATTACAGGCACATGCCACCACGCCCAGCTAATTTTTAAAATTTTTACAGGGATAGGGTCTCACTATGTTGCCCAGGCTTGTCTCCAACACCTGGGGTCAAGCGATCCTCCTGGCTCAGCCTCCCAAAATGCTGGAATTACAGGCGTGAGCCACCGTGACTGTCTGGCCTGTAAATCATTTTAGATCAGTAAATGAGAGTGGTCATGTACAATCGAATTCTAAGGTCTGAGAAATTTTTCAGTGTGCAACAGGCACACACATAATATTAGTAAGTAATTCTTGTTATAAAGAAAGAAATAAAACTATTTTCTTTCAATTTATGTGTACTGTTCTGTCAAATGGCTTCTAAGTTGTTAGAACAAAGTATTTATAAAGTAATTATTAAGTTATTAAGTTGTTAGCACCTAACTACTTAATAAATAGAAGTGTTACATATTTTTGACCTAGGAGCACAGTGAAGAAATTACTGAGACATTAAAGGTCACTGTAAAACAAGAAAGTTTGGGAATCCTTGGGTTAGACAATTTATGTATTTTAGGAAGCTCTAAGTCTTAGATGAAATAAATGGAGGCTCTGTCTTTAATAAAGTTTAATAAAGGGCTGAATTCTAAAACTTGAGGCATTTGTAAAATTGCTGGAACAGAATGATCTATTATATTGTGTTTCTACTTCCTTTTGTATTGATACTTTCTGATACTCCTTGAAGATATTTTTAAGATCTTAAAACAAGGATGCTACCTTTCATGTGTCAGTTTATCCTAAAGAATCCTAACGCTGGTCTTGCCTTTTGTCCTCATTAATGACCTGCAGCCTTGCTAGGCTACTCTTCCCCTGAGCTGCAAGATTCCTGGAAGCTGTTCCTACTGCTGGAAACCCCTCATATGGGTAAATTATAGATGGATAATTATTTGATGTCTTTCCTTCTCTCCTTTCTTCAATAGCTAAGATATGCCTAAGAAAGTAATGTGTTAAACATTCTAAAAGTGGACATATAACATGTTTTGTATATATTTTCTACATTGTTTAGACACTTTAGTATGAAAAATTAACCACATTCCCCATGGCTAGTTTATTATGCACTGATTAAAAGCAAATACTTAACTTAAAAGAATGCTTTTTAGCCGTGGTGACCAACACATGAAGATTTAAATAGGAATATATATTTTTAATGATTGATATATTGGATAGATATATCTATCAATAAAGAGATATATTCCTGTTTAAATGAATATTGATATATATATCAATAAAACTGGCCTGTATTATTTATCTATATAGATTATCTGCATTGTCTATCCATATATTATCTGCATTATCTATCTGTCTATTGATAGATAGATAAATAGATAGATAGATAGATAGATAGATAGACAAAAAAGTCAGAAGAGCTAGAAGCTATTTTGGGGATGAGAAAAATAACTTGTGGGGCCACTTTATTCATCTATCTATCTATCTATCATCATCTGTCTATCTGTAGATAGATAATGCAGGCCAGTTTTATTGACTAGCTCTTTAGGAACAAATTCCTACTTCATTTTGTAAACACAGTAACAATGCTTTCAAATTCCTAAGGCAATATATGTGTGTATATATATACATATATATTTAAAAGTGGTATGTTTTTATAAAAACATTATAATTATTATTTTGGAATTTTGAGCAAAAGTTTTCAGTCACTTTTGATCAATTTTATGCATATGTTTGAATACCATATTTTCCAATCATTATACATTAAGTGGAAGTTCATCCAAATAAGCAAAATAATCCTATACAAATTGCATCCCATCCAGAGTCAAGCTTACTCCTTAGAAATGAGAAGATGCTTTAGAAGGTTACATTTATGCTGCTAAGCAGTAACTTGGGTCAAGTACCTTAGTGACTTAAACAAATTTACAAATTTGTATGTGCTTATTTTGCTATGAGGGATTGAATTATATGAATAGGAAGGTTAATTATTGAGTGTACTGCCCATCAACACAGCATATTCAGTATATCATGTATGCATATCCCTGTCATAATAGTGTTATAATAAATAGGAAAATCAGCACTCAGTAAAATGAGGAATACTGGGAGTTATGATCCACTTAAGTCTACAGGGAAATGTCTTGGAAGGATCAGGAAATATCACTTCCTCATGTGGAACTTCTGCTGGAGTGACTTTGTAGCTCCAAAACATGGCTGATGCTAGTCCAGCTGTGGGCTCTACATTCTATTTGCTTTCTTCTGTCTCCTTTACCTGCTAATATTTTCTACTTCATTCCCCATGTCTACTTCTGACATCTCCAATCATCAAGTTGCCTTTGTGTGGTGCATATGCAGGGTTATAACTTCTCTTGATTGCTGAGCCTTCCTTGTGTGTTTTGACTGTCTCCAGTATCCTCATCTTGCCTGTTGTCCACATGTCTGCAAGGTGACTGCATCCCCAGGAGCCCGCCCGCACAGCCTTCTCTGAGGCCACTACGGCACATGGCACATGACGCAAGGCTCTGCACTCGACCTGGGGATTAGGTATTGGTCCTCGCCAGTGGCTGGGTAATCCTCCTTGTAGCACTTGATGCAACAAGAGACCTCAAAAAGGCAACCAGCTGGACATGAGAGAATATCTTGGGCCATCCTTTCTACTCTGCCATGGCGCGACGGCTCAAACAACTTTCCAGTGATCACTTGTGGATAGGAAATGGTATCGTTTAAACACAAGTTACAAAATTTCAACGAGAAAGTTGTTTCTTGAATTACTTTGTATTGTATATTTCAAGGTGGGGGGAAGGCAAAATTATAAGCCAAATTATTTCTACTGTGGAAAAAAGTTCATATGTACAAAGCATGTATCATGAACACTTTTACAGTTAAAATGTAGACAATACAGTTTAGAGACACAGTTGTTAAGTTATTTGGAGATACTACTCTCACATCTACACATATAATGCTTATAACACTATGGGAATTGTGACTATAGGTTAATTAAGCTGATTTTGTATAAAACTTTGGCACTCTATCTGCTGACTTCTTCAACATAAAGAGTTTATAGAACAGGTAAGTTTGAATATTTTCTTCTAGAGCAACTTGCCTTTGAATTTAGCCTATTTTTAAGTGAGAGATTTCAAAAGTACACAAACAAACGACATACTACCTCTTCCTATTGTTTATAGGAGTTAGTTTTAACATGTGATTAGAGAAAAAGGGAGTAGGAGCAAGTAATAGAAGAGAAAATTCTATGTTTGGTGGCTATAAGAGTGGGGCACAAATACAAAGAAAGAAAGTAATGAATCTATGCTATGTATCTAATCAGAAACTCAGAATCACATTTAGGATCAGAAGAGTGCTAAACTAATGATTTAGGGCCAACATGATTTTTAGAGAGCAAGGCTAAAAGAGTTTAAAACTAACAGACAGCATACCTGTGTTCATTTTCACCTTGGAGAGTTTGTTATTAAAGTCTTCAGTTTTCCTGTAGGAAAAAAATGGTGCATAATTGTTCACTAGCATGTGGAAGAAAATATCATGAAAGTGTGTCGCATTTTTGTTTTTGATGTACCTGTAAGTTAATATCACATTATCATTAGTCTTATTTAAATCAGTGTTTAATAAGGTAGGAAGAATTTATAATTCTGTTCATGTTAAACTTTAATTATTGGTCCCATGCTCATAAAACAGACATATTCTGTTTTTATGCTTTTGTTTAATGGTGAGCATTAATGGATGAAAATGGAGACGTTTTGTGCTTGTTTTTCTTTTTTTCTTTCTTTTTTTTTTTGAGACAGAGTCCGCCACTGTCGCCCAGGCCACAGTGTAGTGGTGCGATCTTGGCTCACTGCAATCTCTGCCTCCTGGGTTCAAGCGATTCCCCTGCCTCAGCCTCCCAAGTAGCTGGGATTACAGGCACATGCCACCACACCCAGCTAATTTTTTTCTATTTTTAATAGAGACGGGGTTTCACTATGTTGGTCAGGCTACTCTTGAACTCCTGACGTCGTGATCCACCTGATTCGGCCTCCCAGAGTGCTGGGATTACAGGCGTGAGCCACCGTGCCCGGCCTGTTTGTTTCTTTTTTAGAGAGAGGGTTGTGCTCTGTTACCCAGGCTGGAGTGCAGTTGGTGTGATTGTAGTTCACTGTGGCCTTAATTTCCCGGGCTCAAGCCATCCTCCCACCTCAGCCTCTCAAGGTGCTGGGATTACAGGTGTGAACTACCGTGCCTGGTTGAGTTTTCCTTTTAAAAAATTAAATTTCTTTTACAAATATTTATACAAATGGTTTTTGTTCTCTAAGCCTGAAATGATTGCCTGTTAAGTGTCCTCTTCCAGAGTTTTAAAAGTGACCCTGGCACTTTAAAATCATTGCCTTACATGTGCAGGTCAGTTGACTACCGGGGAATATGTAATGAATGTAACGCATATTTTCAGGACACTGTCAAGAAAGATGAGATTCATCTTTCTCTTTTTTAAAGACACAGGAAATAGATGGTCACTACAAAATCCATCTCTGCATTAGTATTGAATGCTGATTTTTCCCAGTGAAATGTTGGATGCAAAGCAATTGAGATTAATTCGCTAGAAACGGTTGGCAGAAAGGGGTTGTCTCAGAAAAAAGTTTTTTTTTTTGAGATGAGTCTCGCTCTGTCGCCCAGGCTGGAGTGCAGTGGTGCGATCTCGGCTCACTGCAAGCTCTGCCTCCCGGGCTCACGCCATTCTTCTGCCTCAGCCTCCCAAGTAGCTGGGACTACAGGCACCCGCCACCACGCTCGGATAATTTCTTTTTGCATTTTTAGTAGAGACAGGGTTTCACCATGTTAGCCAGGATGGCTACGATCTCCTGACCTTGTGATCCGCCCGCCTCGGCCTCCCAAAGAAAAAGGTTTTAAATATTGTGTATCGTTTTATGACATGTGAGATGACTTAGTTCTTTCTCTGGCATATTCTCTTAGCCCATTTATGGAGTTTCTTATTTACCCATACCCTGAAACCAAAGAGGAAAGACACGCTGATAAGGTAGCAAATCTCCTAAGTCCAAGAGCTCCCTGCAAGAGCTGTCTGACCCCGGCCACTTGGCCTTTGCTCCTGAGTGGGCCTGTTGTTGAGTATCCACAAGAACCCCCCCGCACAGCACAACACACTCACAGCTTCCAGGCGCATCAGTACTGCAACATCCGAACATTTTCAAGAATTTTATTTATTCCTTTTGGATGAATGAGGATAAATTTGAAATGAAATCATTGGCATGATCACCTGTCAAGAAAGACTTTTGATAAATAAAGATTTTTTAGTCTCTAAAAAGAGCAGCAAATGAGCTTCCTGGCTTTCTTGCCTTTGTCTGCCAAGGTTCTCACCCTCTTCTCCCTTCTGACCATTTCCTCTGCTCAACTCACAACTATTATTTTCTTTCAATGTGGCTATTGGAGTTCACCTCTTTTGGAAAGCCTGGCTTTGTTCATTACTGATGAAAAATTATAATAATAAAATCAAAATGTGAATATTAGCTAAATATAATGGTACTTCTCTCCCAGTGGGGGGAAAATGATGAAAGAAAATAACATTAAAAATACACTTAAGTCCTATGAAATATAATTATAAAGCAAGATTTTATATATAGATATATATGTATAGTGTAATCCTCGTTTTGCTATATACACATGTATATGTGCACACATACACACACACACGTATATTTGCCTAGATTGAATTACTAATACCTTAGGACTCAATAAATGCTAAATTAATGAACATTTAAAATAGGTAAAATCACAGTACTGATAATCACCTCAGTATATGTTTTTAGAGCTCTACGCTGAAAACAATATAGACGATATCCTTACTATATGGTGTTTAATTTTTGTGTGGTCTGTGTTCAGTGTCATATCGTTGTCCGTCTGCCCTGGGCATCATTGCAGTGTAGGGAGCAGGGCAGGAGCCATGCTTAGCGTGGCCAGGCTAGAACTGAGTTTCCACAGGGTTATGGGGAACTTCACTGGGGCATTTCATAGGCCAACAGACTCTGAAAAATGATTGAGGGAAATTTTATGATGGTGAATTTTATCTCCTATTTTTCAGTGTATGCAACTAAACAGGCACATTTCTGTTTTACTTTTTTGTTTTGTTCTTCTCCAGAATTACACAGAAAAAATGTGGCGTATTTCTAAAAACTCAGCTTGGTAGCCTTAAGACCGCCTGTATTGAGGGATACCGATGAAGTCAGGGAAGAGGGCAGCGGCCAGCACAGGAGCTTTGGGAAAGCTCCTTCAAACGTATTTAGTTTAATCTCTCGGTAGCTCTTGGTAGCAAAACTCCTAATATGTTAACCTTAAATGGACAAAATAAATGGAAAAGAAAAGCCTCAGGGGATGTCTGTGACTGAGACTGAGGCAACTTCTAAAACAAGAAGGGATAAACAACCTCCAGAAAATGAGGATTATGAGGACCTTTCCCAAATTCGACTTCTTCATTCCTTTTGAAACCAGGCAACGCTGTGCTTACAACTGCTTAAGGTTTTAAAACGGAATGAGGAAGACAGTATTCGGGCTAGAATAATAGTGATTGACAAAGAAAACATCAAATACAGAAGGTTAACTCTCAGAATACAAAATCTGCTGACAGACAATAATAATGTTTTTGTACCAAGTTAGAGAACTAGTTATCAACACCTATTGTTTGAATTCAAATGCCGATATTTACAGAATATCTAACACTCAAAAAGTAAAATAGGATTAACGAGAACAAAGAAAGGCGCCACAAATCCTTGAGGTTTTCATCTTTAAAGTGATGTATCCTGTTACTTATAAATGTAATTTGTGAGGCTTTTTAACTTCCCATTGTTTTAGATGTCAAAATGTGAAATGACTAACTTCCTAATCAAGCAAGACATTTTCCAAGTCGTTAAAAGAAGAATCCCAGTGATTGAGCTCTCAAGAAGAACCTGAAACCGAAAGGCTTCTTGGGTGACTAATAAAAATGCACGATTCTATTTCCCTTATTTGTGCTAAGTCCATTAACAAATCCACGACTGAGAACTCTCTTTAGACAGTTCAAACTAAAGCGAATCTAATCTCTTTTGTTCTGCTCTGAAAAAGTGTCCTTGATTGTACTTACATAACAAGCACAGATTATTCTGGAAAGCATCAAATTCCTAGAGTCTTTGCATGCTGCTAGACAACAGCATCTCAAGTATTCTCTTAACTTGGAATTGAACCAGGGACGAGACTATGAGAACTGACCATAACATGGAGACTACCTTGAGCCTTAGCAGACAATCCACGGAGCAAAGAAGTCTCCGAACATGAAGGTGTCAGCATGATTTTCAATAGGTGCTAGGGGATTGTGTTTACTTTTGTCAAAGTTTCATATAAAAAGCAACTTCATATGTGTCCTAATTTGTGACAACAATGGATTGGTTTTACTTATGGATTAGAGTAGCCTCCACTGTCAAAATACATATGGCAATAGATTGTGTTGATTGTTCATGGAAGGGCTGTAAACAGCATGACTTCGGGTCTATAGTCTTTTAATTTTGCTTGAATTTCTTTTTTTTCTTTTTCTTTTTCCTTTTCTTTCTTTTCTTTTCTTTTTTTTGAGACGGAGTCTCACTCTGCCGCCCAGGCTAGAGGGCAGTGGCATGATCTCGGCTCACTACAACCTCCACCTCCTGGGTTCAAAGGATTCTCCTGCCTCAGCCTTCTGAGTAGCTGGAATTACAGGCGTGCACCATCACGCCTGGCTAATTTTTGTATTTTTAGTAGAGACGGGGTTTTACCATGTTGGTCAGGCTGGTCTCAAACTCCTGACCTTGTGATCCTCCCGCCTCAGCCTCCCAAAGTGCTGGGATTACAGATGTGAGCCACCACGCCTGGCCAATTCTGCTTGAATTTCTTTGGATTATCAGACATCTCATTTTTCTCGGAATCAGAGCAGGCTGTGTTCTCAATACGTATAAGAGAATAGAATGGGTAATTTAACTTTTGAAAGAGGATCCTAAGGAGTTTGATCCTGCATGGGCATGAACATGCCTTTGTGCCTGTTGTCTCATAATTCTGCTTGAATTGTTTTGATTATCAGGCATCCCATTCTGAAGAGCAGCAGAGACAAAATCCTTTCCCCAGTTTTGGCTAAGAATTCTATGTAGGTCATTTTATTTTTGTAGACCTGAATTTAAGCACCAAGACCATGTATGAAACTACAGGACTGAATTTTAGCTCAGTTAATGGGAGGAGTTGCCCAAAAGATTTTCCACAGACGAACCTTAAGCCAATACATTGCTACTGTTATTTTGAAATTAACATATTCACAGTTCATATATTATTCAAAAAAGGACATATTGATGTTTAAGTAGTAGGAAAACATTGCAGGATGTTAGTTTTTTTTTTTAAAGAGATGTATTTTAAACATGAACATAAAAATACAATCATATTAAGGTTATGCACCAGATTTTAACTTGAATTTACTTATTTATTTTGAAATGGGATCATTTGTAGCACTCTCTTTGGATAAACTGCCCTAAGTGATCAATGTATTAATGCATCTCTCTCTATCTCTGACTGTGGTAAAATAAGAAGTATTCATAAATGCCAAGTGATTTCACTTTTCTATTATAGTCAAATGACTTAATTCAGGTTGACATTTATCTTCACCTATCTTTCCTATATGTCAACATGCTGCTTTGAAATAGTCACATGAAAACTCCAAGTAGTTTGTTTTGTGAGTTTAGAAACTCTCTTCTGACTAGTTTCTCTAAATTGGCTCAGAGACTCCTCTGCCTGAGTGGGTGGCACACAAGTCAACAGTAGCGGCATGACTGTCCATGCTCATAAGAACACCAAGTACCTCCCAGAACTCCTGTGCTAACAGTGCCTGAAAATGTTCCTTATTATTCAGGAGCCGAATTACCCGCGGCATCTATTTATCTATGCTGAGGCCAGAACACATTCAACATCATTTCTAGGAATAAGGAGACATTATTACCACAAATAATAAAGAAATAAATGAACATGAGGCCGTTGATAATTTTTTATGAGAATACGCGGAGTGTTAGTTTTAATTAGACCAAATGTCCTGATATTTGGAAAAATTTCCTGAAAAAAGAGCACTATATGTCTTCCAAGGAAACTAGCAATTTTCCTTTTGAGACTTTACAATGTAAGCTGTTCAAAATACTTATCAATTTTCCCTAAAGACTTTACTGATTAGAAGTTGATCACCTGGTAAATGATTCCTTCTGATGTTATTCCAAGGTCTCAAAGTTGGTGAATCACTCATTTCACTATTTGCTTTAAATGGTCATGTGACTTAACATTGGTCCAGCACCTTACTTTCTTTTTTTTCTTTAGGTGGAATCTCACTCTGTTGCCCAGGCTGGAGTGCAATGATGCGATCTTGCCCACTGCAACCTCTGCCTCCCGGGGTCAAGTGATTCTCCTGCCTCAGCCTCCCGAGTAGCTGGGATTACAGGCATGCACCACCATGCCGTATTTTTAGTAGAGACAGGGTTTCACCATGTTGGCCAGGCTGGTCTCGAACTCCTGACCTCAAGTGATCCACCCGCCTCGGCCTCCCAAAGTGCTAGGATTACAGGTGTGAGTCACTGTGCCTAGCCACCCTACTTTCATGGAGTTCCTTAGTTTTATATTGTAATCTTAGGGATCATTACGGAACAACATCTAAGTATTTTCAAGTGCATCTTTTTTCTAAGACTAAGTCATTTGTTCAACTTGATAGTACAGTATTAGGAGAATTCCATTGGCTTATAATGTGCAAATCAAAAGCCAAAAAAATTTCTAATGAAAATAATTCAGATTCTGACTGAGGATCTCATAAGTCAGGCACCTTATCAAAGAGACATGTGAGGAATTAATTAGAATATCCCTATAACACATGTATAGGCAAACTGAATAGCGTTGGAAGAATGGGTCAAGAAATAGGCAAAGCTTGACTCAAATCCCAGTTCTGCCCATTTCTATGCATCCGAACAATTTATACCAATGTCATTATCATCGACTCCCCCGCTAGACAGCAAAGCATCCCCAATCTGGCAAACTGGCATTATTCCCATTCACTAATATTTCAAATATTTTGAAGCAGATCTTTACCTTTGATTGAGTCTTAAGAAGATAATCTAGACTTTCCTGAAAATACATGGGGCATTATTGTATTGCTTTAGATTGAAGCAAGCCATATGGTTTATTAGACTGATTTCTATGGATTTTCCCGTCTCCCAATTGTCCCACACCCAGCTTAGCAACATGTTGGAATTGAAAAGGAATTCTACTTTCCAGGCAGCTTTCTTTCTTCCTTAAAAAGATCCTTTATTTAGCTAAGATTTTCCCCCCCACACATTGCCATGAACAAGAGAAAACCTAAGAAAATAGTTGAATCAAACCCTTGCCTTCTAGCCCAGCTATAGACAATGCTACTGGATCTAAGGGAAAGTGACACTATAAAGGTTTTGACGATTAGCTTTTTTAAAAAAATCATTCTCTTTCCCTTTGACAGCTGATAGCCGAAAGCGATGGCTGAATGGAAAGAGATGTCTATAAAATGTCACATAACAAATTGTGTGACAAATTGCAGAGTGATAACATCCTGATGGCAGCCTACTCCTGCTTAATTCAATAAGGGAAAGTGCCTCTGATTTCCCACCTTGTACTGAGAAGCACACATTTCTATTTTGAGGAGAAAAGCCTTGATCTTTTTAAAGAACCATTTTTTAAAATTTTATGCTTTGCTAAGTTTCTCACTGCTTTTAATTTTAAAATCTTCCGTTTTAATTTTTATATATTGAAATATAAAAATCATCTGATATCAAAAGAATTATGTAATCTAGTCTAGTTTTGCATGTCTCATACTTAGACTTTAAGTAGAAGCAAGCATCAAAGGCTCTGGTAGGGATTGAGATCAACCAACTCATTTTTAGGGTTAGACATTTGAGGATAAGATAAATGGATGCCCCAAGCAGATACTCAAAAGTAGTTCATCTCTCCTGACTCCTAGCAAATAATAGGCATCCTCCTTTAAGGAATCTTAAAACGTCATTTGAAATCAAGATCTTGGCCAGGCGCAGTGGCTCACGCCTGTAATCCCAGCACTTTGGGAGGCCGAGGCAGGAGGGTCACTTGAGGTCAGGAGTTCGAGACCAGCCTGGCCAACATGACGAAACCCCTGCCTCTACTAAAATTCAAAAATTAGCCGGGCATGGTGGCACATGCCTGTAGTCCCAGCTACGTGGGAGGCTGAGGCAGGAGAATGGCTTGAAGCTGGGAGGTGGAGGTTGCAGTGAGTCGAAGGTTGCAGTGAGCCGAGATCGCACCATTGCACTCCAGCCTGGGTGACAGAGCAAGACTCCATCTCAAAAAAATGAAACAAAACAAAACAAAACACAAAACAGAAAAACAACATAGGAAATCAAGCTCTTTCCCTTTAAAATATTACAGTACCCTGCTTAATTAAGTACTGAATCATATGAGGCAGGGGTTAGGGAAAAGAACAAAATATGAGAAGACGGTGTGGTAGAAGGCAAAACTGTTTGATAAATAAAATAAGAACTGTTAACATAGAACCATATGTTTCTTCCTCTAAGACTAATAGGAAAACAGTGGTTGATTATGACAAGGATTCCTTTTGCCCAATCACAGCACAAGTCCAAATGGAAAGTGTTAATCAGGTCTACTAAACCCAAAGCATATTAGACCTCCTTGGTCTAAGCCTAGACCAATAGCCATTGATTTTTTTTTTCTGAAATCCTTAGAATTTTCAGTTAGTAAGTATATCTATTTTAAATTATTTTCATGGTAATGTTACGTGGTGAAAGTATTACAGTGAAATAAGCCTGCTTATTGTTAATTCACTGTTCTTAAAAAGCCACACTTTTCTTCTGATTGAATACACCTGTTTCCTGAGCACCTGAAATAACATTTATATACTTTAGCAATGTCAAGGTTTGTCAGAATTTTTGACAGAATATACTGTCAGAATTATTACAAATTCATGTTTATATGTGTCTCAGATATGCAATGGTGAAATCCCACTTGCTATGTGGAATTTAAATTTTGGGGCAGGGGAAAATTTGCTCTAATTTGATCTTATAGTCTTAAAATTTAAGTAATACATTACTTACAAAGTTTATCCAGAATGAAATGTACCTTTTTTTTTTTTTTTTTTTTGAGACAGAGTCTCGCTCTGTTGGCCAGGGTGGAGTGCAGTGGTGCAATCTCGGCTCACCGCAGCCTCCACCTCCCAGGTTCGAGCAATTCTCCTGCCTCATCCTGCAGAGTAGCTGGGGTTACCGGTGTGTGCCATCATGCCAGGCTAATTGTAGTATTTTTAGTAGAAATGGGGTTTCACCATGTTGGCCACACTGGTCTCGAACTCTTGACCTCAGGTAATCTGCCCGCCTTGGTCTCCCAAAGTGCTGGGATTATGGGTGTGAGCCTCCATGCCTGGCCAGAATGTATCTTAAATTGTACATCTTAAGGCAGTTTGATTCATTTTAGAAAATTTGAACGAGAAAATAATAAGCCAATGGAGGAAAAATATCATCTGAAGAAATTTTGAATGCATTAAAAGTTGGAAACTTTTGATATTTGTGTTGAACAGTGGATAGTTTATTACATTATTCTTTGGGATCTAATAAAAGTAGACAATAAAGACAGATATCTTCCATTTTAATGGAAATGTATTATTCAGAAATGTATTATTAATATTTATATACTGCTGCTCCATTGTTATTCAGACATTTGAAAAAATTCTTTACATTTCTCTATGTACTAAATGTACAAGTGTTAAGCAGAATCATAGGTGAATAAAAGGTACTCAATTTGAGGAGTACCCTGTTCCGACTGTGTCTGCAACATTTTTATTTTAGGGAAAAACAAAGTGGTGTGTTTATTGATTCTGCAGAAGGCATACACACGAGAGGGGAATAGGTAATAAGTAGAAAGATGATCTTGACAGGCTGAATTAAATTTGGCTAAACTAAATTTCATGATTAGGTTGAAGAGACTGGCTTTTCAAAAATTTATATGGAATAAGTCTAAGGGCTTTAATGCAATTGTTGAAAAATATAATTAAATCAATGTCTAAATGAACAGTGGTTTCATGAATCAAGGAAGATTGGGCTCCAGCTGCCTCACTTTTAAAGTGTCCACATGAGTCTGTGCGTGAGTCAGGCTGGCATGAACTTGAGTCTCTAGGCAGGCTTTGGAGGCTGTGCTGGGTGGGGGGAGGGTCACAGAACGATATGGTAGAGACACTATGGTGAGTTTCCAGGTGACTACCAGCAGCAACAGGAAAAGTTACTGACATGTACTTGAGGTTTATTTTTTTCTTTCATCTCGTGGAACTCATCCCAGTGGCCCTTAGGGTTAATGCTCTTAAATATACCAAATTTATGCTTTAAATTGACAAGAAGATGTATAAATAACAGTTGCAGCTAGAAGCTTCAATATTCCCTCAAGATGTACCTGAATTTAAGAAACATAATATCTAAATAAGACTGTTTCTCAGTGCTGGGTTTTTAACCATCTGGTTCACAATTGTCATCAGAAAGAATGAAAACAAGTCCATCCTAGAAATAAGGGGTTTAAGACTTCAGAACTGTACAACAAAATGGGATGTGGTGTCTATTGCCCTTTTGTTCAGCAAAATGCCAACTCAGATGACCTCACTTCTAGTTCTTACCCCCCACATATGTTCCCAGCATTCTTCATTTTTCATACCTAATATAGTCCTTCATGCTCTGCCACTATTTAAAGCTAAAACTTTCACTCAATCCACCAAAAATAGGCAAGAAAAACAACATACAAATACAAATTTATATTCCACAGTTACACAGTGGAGAACAGTGAAGCTTATTTGAACAAAGTTTTTGTTGTTTCATAATACTCTAACTTATTTGACGTACTGGCTAAAGGTAGAAATGATCAGAACACTTTTTGAGATTGTTAGTTGGCATATTTTAACATATGTAGTGAAATCCTACTCAGTCTGATCTTTATTAGCCATTTCTCCCCCTTTTATCTACAGAAATAAACTCTCAACACTCTTTCTTTTATCTTGGACTTTTGCCACTCTTGGAAAAGCAGAAAAATTTCCTTTTGACTTCCCAACTACACGAACTCTTTCAGGGCAGCCTGGTTTTAGCTCCAGGGTAGTCTGCCATGATGCTCAGGGCCATGGATCACCTTACAGATCCAACCTGGGCCTCTTGTTCGCATCGACTCTACCCTGGGACTCAGCCTGTTCTCCTTCAGGTCCACAGGTAGAGAATGTCTGTGTGGACATCTTCATGGACAGAGATACCCACTGACTTCTGATCTGATACCTACTGACTTCATTTCCATTTCTTCTTTTATAATGGAGCGTAAAAGCACTTTGTCATCTGTGCTGCAGCATTTGGTAAAGGAAATCCAGAACCCACGCTGGGACCACATGCATTTACATTGATTCTAGTTAATTATGTTTGAGTGGAGTGATCGCTTTTCTATAGTACATAGAAAATGTTAACATGAACTATTATTATTGGGATGTTGGCTGTCTGCCATTCCTAACACAGAGCAGAGGGTAAGAAAATGTCACTCATATTGGGAGAGGGCAAACAATAATGGATGGGCCAAAAAGTTAGCAAATTTCTTTCTTTTTTTTTTTTTTAGACGGAGTCTTGCTCTGTTGCCAGGCTGGAGTGCAAGTGGCGTGATCTCAGCTCACTGCAACCTCTGTCTCCCAGGTTCAAGTGATTCCCCTGCCTCAGCCTCCTGAGTAGCTGGGACTACAGGCACGTGCCAGCACGCCCAGCTAATTTTTTGTATTTTAGTAGAGACGGGGTTTCACCATGTTGGCCAGGATGGTCTAGATCTCCTGACCTCCTGATCCACCCACCTCGGCCTCCCAAAGTGCTAGGATTACAGGTGTGAGCCACTGTGCTGGGCCGCAAATTTCTTTTTTGTGGGAGAAGCCACTTTAGAAGTATATATCTACATACCTTGTCTAAGTCAATGTGTTGCTATAAAGGAATACCTGAGGCTGGGTAATCTATACAGAAAAGAGGGTTATTTGGCTCTCGGTTCTGCAGCCTGCACGGGACGCATGGCACTGACATTTGCTTGGGTTTTAGAGAGGCCTCATGATGCTTCCACTCCTGGTGGAGGGGAGAAGGTTAAAGGGAGCCGGCGTGCAGAGATCCCATGGCGAGAGCAGAAGCAAGAGAGAGCAGGAAGGTGCCAGGCTCTTTTCAACAATCAGCTCTCAAGGGAGCTCCCCCAGGAATGAATAGAGCAAGAACTCACTCACTCTCCCTCTGCCAGGGAGGACACTAATCTATTCATGAAGTATCTGGTCCCAAGACTCAAACACCTCCCATTAAGCCCCATCTCCAATTGGGGATCGAATTTCAACATGAGATTTGGAGGAATCAAATATCCAGACCATAGCACACATCAATAGCGAGGAAGTGGCAGAGTCAGAGTTCAACAACCTATGTTTTAGGGGACTTCCAGGTATGTGCTCTTAATGTTACATGACTTTTTTTTTTTTTATTGTACTAAAGTGGGAGTCGGTGTTAAGCCTTGTGTGGGAAGGTATGCTTGGGCAAATCACTTCACTTCGATGAGCCTGAGTTTTAAAGTTTATAACATGAAAGACTTGATTTAAAATATAAAAGCACATAAGGGACTTTTATGGTTTGAAATTTTGCTAAATCTAGGAAAGGTATATTCAACCAACAAACATTTGTTGACCTTTAATGTGCAAACCACTATGCTACTGTCATGATTGTACATATCAAGCAGAAACTAACTGGAAGCCAATATTTAATGACTCATTCACATATTAAAATTCAGAAAAAGGAGATGGTTAAAGACCCGTGCTTCTGATAGCATCATGATGAGATGGGGTACATATTAACACATGTCCAAGCCACCATCCTGACAACCAAGCTGTCTCCCTCTTTGTTGTCTGCTTTACTTAACTCCAGATATAAGATCTAGAGAATTGTTTATATATTACATGTCTTTCTATATTATCTCCAGTGCCCTACCCTTGAGCTTCTCAATTTTAGAATTTGATCGTTCCTAAAATAGAATCCATTTTATAAATCTGCACCAGAAGAAACAGACAGAACTTCAGTCCATCAATTTTCATTAATTTTTAAAGCTTTTTTCATGAGTAGTGTGGTAGGTACATTGGAGGTAACAAGAATCATTGATTCTTTTTTTATTCTGTTAGAATTTACAGTAGAGGAGAACTTCAAAACAGGTATCTCAATCATGGAGGCAGCTTGGCATTCCAAATATTACGTTTTTGCATAGCTCCTATTTTAAAGAGTAAAAGTCTATTGGCTTTTGAAGGAAAAAAAACTAAAAGATCTAAGCAGACTGTACTCCTAGCCAATATTCTCATCACATTTTTCTTACTGGCTGAATCAGTCATGCCATAACTTGCTAAATGACAATAGCATGGGAAGTACAATGACAATTTGAGTTATTTTTCATGTGGATGGTTGTTGTTCTGTGCTTTGATTACTGTTGAGAAATGTCGGCATCAGGCTCACAAACAATTGCCAAGGTCCTATGACCCACAAAAACTTCAATCAGCCTGTTCCCATGTTCAGATGTTTTGGAATTTGGATGTTTACTTTACATAAATTATGATTTAATATTATGGCTATTTGTAAGGCTACTATGTGATAATTGTATCATTAACTTCAAATGATTAAGAAAAGCAATCTGAATTAGGGAGAAGTGAGTTATAAAGTGCTTGTGAAAAAAGGCAACGTATTTTCCTTCAAAAATACAGATTAACTCTAGGTCAAGGCAATAACACCTAAAATAAATCCTCCAGGGTCCTAGTTTAATGAATACATAAGAATGATTTGTACTTCTAACATCAATTCATATGGAATGAATGCTTCTAAAAAGGTTTATTTTGTGTAGTATAAGTATGCTAGCACTTTGCTTAAGAATCTAGCTTTTAATATTATCAAAAGTAAAGACAGCCTAGACTCTCACTGAATTACCTCAATTTCTAAATTGGTATGTCTAAGTTACGATTCAGACATAATTCATATTTATTTCCCATTTCATGTTGGAGTCAGGATATTCGCTTCTCCCCAAACCTCACCCCATTTTTCCAGTATTCCTCACCTCAGAGAATGCTATCATTCATTCATTATTTTTTACAATTTTATTTATTTATTTTTTTGAAACAGAGTCTCACTCTGTCGCCCAGGCTGGAGTGCAGTGGCGTGATCTCGGCTCACTGCAACCTCTGCCTCCCAGGTTCAAGCTCTTCTCCTGCCTCAGCCTCCTGAGCAGCTGGGATCGCAGGCATGCACCATCACACCTGGCTAATTTTTGCACTTTTAGTAGAGATGGGGTTTCACCATGTTGGCTAGGCTAGTCTCGAGTTCCTGACCTCAGGTGATCCACCCCCCTCGGCCTCCCAAAGTGCTGGGATTACAGGCGTGAGCCACCGCACCTGGCCCATTCATTCATTATTCAATTCATTAATCAAAAAGTTTGAGAGCCCATTCTACTCCACAAATTACCCTGGATGTTCCCTCTCCCTCAACTCTCCATGTTTTGAGAAATAAGACAAGAAACATTCAGCTCTGGGAAGGGCAGCATGCTTCTATCTCAGTCCCACAGTTCATTTGCCCAAGAGACTTGGGCATGAAAGATAAGCATTTCTAGTCCTTTTGATTTTGCACAGGTCAGATATAGGTTAGGCACAGGTTAACACAGAGTGGGCAGATGGGAGTCTCTGACCAGCTCATGCGGTGCAGGAGTTATACTGTTGCTTCACTTTCCCATAACAGCAATGGATCCGAAATGGATGATGATGTTCCAGTGTCACACAGGTAGGGGCAGCATGGCAGATAAACGTGAGAGAAAAAGCAGTGTGTGCATGCACATGTGCACATACACAAACACATGTGCCCATGCACAGGCACACGTACACATGCTGTTGTGTTCCCCACCCAGTTGTCTCAAAGGCCACGAGTTTGTGGATTTTATCTTCCTAGTTCAGTACAGGACTACCCAGAAGTTGGTCGATATTAAAGCCTCAAAGGAATCATAATATCACTTTTGTCCAGATTTTATTTTCCAATCCTCTCTTTGTTTTATCAAAAACATTTTAGGAGTACATTTTTTCAGATGGATTATGTAAACACTGGACCTGTTCGTTAAAAAAATTTCTTAGAGATCAAGACCATCCTGGCCAACATGGTGAAACCCCGTCTCTACTAAAAATACAAAAATTAGCTGGGTGTGGTGGTGCGCACCTGTAGTCCCAGCTACTTGGGAGGCTGAGGCAGGAGAATCGCTTGAACCGAGAAAGTGGAAGTTGCAGTGAGCCAAGGTCGCGCCACTGTACTCCAGCCTGGCGACAGAGCAAGACTCCATCTCAAAAAATATATATAAAATCAAAAATAAAAAAAAATTCCTTAAAGTTTAATATTGATATGTTCTATATGCAAACATGAATGGGGGTTTTCCGTTTTTTCACTGCTATACACTCAGCCTCTAACAATATCTGGTACATATTATTTACCCAGTGAATATTTATAGAAAGAAGATGTCCTCATTTACAGACATGATGGAATGACTCCCATCGTGAAGTGGTTTGTCAGGGAGAGTTAGACAAAGGGGCTTGAGGATTCCCCTCATTTGCCATTACAGTCCACCCCTTGGCTCTTCTAGTCTATTGAGGGCCTTTCTTCTGAGTTGCTATTGGACATCTTGAATGTAATGGTGTCCCTAGACACCAGTTTACATTGTCTTCCAGCATATGTCACTTGAGGAATCTCTAGATGATTTAGAGGTGTCAGGCTAACAAATCCACACTCATTCCTGAAAATCCCTGGAAAATGGCAAAGATAATTGAGCTGATATTTTGGCAATTGGCAGGATGATTTTGTTTGAGTCTGAAGTGTATTTTAAGAAGTTATTTAGGTTTCCTGAATACCAACAGTATCATGAAAATATTATGCTTGCCACGTTGATTTAATCAATCAATTCTAAATCACCAAATTATATCATACATTTTAAACAAAAGCATTTTTACTATTGAACCCTAAACATGAATGTGACTTGTGATTTTTGTTTTTCCAAGAGAAGACTAATACAAATATTCATTTTAGAAAAATTCTCAGTACATGGGCTGTTTGTATATATCTTACCACTTCATATCCCAACCAAAATCAGATCCACAAACAGCAAGCAAACAAACCCTTGACTCTTTTCTCTTTTAGTTAGTTGTAATATAACATAAGTGATATTGATTGTAGCAATGGAGAATGATTATTGTTACTTTGGGGGTTGTGTCTCAAGTATACACAAATGGATAAACCACAATCCTTGGTGCATGACAAGGTCATGTACATCCCCCTCCCTCCTTTCCTTCCTTCTGTCACTAAACATCTACACACCAACCATCTAAAGCCAAAGATAGACCTTCGTAAGGACCTGTGTCTATCCAGATGACTTCTGCTGTTATAACATCCCTCAGCTCCATGCATTTGAGTAGCCATCATTCTGAATTCCATGCTTATCATTCTCTTCCTTTCCTGTTCATATAATTTCATTGTATTTATATGTCTTCTAAAAGCACATTTATTTTAGTTGTTTTAATCTTTATAATGATATAATGCTGCATATAATTACATTGCTAAGATTCATCTATATTGTTGGTTATCCCTGTAGTGTGTTCACTTGGTCTCCTATATAATATTTAATTTTGTCAAAATACCACATTTTGTACATCCACTTCCTGTTCAGGGGCATTTGGGTTGCTTCTAGATTTTTGCTATATTGGAGAGTTCTGTCATAAACACGTATGTACATGTTTCTTAATGCTTTTCTTGTGAATTAACTGCTTGGCAGATAATTTAAATGATATAGCTCCTACTTAAAAAGTATTTTCTATGTGCCAAAAACTGATCTAAGAATATTTACAGATATTACATGTATATTAATTACATATGTGTTACATATATATTACATATTACACATATATTAATTGACCTGAGGCCTCACAACAACCAAACAAGCTAAATACTATTGTTATCTTATTTTACTGCAAAGAAACGCCAAACCACAGGGAAGGTACAAGGTCACACAGCTATTAAGTAGTGAGTGAAGCTTGGGAATGCAGGCAGTTTGGCTTCAGAGTTTTTGTACTATAATGTCTTTCTTGGATCTAAGGACATAAAGGATTGCAACAGTTTATAACACATAACTTAGTTATTGACCAGAATTTGAGTGTGAGTCTGTCATAATCAGGATTAATCAGGTACAGTACACCCTGTAATGAGCAATATTGGAAATGCTCATGTATACTATAATTACTCTAAGACAAATGTCATAAACATCTTTGTTTTTTTTTTTTATCATGGGTACAAGGCACATAAATTTATTTCAATAGGACAGCTGCTGCTTTTGATGCTTGTTCTCACAATTCCGTGGTGGTAGTTGTATTTGTTTGTTCTCATGTTCCTAATAAAGACATACCCAAGACTGGGTAATTTATAAAGGAAAGAGATTTAATTGACTCACAGTTCCACATGGCTGGGGAGGCCTCACAATCATGGCAGAAGGCAAAGGGCATCTTACATGACAGCAGGCAAGAGAGCTTGTGCAGGGGAATTCCCATTTATAAAACCATCAGATCTCATGAGACTTATTCACTACCACAAGAACAGCACGAGAAAGACGCACCCCATGAGTCACTTACCTCCCACCGGATCCCTCCCATGACACGTGGGATTATGGGAGCTACAATTCAAGATGAGATTTGGGTGGGGACACAGCCAAACCTTATCAGTATTTCTCTGTGTTTCTCACAAACATCCCTGAGCACTTTATTGTTATCACCCACCATAGGATGGTCAGGCCCATCTTTCTTCCCCTTGAAGGAGCCCAGGCTTCTCCTAGGCTTCAGTGTTAAGGGCACAGTGGGTTCTGGGTGACCCTCATAAAATCAGATCATGAATTTAAGGCAGAGCCGACTTGGGCTCTCACTCTCCAGGGGAGATGTTCTTAGATGAACAAAAATTCTCCTTAGTCAGAAAAGCAGCATCCTCATCAATGTATGGAATTGTGGCAAACATATTAAGCATGTCATTCCTTAAGTTAATATCTGTCACTACATAATAACTCACGATAAATAAATGTGGTCAAGAAACTATATTGTCACAGGTACATGTAATAGATAAAGACAGGGAGCACAACCAGCGTTTGTTTAACTTTGCAAGGATCAAACCATCATCAGAACCACCCTTTGTGTCTTCATTAATTTTTTGTTCATGCTGATTCTGAATGTTTAGTCTCAAGAGGAATTATGAGCCATCAGATTGGATGAGTCACCTTTTAGTTATAATCACAGGAGCATTCAAAAATGAAATCACTTTATTCAGCTGGATGAACCTTATAAAAAGTAAATGACTTCATATACATTTGGCATAAGGCTAATGAGCTATTTTTAGTTTTTCCTGGAATTATCTTAGCCCTTCTTTCCGCCCTCCGTGATGCCTGCCTCCATTTTACCCCTTCCCAGTGCTTTCTTGGTCATGCTAATCAAAAAGGAAAGGGGGAAGAAACATGTGGTTTTGATAACCTTCAAATCATTAAGGCAAGGGGGAAAAGGCCCACAAAAGGTGGCTCTGAAACGTGGAGCGCCTTTCCAAGATCCAAATAAAGTGTTTTCTAGAGAGTTTCATGTTATTTTTATCATGACTTTTATAATCTACTACTATCTTTTAAAATCTGCATTAGAATATTATTTCTGGATCTCCAATCTTTATATCTATTTCTACGTGGGTATGACTGTATGTGTCCCTCAAAAAATTTCAATTCAGTTCTTGTGAACCAGAGAACTCTTCAACCTTTTCTCTTTTTTTGAGACGGAGTCTCGCTCTGTTGCCCAGGCTGGAGTGCAGTGGCGGGATCTCTGCTCACTGCAACCTCCGCCTCTCGGGTTCAAGCGATTCTCCCTGCCTCAACCTCCCAGGTAGCTGGGATTACAGGCATGCACCACCACACCCAGCTAACTTTTGTATTTTTTAGTAGAGATGGGGTTTTGCCATATTGGCCAGGCTGGTCTTGAACTCCCGCCTTGGCCTCCCAAAGTGCTGGGATTATAGGCATGAGCCGCTGTGCTGGCCAAATCTTTTTTTTTTTTTTTTTTTTAGTAAAAGGAAACTAAAGTTACAATAAAGAAATAAAGAAACTTACATTTTGTTGACACTAAATGGCAGGTTTCATACAAAGACTAATCTTTTTTATTAGGGTAGGAATAATTATTGGTGACTTTCTCTGCCAATTTTCCAAGTGTTGGTAATACATGTTGTTACTTTTTAAATGTGTTTTTGTTACTTTTAAAATGAAATGAAAAAGACATATAAATTATAGCATACATGTCTACCCCTACATTTAAAACAATATATTCCTATGATAAGGCAGAAAAATTAACCTACCCTTCCCTAACACAAACTTCCCTTTAATGCCTGTGGCCATCTGTAGATCCTGTCCTCTGTTAGCAAACTCCACTCATTTGCTTTTTGAAGTTGAGTTCAAGATCCTCCCATCTCCTCACCTGCCCCGTCACCCACATCTCTGCATTACTGTAGGCTCACTGCATGTGCCCTTCATCTGACATTGAATCTAGGCTGTCTTGCAACATTTCTGATATTACTGCCATTTAATTTAACTTTTTATATGCATTGCCTTTTTTTTTTTTAAGACTAGTCAAGTGCAGTAGTGAGAAGGAAGAAAGAGTGGAACAAGGAGTTCAGCTGTAATTGACTAAGGTGACTCACTCTGTGGACCAGCCTGCATTGCCTTTCTGGCTACATTGGTAAGTATGTTAAGGAGAGGGACAAAGTCACTTGAAGTTTTTGGCCTCGGTTTCCTCATCTGTAAAATGAAGGGAACCAGGCCTCCGAATGTTGTTAATCCAACACCTATAACTCTTTTTCCCAAGGTTGAAGATCCCCAGTAATATTTCAGCTTGCTTTCACTCGATGTTAATCCAACACCTATAACTCTTTTCCCCAAGACTGAAGATCCCCAGTAATATTTCAGCTTTGCTTTCACTCAGTGTTCCCTGACTCAGAGATCTCAAACCCTAAGGGAGAGGCAGAGTGTCCTTCAGTCTTGACGCCTGGGAGCTGTGGATGCCTCATTGTTGCTCGTCTTGCGACATAAAATAACAGCATGCTAGTGGCCAAAAGGCATGAAGTGTTCAAACTTATTCAAAGTTCAAAGTGTTCAAACCTTTTATGTACATGATTCTTTAAAACGAGGGAAAAGGGAATTGCTCTGTTCTCAATCGACTGTGTCTGAGTTCTTAGGATTTATATTAGATCCACACTCCCCCCCAAATTTTGAAGATGGAATGAATGTGTTTTCTCCTATATTTACCACTCAAGTTTTTTCTTTCCTACATGCTGACTGTTTGTGTTATGGTCATTAGATTCTAGTACTGAAGGGGTTTTGGTTTTTGCCTTTGTTCTCTGTGTGAGCTATGCAGTGGCTTTTGTGCTGAAGGAGGGAGCTCCCGTCTCATCAGTTTCAGAACTTGAGTGATGGATTCGTCGTGGCTGCTGATGGTAACGGTGGGCACTGGCCAGCCTGTTGCTCATGCAGCGTGGGAGGTGAGCGGGCACAGTGCCCGTGGAGAGGTGGTGCTGCCTGATGAGCTTAGGGAAACCCGGTAAACACCGATGTGCTCTCCCAGATGCAAACTGAGTCACATCCCTGTCAGGAAACTGCAAATAAATCGTGTGCAAAACGGAACAAGGATCCTATTAATTAATTTGGGATAACTTTATTTTATTTTTTATTTTTTTTAGAGACAGGGTCTCTCTCCATTGCCCAGGCTGGAGTGCCGTGGTGTGATTATGGCTCACTGCAGCCTTGACTGCCTGGATTCAAGGGACCCTCCCACCTCAGCCTCTTGAGTAGCTGGGAGTACAGATATACACCATCACACTCAGCAAATCTTTTCATTTTTTTTTTGTAGAGCTGGGGTCTTGCCTTGTTGCCTGGGCTGGTCTTGAACTCCTGGCCTCCCATCTCAGCCTCTCCCATCTCATCCTCCCATCTCAGCCTCTCAAAGTGCTGGGATGACAGGCATGAGCCACTATGCCTGGCCCTGACATGAGACTCTTAACCAGGCCATTTTACAACCAATTTCATGCATTCTACAATTAAACAAGATAGTAATTGTGTAACAGATCTAGACAACTTTTTCATACAGATATTTATTTTCCCAAGTTCAACTAGGGCTAGAGCGGTTTGTAGAAATGTATAGGTCTAACCAATGCTTCAGTTCACATGGTCTCTTGCTGTACAGCAACAGCCAGGTGAGTTCTAAGTGTCAAAGTGCCCACAAAAACTGCAGTGTAAGTGAAGCTAATCTTTGGTGTCTAACATATTTTTACTGTGTATTCACTTCCCTTCATCTTTTTGCATTATTTTCTGTCTCAAAGCAATCTGTTCTACATCCTTCCCCATCCAAATTCCCAACATATGTTGGGGTTTAGGCAATAATATTTGAGGCAATCGTAGAGGAATGTCCAAATGTGTTTGAATGAGGGGCTGTTTAACCTCATGTAGAGCTATTTGAAGATTCAGAAATGTACTTCTGAAGCCCGGGTCTGTCTTTAAAAGGCCAGACTTGGTATATCAGCACCTATTCAGCACACGCACAAGCTGCCCAACACCACACTCAGCTGACCGTGCTCCCCGCCACCTATCCTCTCCACTGATGGAGTTTCATTTTTCTATCAAGAGCATCACCATTTTGCTTGTCCAGCCCCAAAACACTGACATCATATTTGACTCATAACTCCTCCTACTATCCTCATGTTGGAGCAGATCCTACTGATATGAACAGAAGCCAGAGAAATTCTAGGCAGAAAAGGGTGATTCCCCAGCAAAACCCCACCCTCAAGCTGAAAAGCCTGAAACCATGGCCCAAAGTGAGAACTTGTATCCCTCTTTACCCGCTAAAATGTTGCCTTTCCTAAACTACCTATAACCATGCCCCACCCCATCCTGTGCCCATAAAAACCCCAGACTTAGCTGGTAGGTGGGACTACAGATGAATGTCAGAGAGAAGCAGCTTGACTTTGGAGGGACAGCTTGACGGCGTAACTTCGGAGAAGAATCCAGCCAGAGACAGCTGGATTCAAGGGGAAGACTACCTACCTGCCCATCCCCTGTTCAGCTCCCCTTCCCACTGAGAGCCACTTTATCGGCAATAAAATCCCCCACATTTATCATCCTTCAATTTGTTTGTGCAACCTCATTTTTCCTGGATGCCAGGCAAGAGCTCAGAAGCCACCAGTGCAAATATAAAAGGCTGTCACACTGGCCTTTGCCCTCGCTGGCGGGGGTAGCTGCCTCATGCGAAAAGGCAGAGGGCCCACTAAGCTGTTAACACTTAAGCCGCCCGTGGACAGCAGAGCTAGAACAGCACTGCAACACGCCCTCTGGGGCTTTGGGAGTCACAGGCACCCCCACCTGGATGCTCGAACGGGGACTGCATGGAGTTCGCTCCTGCCAGTGCCAAAGCGGCCAGCGGGTTCCAGCGCTCATGCACGCCAGCTTCCACTCTGCTTGCTGGTGCACTCCCTCCTGTGAGGAGTTGAGAGGGGCAGGCTGAGTAAATGAGGCACCCCCCTCGCAAGTGCCGTGAAGGGGTCAGGGGAATATCCTGCATCGCTACTGTCTCTTTAAAATCTCTCCAGAACCTGCACACCTCTCATCACCACCTTCTGTTTACCACCTAACACCTTAGTCTAGCTTTCCAGTAACCTTATGGTTTTTCTCCCTTCCTCCATTGACATCACCTGCGTTCCACTGTTCCCAAAGTATCCAGAGTGATGCTCAAACATCTGAGAGACATCAGGCATTCTCCTATTCAAAGCCCTCCAGTCACCTCCCATCTCCCCTCCTTTGCTGGCCGGCAGCATCCTCTGTGTCCTGGGCCCTCACTGCACCTCTAGCTCATGGCTACCACTCTTCCTCTTTGTCCTCCAGCCTCTAATGAGGCTGGCTACCTCGTTAAGCCTTGGACACTCCAAGCCCACACTGTCCTCTCCCTGGAGCCCCAGGTCTCTCCTTGAGTTCTTCAGATTTATGCTCCAGCACCTCTGTATCAGAGACCTTTCCTAACTGCCCCATATAAAATGCAGTCCTCCATGTTTCCTTTGTCTTTTAAAAGTTTTTCTGCAGAACACTTCTTATCACCTCTCATCTTACGTGTTTGCTTTTTATCTCTTTCCCACCACAAGGATTAGCTCAGAAGAGCAGAGACTTTCATCAGGAGAACGTGATTCAGAGGCAGGAAATTTAATCATGGGGTGGAACCTATAAGGACGTTCAGTCCACGTACTGGCATCGTGTGGCTCTACACAGGGTAGTTAGGGGAAGGGATGAGTATTACAAGTTGCTGAAAACAATATATACTTTTTTCCTTTAGCAAATGCAAAGAGGTAGTCAGCTTCACCACTTAGGCAAATGCAGAAATATTGCTGCTGTGGAAAAGGGTGCAAGAGAAAGTCAGAGTGAAACAAATCGGTGCTTTATAATTTAGTGAGTAGAATCTGTAATCATTACTATAATTTAATCATTACTATCATTTAGTTTCCCACTGTCATGATATTGCAGCCTGGTACACATTAATATTGCCATATGTTCATACTGCACACCATTATTTGCCTTTGTCGTTTTGTGTGAAACTAGACAAACATCACAATCTGACTTTGGACTCTGACCATTAGCATTGATTTCAAACAGTGCTGAGGCAATTCTGTGAAATATGGAATCACCACCACTACACAGGATCTTAAACTTCAATTCTAGAAATGGGATGGAACAGCTACCCACCTATCCTTAAGTATAATGAAAAAATTACTTTCCTGGTGATAACATAACCTTCATTATTTAAGTGGATATATGGTTGATTTTCTATCTTACATTTAATTTCCTTGGGTTTTGTTAAAATTATGAATGATGAGGCATTGCTTTATCAAAATAATACATTTGCATTTTAACAGATTTTCTTCCATTCTTTCTAAAGGAGTATCTCAAATAATGGGAGGAGTCAGCAGGCTAGAGTGTAGGATATTTTGCAGCAGTGTCTTGCTTTCAGCTTCACGTCATCCCATTGCTCCCTCAGCCAGCCTCTGACCCTACACTTGGTCTATACCAGGTTTATATACTGAGTTTCATGGATACACTTAGGTGGCATTAAGTAGAATAATGGCAGATGTAATGTTTATATAACTTCACTTAAATTTAGTTTAGGCTTTTTTTTTTCACCTCATCAACACAGAAAACCTATAACCTAAAATTTGTGCAGAAATGTGTTTCACAACAGCAATTAGGTATACAGGTGTATTAATCTGTTCTCGCACTGCTAATAAAGACATACCTGAGACTGGGTAATTTATAAAGGAAAGAGGTTTAATGGACTCACAGCTCCACATGGCTGGGGAGGCCTCACCGTCATGGCAGAAGGCAAAGGAGGAGCAAAGTCATGTCTTCCATGGTGGCAGACAAGAGAGCATGTGCAGGGGAACTCTCCTTTATAAAACCGTCAGATCTCGTAGATGTATTCACTACCACGAGAACAGCTTGAGGGAAACCACCCCCATGATCCAATTATCTCCACCTGGCCCCACCCTTGACACATGGGGATTATTACAATTCAAGGTGAGATTTGGGTGGGGCCACAGAGCCAAACCATATCAACAGGCATGCTACCTAAACCTCTCAAATCATTTAAAAGTTTCACTTATCTTCAGAACACATGAGTCTATAAAGAAATAAGCAACTGTGTTTTGGGTTATAAGTTAAAGGCTTGTAAATCATTAAAAAGAAGACCACTTTACCATGGCATTTTTCACGACAGATTTTTTAAAAATATCAACATTTTCTCATTAATCTCCATGAATTTGTTTGCAAAGAATAAATTTACTTAATCATTAGCTTTATTCTGCTTTTGGATAGCATGACTAAATAAGTTGCCTAAACTGAAAGAGTGATGTTAAGACTAAAAGTAGAAGTTATCAGTATTTATGCTGATGTAACAGGCATAAAATGGGATTATGCCAGGCAATAAGGCGAAAAAGAGATGATGTAACAAAATTCCTTCTATTTTGATATTAATTTAGTCTCCAGCAATTTATAGCTTTTCTCTCCAAGAAACACCACTCCTGTACCCCAAGGAGATAGTAAAGTTGAGAAAAGCCCTATGAAAAGGCCAAAGGAACAGACACGAAATAAAAAATAAAATAAATATTTAGTTTAAAAAATAAAAAGAAATAATTTAACCTAGAATAATTAAGACTAAAGAAACATGAGACTGAAAATTTAAAATCAGAAAAAAACTGGTAAAGTTAACTCTATTTTTCCCTAAGCCCTAACTTACCAGGATTAAAAGACACTCCATTATATTTCAAAATTGTTTTTGATAGAAATAGATTAAAAAGTACTTTATGTAGCGAGTAGAACATTTCTGGAACTCAACAACTTGAAATACAACAGACCAAAAATGTAGACAGAATCTAAATCCTTTAGAAATATGCAGGAGTGACAGCTCCATCCATGTTTTCCTCCCTCGACTACAAGTGGCTTAAAGACAGAGGTCATAAAAAAAGAGTGAAAACTACTAAATGCTCAATAGATAAATAATAAATCTTAAGTGCTTAATAAATGTTGCTGGAATGTGTAACAGAATATTCTGAAAGGAAGGCTATTCTTAACAGTCATGCCCACTGTGCCATGTCCTACAATGTGACTGCTGGAGAGAGATTAGAAGTAACATCTTTTTCTATGGCAAGCCACACAGTCAGAGACCTAAGAGAAAGTAGTCCTCTTCCTCTTCTAATAAATAGAAATAGACAGTTCCTATATCATCAGAGGATTTCATAGAAAAAGTATTTCATAACGAAGGCTTATGATCCTGATTATGGGCTACTTTTAAGAACTGTGGCATCACCTGCTGCTCAACTCCCAGACAGAGATGGGCGTGGTCTCCCGTAACACCTGCTGCTGGGGCAGGCTGGCGAGGTAGTCAAGAGTGTAGATGCTGGAGCCAAGCCAGCTTTGTGAAAAGCCCATTCTACCATATCCAGATGGATCACTTCAGAAAGTGACTTATCCTCTCTCTGAACCTGCCCACATTTCCTCCTCTAGAAACAGGGATAACAACGGTGCCAACCTCCTGGGGTGGCTGAAGGACCCAGTGGATGCGTATACACGAAGCACTTAGAAGTGAGTCTGGCAGGTACTGCCAAAAATGTGACTCCTGCTGCTATTAAACAGGGGATGTTGCCTTGGCACCGACAGGTGTGACTAGCGGTTGAAATATTTCAGATACGGGGCCCCTTCTTGCCTTGGTCCCTCATTCAAATGAATTCACGAATCAGGTTTTCTCTTGTATAAATGAGTTTTTTTTAAGGGCGTCTACTAAATCTTGGTTTGAAGGATGAATTCTTCTGGGCTCACATTTGCTTCTTTACTCCACAGATGGTGGAGTAAAATCTGTGTTCATTGCACCTTCCGCTGGTGCTTTAGGCTCCAGGAGCAGCAGCTCCCTGGATTGAGTGGGAGCCAGTTCTGCCTGACTGGTCTCACCAGCACACCAGACTGCGCAGGCGGGTCAGAGGCCCACGGGGAGGAAACATCAGTGGAGGGAGGATGCTGTGAGCGGTCCACCCCTGCATGACAGATGTCCCTTTACAGAAAAGAAGTGGGAAACAGACTTTGGCAAAGGGAAACGGCAGAGTAGCAAGATGATTTTGATTACTAGTGACATTTAATTGCAATTAGATTTTTAACCACAACCAAGAAGATGATAAAGCTTTTCCATGTATTTTCCATAAAACTGTCCGAGCTTAGGACACTTTAGTGCTCATTCTTCCTGCAACACTACCCACCACAGGTTCACTGTATTGGAAGTATACTGAGAAGAGCTCGTGGCTGGCGTGGGAGCGCCGCTGTCTTCAAACCTGGAAGTGAAGTGCACCCACACCCAGCCACAGCAGTGATTCCCCGGGAGCGACCTTCAGGGAGTTGCTAGGAGATGGCCGCTCTGTGTTTCCTTTGATTATAGGGCATAACCCTGCCACTGTCAAAATGCCAGAAGAAAAGGGCAGTGATTGCTGGACATAATTTTTTTCTGTTACTTCCTGTGAGATATTGTTTTGCACAAAGGGAGGAGACTAAGGGAGCCATGGATATCTCTGTAGCAGAAACATGGCAACTATTATCTGAGGAAGGCCGACATCCTCCAATAGCGATCCTGTGTGCAACGCGTATTATTTGCTTCTTCAAATTGAGTCGTATCTTTCAGTAATTTCTTAAGACGCTAGACGGTATTACACATAGGCATGGGGGGTGGCTTGTGGTTTAAAAGCAGGGCTTACACATATAGGTAGAAGCCGCATGTGGTCAAAGGAGATAAAGTACCACAAACTGAGGAGTGTAGTTAGCTGGGCGCCCTGGATTGAGGTAAAGTAGAAAAAGACTGTGATACTTCTGAGCCCAAGACATTTCACTCTGCCACACTATCTCCTGTATATGCAGTTATTAGATAGACAATTCTTTTTCCGTGACAGCCAATATCAGGTAGGGCTTAAAAGTCACAATCTGGGTTTACAACACAACTCTTCTGCTTATTAGCCGCATGACCTGGGGTGAGTTACTTTCTCTCTCTGTGCCTTGGTTTCTACAACTATAAAACCGAAATACGTTACAGTAAGCACTTGATAGGATCACCGTGAGAATGGAATGAAATCATATATGTATGGCCGGGCGCAGTGGCTCACGCCTGCAACCCCGACACTTTGGGAGGTGGACCACTTGAGGTCAGGAGTTCCAGAACAGCCTGGCCAACATGGTGCAACCCCATCTCTACTACAAATACAAAAATTAGCTGGGTGTGGTGGCGGGCGCCTATAATCCCAGCTACTCGGGAGGCTGAGGCAGGAGAATCGCTTGAGCCTGGGAGACAGGCGCTGTAGGAAGCCAAGATCGCGCCATTGCACTTCAGCCTGGGTGTCAGAGTGTCTGTCTCAAAGAAAAAAAAAAAGAAAATATGTAATATACTTAGAAAAATAGCTGGCGCAGAACAAATGATTACAGAAATATGAGCTATCATTTTCATTATTATTATTAGCATCATAAACATTATTTCGTTGTGCTCTGAATGCAGCTGAACAGTACTCAAGAGTTTCAGGATCAGTTGTATAAAATTACAAAAAATTAGAAGGTCACCCATCTTGAGAAAAGACAAGTTTGTATAAACAGGACAAACTACTGAAAGCAGGAGAGTTCAAGGAAGCCAAGAGAAGCTGAGAAAGTTTTCTTAAATCTGCTGTCTTGTTGGTTGCTGATCACCACCTCATTCTCCATGATAGGTGCACAGTTGGCGTACAGGTTACCTAGGGCTGGATACTGATTGAGCATATCCTGTGCACAAGGACACCTATGTTTATTCCACTTAGAAGTCTGAGGTTGTTCTGAATGTCAAGCAACAAAACAATGCACTTCTTTGGGAGAGCTGGGGCATTCCAGATTCTGGTCATTAACTGGGTGAGTGTCTTTAGGCATCATTCCACCTTTGTGGACTTCTGCTCCCTCGTTTGCAAAGTGAGAGAGTCAGACACTCAGGTTATGTTCCCTTAATCTCCACCTTTAAAAAAAATAATGTTCTGATCTACCTTCATAAGAGCAGTTGTGTGCCTTAATTTTCTTTGCAGGTTTGCTCTATGCAGACCTGTCATGTGGAAACTCAGAGTTATAAATTAGAAACAGGTAAATGATTTATTTTTGCCCTGCAAATGAGTCACACTCTCTACAAGTGGATTATTAAATTCCATTAAATAACAAGCTTGCCCAATAATTCTAAAATAGAATCTGGTTTTAAAAAAAAATCGGTGTACCTGTTCTCTGTTGTATAAAGAAAGGTATGTGATAGCATCGTTAAAGTATATGTTTTAGAAACTACTCTGGCAAATAATTTTCTTAGAGAGAGGTTACCGAGAAAAGAGAAAAGAAAAATTTAGTTTTTCTGGCTTGGAGAAGCAGCAAGTAAAAGTCACAGCTCTGGAACCAAAGCAAGAAAGCTCCTTGAAGAATGAGGTAATCAGACTTGCCGGTAGGTACTCTCAAACCAGCGTGAACTGTACACTGCAATTAATTATTAAATGTGCTCAGGCTAGGTCAGGCTATACTAACAGAATTCAGACACGTTTTTCTCTCCAGCATTTGGTTATCAGTTTTGTGACATATAGAGTAACAGTTATAAGGATCAGTTTCTGCAACTCCATCCCTCAACCTACTTTTTTATTGTAAATAGACTGAATGTGGGGAAAAGGCAAAGAGAAAAAGTGCTATGCTTCAAGAACATTTGTCTTGATATTTTGGTGGCAAGCATCATCAAACTAACTATATTTGGCTCTGACTAGCTTAGCATGAGATGTTAGTTTTTAGCCGCAAATGAGTAGCACTTGACAAGGTGAGAAATCTTCCTTCAATTGTTGAAATCATCCAAGACGTGTTTCTAATCTACATTTTGAAAACAAAAGCCCTAGCATAATGCAATAGGAATTCTTCTTGCCTGTATAACTGGATTCTGCTCTAGGGTCTTGTGGGATGGTTATTACACATGGCAGAGAAAGCTACGTGTCCTCTTGCACCCAGTCCCTCTTCTTAATTTATAACGGAAGTTTCAGCTGAACACATGGCTTTAGCCAGGCTAAGATTACATTTTTCAGTTTCCCTTGTTTTATCACCAAATTTTGACCAGTGGGTGTGAGAGGAAATGCTGTGTGCATCTTCCAAGAGGCTGTGGCCTTAAAGGCAAGAGGTGCCCTCTTTGCTTTTCCCTTTCCTGCTGGCTGGAACGCAGAACTGATGTCAGGAGCTGGGGCAGCCCTCTTGACCACCAAGGGAAGCCATGTTTAGCGCTGAGAAAGACAGAGCAATAAATGGAAGGAGCCCAGGTTCCCAGAATTGTGAAGCCTCCGTACTAGCCTTGCACCACCAATCTGTACTTTTACATGAGTGAGCAATACACATCTTTTATGTTTAACCTCTGTTAATTTGAATCTCTGTAACGGCAGCTGAGGTTTTATCGCAATAAATGTATTCCCACAGTCAGAATCCAGACAATTTCAATAGTTCCATTTTATATTTATGTATAATCATAAGAAGAAAGTCCCCAATTTTACATTAAACTCTGTATTCCTTCTAACTGTCTTGGGTTGAGTGACACGGCGGCTATTGAACGTATTTCTGTGGCACTGTAACCCAGTAGATCACACCCATGCAATTGCTTTCTCTTCCTTAGGCCCAGGTCACTTCACCTGCACCTCTTTAAAGACTGTATTTCCTTTCTGTGTCCCTCCCTCCCTCTCTCCCTTTCTTCCTTCCTTCCATGTATCTAAGAGATTGGCCTGGGCCTCCGGTACCCAGGTGCTCTGCCTTGTGACTCCATCTTATGTGAAAACTGTGCCAGGTGCTAGAAAACAGTTTGCAAATTATATTTTGGTTTGGAGACCTTGAGGATGCATTTACTGAATTTTTTGACTGGTATTTACATGATCATCTCAAAGAATGAATTGCAGTTTTTTCACAGTGGAGGTACTGATAATTCACCCCTTGAAATGAGGCCGTGTGGGATGAGCAACCTTGAACCAGGACCTTAAAAGCTTAGATTCCAGCCACGGCTCCGACACAAAGTGACAGCCGCGTGACCGTAGGCCCATCGCTCTGTCTCCCTGGGCCTCAATCTTCTCACCCTTGCATTGGGAATGATACTAAAGTTCCTCATCCACCTGCCTCATGGGATTGCTCAGAGGATAGTGTGAGACAATCTACCACAAAGTACAACTGTGAGCCACTTCCTAACTCCTGCTTTCCCACCTATTCTTTTTTTTTTTTTTTTTTTTTTGAGACAGAATCTCACTCTGTCGCCCTGGCTGTGATCTGGCTCACTGCAACCTCTGCCTCTCGGGTTCAAGTGATTCTCCTGCCTCAGCCTCCTGAGTAGTTGGGATTATAGGTGCCTGCCACCACGCCCAGATAATTTTTGTATTTTTAGTAGAAACGGGGTTTTGCCATGTTGGCCAGGCTGGTCTCAAACTCCTGACCTTGGGTGATCCGCCTGCCTTGGCCTCCCAAAGTGCTAGGATTACAGGCGTGAGCCAGCATACCCGGTCCCCACCTACTCTTTAACTATGACAGATGTGAACGTTTGATCTCTTTGCAGACAAGATCAGCACGGTGACTGGGTCTTTGCCCTACCTTCCTAAGCAAATGACAGAACTGGTAGCAGAACTGGAGCCCCTGAAGCTTCTGCAGGCAAACTTCCTGGAGCAGCCCAAGAAAGTCAGAGCCCCTCCTTTTCGTCACATTCAGTTGGAATTTTGGAAACCAAGCATAATGGAGAAATAACTTTTTTGGTATAGCCGGAAGATGAACCCTTGGGCACAGTTTCAAAGTCAAATATTTTACTGTAAAGTGGAAGAAGAAAATACCCAGATCTTTCTGCATAGTCAAGTGGCTTATGTTTTGCACGCATTGGAAAGAAGGGAAAACAAAAGCTGTCTTAGAAGACGAAATCAATCACATGAGGAGTGGCACTGCTCCAGAGAGCTGAGGTCTTCCTCTTAGGAATTACAGACTTTGGTTCCGTATAATTAGGCCCTGTGTTGCTCAACTTCCAAATAATTTAGAGAGAATTATCATGTGAGAGTGCACATATATACATTTTTTTCCAAAACAACCTTCTCAATATGTAGCAAAATGTAGTCAAGGAAGAAAAAAAATGAGAAGTTCTTTAGATTTCAGCCAAAACAATCACTTAAGCTCCAAGTCACTATATAAACACCATTAATACCTGTTAAAAGGTCGTGAATTCTGTAAGAGATGTTTGGAACAAACAGTGCTTCAGAACTACCCACAAAAATAAACAAAAAAGAGATCATATTATGTCACTGGGTCCAGACAGGATGATGAAACGGCTATGATCACGTATAAGCTTTATCTATCTTTCCAGAGAACAGTGTCAGGGACATATGGGTTACTTTCCAAATTTTGTTTAAAAAATATGAAAAACATCTGTGAAATTCTGGTAAGACAAAAAGAGTTTCTAATTCTTTGGATCGCAAAATGATTCTTCAGTTCTAATTAGCTATGATAAATTATGTTAATTCTAAATTATTATCATTCATGTGGGCATTTAATTTAAAAAGTGGCATTATTTGGAAAACAGTCTCTGCAATTTATTCTAATGTAGTTTAACACGAAGCAGCTACATTGCCTTTTTGGATATTTTCAGAAGTGTGAAAACTGTGAATATCACTTCAGGCTTTGCAGAATGGTACTCTACAATGAATCTGTGTCTGGCATCTGATTGGTGATAAAAAAAATTATTGGGAATAGATTATTAGTTATTCTGAGACAGAATTTTGAGAAACTTGTTGAAAGAGTCTTGTTTGAAGAGCCCATAAGGAACCTCCTCCTTCACACCCATACTCTGGCTAAGAATGTTGACTCTTTTTTCTTAATTAAAGGCTGAATCACTGATAATATTGTTGATATTAAGTGCCTACTAACCAGCAGCATGAGCTTTTAACACTTTTAATGTCACCCAAAAGCCTACCCAAAGTGCCCAGGAAAATAAACAGTTTTCTAAGATTCAGTATAATTTTATTTTGTTTTGTAGCTAAAATGCGCCAGAGCTGTATTCATGTCATCACAGTGGGAAGAAGGCAAACATCTGAGAAATTAATAAATCCCACAGCCGATCTGAGCTGTCACCCAACCCCAAAGGGCCTCAGTATCTGCATCTGTATATGGGGATAACTCAGTTCTCCAGAGTTTGTAACAGGCCTAGCACAGTGCCTGCACATGTAAGAGCTCAGAAAGTTATTTGTAAATTAGTAAATTAATTTATAAAATTGTAATAAATCAATAACCATTAAAAAAAAATAAAATAAAATAAATCCCACAGCCACTAAAAGCATATCGTATTTGGGGCACAACTCTGGCCATAGAGGCAAGCACCTGACATAACACAGATGGCTTCTTGCTGGTAGCATGGTGGCAACTTCGCTGAAAACACAGAGACAAGGACTGTTTCACTCTGTCTCCCTTAAGAACTTTGAAAACAGTTTTATGTCTTTGGAGAAGGAGCACCAATTTAGCTTGCATCATGGATCATATAGAACAGGGTATGTTTTAATGTGCTAAAACCTAAGCAATGTATTTAACAGAGCAATCTATTTCCATGAGGTTCGTGAGAAAATAATTCAGAGGCTCTAAGGGAAGTTGGGAGAAGAAAGGACAGCCCGTACCAGTGCACTCAAATAGCCAGAAAGAGCAGAGATGCTGATTGCTCCAAGCAGTAGTCTGAGTCTTATTCTATTCATTTCCTTAGAGTAATTTCCAGTATTTGTTAAGGCATACAGAATTTGGGGGCTTGAGGTAGGGAGTGTGTCTTATCCATGCTTGGAAATGTAACAGCTTTTGAAGTTTTGTAATGTTTCTTTTTTAAAGCAGGCATCTTTCTAGTTCCACTATCTCTGTGGAGTTGAGGAAAGAAAGTAATTCATAGACACAGGGCAGCACGCTGACCTTTCTTCAGTGAACGTCAAGGTCCTGGGCTCATAAGGGAATAAGGAAGAGGAACCTCAGTATATTAATCCATGGGCTCCAGCCACGTGGCAGCTACATATTTTCAATCACTTTGCTTACTTCAAACTTTTCTTGGTGTGCCATGTACATTAAGAACAGATAACTAAGAAGCAACCCTTCTCAGTGTTTTTGGCATCTACTGATCAGCACCTGACATTCCAAGTTATTTCCTCCTCTACTCGGCATGCCGATTTCTGTACTGTTGAACAGCAGGAAGTGCTTTCAAGGGTCTAATAAATTAGCCTTTCGTTGTTTCAACTTCCAAGTGAAGTTAACAATAAAAGAAGCTTAGTATGAAAAAGATCCAGGGTTTCTTAACCTACCTCTTGTTTCTTATTTTCTTTCAGTATTGGCTTTTTTTTGATGATGTTTGGGTGTTTGGGGAGTGGAAACACCATAAATTTGATCTTAAGCTGTGCTGGGACAACTTTTGCATGTTTTTATTGAATACTTGGGATATTCCACTGCCCAGAGAGTTAAAAAAAAAAAAAGACAAAAGGATGAGCAGCTAGTTAATAGTCTTCATAGCCACCAGTTATCCTTTAATCTAGTATTTTCTAGAGTGCTGTGATATTTGCAGAATTAACCCACAAAACAGTATCCTATGGGCCAACCGGTGATGAGACTGAGTTTGCCTTTGAGAACTCCGGTGGGTGTTCTAACCTAACTTTCCTACCTCTCTTCACTGTCATTTATATTGTTGCCTGAGGACTCTTCCTAATACCTAGCCAAAGTATGGGGGGCCTCTGCTGTCTGAGAGGTCAACTTCTAACAATTTAGTGTGACCTCAAGGCCACCCCATGACCTGACTCCATTCTCCTTTTTCACTCTCGTCTTCGGCCACCTCTCTCAATTTGCCAGACTATCTGCTCTCCCTGGAATCCACCATGGACGCTCATGCTGTTTCCCGAATCTGGATGTAGAATTTCCCTGACCTTTTTATTTACAAAATTCTACCCATCTTTCAAGATTTTCCTTTTCCTGAGTTGATTATTCTTTGTTTCTGTGTTCTCAAAACACTTTCCTTGAGCAATGCTAAATACTAGTTTCCTTCACGTCTGTTTCTCTCACCGCAGCATCTGTGAGATTAAGGATAGTGTCTTTTTCACCATTTATCTCTCACTGCTCCTAGTTCAGCACCTTGCATATCTTTCATGCTCAGTGTACTTAAAAACAAAAGAATCATACATAAGACGGTGTTGCCAGTTTATCATTTAATGAAGAGGCTTTTTTCTTTTATCAATTATGGTAAATCTTTGACTAGTTCAAAAAGGGATTTAGGCAGATCTATTTTTGAGCATTTCTCCTGTTAATATTTATATTGAACTTCAGCCTTTTGGGGTCAACAGCTAGAAACCATCACAGCCTGCTATAATCCATTAGTTACAAAAGGATGGAAATTATCCTGCAAAAAGCGCCAGGCTGCAGAGGTTCTTGTTTGGAATTATTACACTGCTGTTGGATATTCTAACTACCCACTTGTGTTCAAAGGAGAAGCGGCATTTGAGAAAGCTTCTAAATGTGGGTTCTGCCACCTACCATGTAGAACTCTATGCCAGTGGGTCAAACATACTTGCCGTCTAATTTAGCATCCCAATATAGATTCTAGCAGAGCTTCTTTGACATAGCTAATCTCTCTGAGTTTCAATTTCCTCACCTATAAACTTGGGAGTAACGACTTTGTGTGGCAAGAACCCCAAGTAATTAATCAAAATTCTAACTTTGTGCTTGGACATAGGGATTGATCATAAATGTGGGCTATTATTGTCTTGATCTTTGTTTTTGCTGTTGTTCATATAGTACTTATTAATATGGCTTCTAATTTCAGGTTTGTCATTTCTGTCGTTTTAATTTTATTTTATCAAATAAATTATCATAATAATCTTTTCATTGGCTCTCCTGTCCCTAGTTCTCCCCCTAATATTGATCTCTCTCCTTTTAATTCCAAGCTGCAATTGCAAGGCTAATATTTTGAAAGGAACACTGACTTCACATTATCTATTAATAAATTCTAAACCAAGCCCAACACAACATGATCCTAACCTAATTTTCAAGAATTTATTTTCCTTCTCAGTTTTTTTTTGTTTTTTAGTCAAACTGAACTTTTTGTTGCTCCTTTTTTTGTACATTTCATGTTTTAGCCTTCATTTGAGTTTAATTAGCACATTTTAACCAGATGCCTACATTGTGTCAGATATTTTCTGGGTAGTAGGAGTGTCAGGATAATCCAAAAGAATCCCTGCCTTCCAGGAGCCCATGACTGGTGTGGCGAGGCAGGTGTGATTTTGATTCATCTTTTGTGAGATGTTTTATTCGTTGAGATTACCTCTAATTACTCTTAAAATTACACACAGTTTTAGAAGTCCATCTCAAAATAGTCCCCTATGAAAACCACATAAATCCCTCTCACTCATTTAAACTAATATAGTTCCTTTTCTGTGCCACTTCATCTTGTCTTACTTTATGTTATTTATGTTGGTGTTTTCTTGAGGGCAGGGATCATGCTTTATTCACATCTGTGTCTTTCATCGTACCTTATGTATAACAGGCTTGCAATAAATATGGGTTAAATATCAAAGGAATGTAATAGTACAATTTGACTTTAAATAGAATAATAACCAAAGTTTTCAGGGACCATTTTTCAAAAGACCCATTCCCCCAAGATACTTAACCTACAATGCTTACTTTGTATAAGCTCTGTTACTTAAGCTAACAAACAATAGTTCTGGAAACCTCATATACAGAAACATAAGGATATTTAGATGTATAATATATTATATATATAATATATTTTGTTACACCACTAGACTTGGCTTGAATGAACCAGAATATTGCTTGCTTATTTCCTTGATGTTCTTTTCTTACACGGTTTGTTCTACAAATGTATAAATATTAATATATTAGAAAGTTATAGAAACAGATGAAGGAAAAATAGACACAAATATAGTATGGAAGCCTGGACATAAACCAGGGATTTCAGAAATAGAAGCTATGGAGATGCATCCGGGAGGAGGGTCTGTTTTAGCACATTTGGGCATGCATCTTTAAATAGGAGACACATTTCTGGAAGGAACATAGGGTCCTGTGGGTAAAGTATTGGGTTGCCTTGTTTTATATTTACTTGAGGCTATTACAGAGAATCAACTACAGTGTAAAGGGAGAGCAAAACCAAGCGAGTTTGGATTTAGGGACATTAAGTACGCTTTGAACAGATCAGAAGCCCTGGACAGACGCCACCACAAAAGCAGCAGCATCTGGAAGTACACGTGCTCATCTCTTTGTATTGCTTGGTGTGATTTCCATGGCTACTAAACGAGTCATTCACTTCAACCTACATTGATGTGATCAAAATAGTTTCATCAGAGCAAATTCTCATCCCCTCTGAAGAGTGGACAGATTCTTAAGGATTGTCCACGTTTGTATTAACGACCCTATTGCTTATGCCGTCACAATTACAGCTAACCAGATAGGTGCAGTCAATGGATTTTGTCAATGATTTACCTTCAAAGTAACAATACTCACATACAAGTAGAAGTTAAAAGGATTTCAATAAATTTGGTAATTGACTTTTTAACTATACGTTTGTGTCAGGCATTTATACTTAGCAAATCTTATTTATTTCAATGTATTTGATTGTTCTGAAATCAGTGACAGGTTAATAACTTTGTTATCAGATTACTAAATTAAGCTTTTATCAGATCATGTTTACATTAAAAAAGAAAAGCCTGAAGACATTATTAACTTCATTTCAACAAGCTTCTGTAAATAAATAGGCTTTCATTAGGAAACCAGCCCTATTTATCAAGGTTATTAAACCATTTTGTAACAAAAAGCATGATTTACAAAAATGTCCCATGATTAGGCTTATTTTATTTTGATACGACCAGGTTTGCTACACATTTTAACATAAATCAAGATAAACAGCTTGTTCAGAAAAAATAAAGCTTCAGAAAAATGCACCTTAATCACTGTTTTGAGTTACTGATTAATGTTTGTCCCTGAATCTGCTCCAGACAGATTTTATGTTTTCTTTGATGACTTTCACTGGAATATGGTTGGCTTTTATGATTAAACCCATCCTTATGGTATAATCCTTGACTAGGAGTTAGACATTGAAAAACACTTAAAACTATACATGGTCAATTTCTTATAATTGATTTTTTTCAGTAAACTCATGGAGAATAACTTTTGTGGTGATTATTAGAATGTTCAAAAACATATTTCTATTGTGAAAACCCAGTGCTTGCTTTCTGAGTCTGCGGGTCTATCCAGCCTGCCCAAGAACTCGATTCAGCTAAGGTTCTCCCTTCCATTATGGAGCCTGGAAGGTTTTATGCAAAACCAGTGACTGTGCTCCCCGAGAAAGTCCACTGAGTAGCGTGCTGGACAGAACCTGACCAGGACTCCATGCTTTCAAGCTCTGGTTCTACCGTCTGTTACTTAGGCAAATGTTTTCACCTGACTGTAGGGTTGATTAAGGCTTTTGGCTTGCCCCAAAAACCCCTGTATTTCTGGATGGGAATCAGTTGGAAGTATTTTGCTAGGGTCCTGTCTTTGCCATTCCATCTAGCTCTAGTAATCTTGATGGCTCTTATCTCTTATGCTCTGGATGAAAACTGGTAATACTTCTTTCTCCATTTGTTTTGTGTAAGCATGGTGGTCGGTAAGATGATTTCTGGTGAAGCAGCAAAACCACAGGCTCTTGTTTCTAAATCTGGTTAACTGAATGCCTTCTGTGTTCACCTGTCATCACAAAAGGATGCGCAGGAGCACTCATTATTTTAATCGGAGTCGTTCCTAATTCTAAAGTTAATCATGGCGATTCTCAGATCAGGGAGAAAATTAATTAAGATGCAATGCTATTTTCTTCTCTCCCAGGGTGACATCTCCCAGGTTTCTCATTAAATCGCCCATTTAGTGTTTGGTTTCAGTGCTTTGGAGCCAGGCAGACCAGATGCAAACCCCAGCTGCATGTGCCATTTGCTCCCTGAGGGGCAGAGATGATGGCCTTGCTGCCAGTGGCATCTCCAGCCCTGGAACTGTGCTGGGTGCACACGAGGAGCCAAATGCATGTTTTCTGAGGGGAGTAAGTGGAAGAATGAATGAAGTCAGCCCTTCCATCTCTTCTTCCTTAGCTGTCAAATAGGATGACAAAATACCTATTTGCCAGTGGTTGTTGTGAGGATTAAATCATAGATGTAATGCATTTAGCACAGTGAATGGGCACATGAGAAGAATTCTATAAATGGCGGTTGTTCATCTTCCTACAGGAAGGGCAGATCTCTGAGTCATAGAAATTGCTTCTTATTTCCCACTTTCCTTTATTTCCTTATGTGGTGAAGTATAAGTTCCACTGGTATTCAACAAGTAAAACTCTTGTTCAGGGTAATGTGCTACTAACTTTTAAGTCTGCATATTTTAAAATGAGAGAAAATCTAGTTTTTTCATTAACTTTCTACTCATCTCTTTCTGGGCCCGCTCAGCAAATCCCCGGTTTCAGAGGACTGCCCTGTAAGGAACTATAGACAGGGTTTCCATCCGTATTTCCATTTTCTGAATAAGTAACAAGGGGAACTAGACTCTCAGGGCCTCCTCTGCCTGCTTCGTCCTTATGGAGCTGATGTGGGGAGAACACTCCTCACTGTCCAGTCTAGTGATGACCACAGTTCTGTAGCCACGTGGATCTGTGTACTCGAGGTCAGTTAGTTCCAGAAAATCATCCAGTCTAACATTTGCTCAGATTCCCTAATTTCTACTCTGTGAAAGACAAGGAATAGTACAGCTCTTCAGTTTCCTGGGGGAGTGCTTCATTACTTTTCCTCTTTTTCTTTCTACTTAGTCTAATGACTCAGATTCCAGATGGTTCTGCCTAAGTTTAGAATTATCATGATCTACTTTGTAGAGAGAAAAGAAAACATTTCTTGTACAGTACAACTTATGTAATTTTTTTTCAGGGAAGTGAGAAAAATATAACACGCAGTGTAGAAGAACTTTTGGCTCTAACATTAGATATCAATGTTTCGTATTCTGTCATTGGGGTGTATTGTAATTTACTTATTTACTGTCTAATTCCTTCTGTAGCTAGTGAAGTTTACATTTTCTTTTTTCTTTTTTTTTGAGATGGAGTCTTGCTCTATCGCCCAGACTGGAGTGCAGTAGAGCCATCTCGGCTCACTGCAAGCTCCGCCTCCCGGGTTCACGCCATTCTCCTGCCTCAGCCTCCCGAGTAGCTGGGACTACAGGTGCCTGCCACGGCACCTGGCTAATTTTTTGTATTTTTAGTAGAGACGGGGTTTCACTGTGTTAGCCAGGATGGTCTCGATCTGTGAAGTTTACATTTTCAAAGAATGTTTTAATGATATGGAAAAATATTCTCCAAACAATGATGTGCAAGTACAAGGTACAAACCAGGAAAGTGTAATTCTAATTTTTTTTTTTTAAAGGTCAATATACTTTCTTTTTTTTTTTTTTTTTTGGAAAAGAAATATTCCTAATAATTCATTTAATCATCTGGAGAGTGGGTTGAAGTTTTGTAAAATTTAATTTCTTCATTATAGACTGTATTATTTTAATAAAAGCTTTTCTTTGGTGTCACCCATTGTGTGCAGCACTGAGCTGGGGCCCTGGAGCTCTCACTATTGTCCATCTGGCCGCACCACTGTCAGCACTGCTTTCAATGAACTGTAACAGAATACTGATGACTCAGCATTTCTGCTGCTGACAGGAAGTCCTTGAGCGAGTCTCTTTGTAGTTCCTCCAAGAAAGGATGCTCAGGCACTCCTTGGGTGAACAGCTGCAGGCCATGGAGAGGACAACCGGGTTGCAGTAGTAAGTTTGCACTGGGCTATCCCAGAGCTAGAACAAGGGAACAGGTCAGCCCCTAGAGTCCCAGAGGTCACAGACTTGGGCAGGTCCAGGCGTTAAATGCAGCTGTGCCTTTGGAGCTGGACATCCAGGTACCTGGCTGCCTGCTGGGAACAGGTGAGTATGTATCAGCCATTGTGAAGCCTCAAAAGGCTGCAGCCTGACGTAGCTGCAGATCAGGCTGTACCCAAATTGCATTGTTACTGATGAAATAATTTTTTAAAAAACCAATGGTATCTATTTGAGCATTTTCCTCATGGACACCATTCAACAGAATGCTGTTCTCGGGGAACAAATGACTCATGCAAATGACTATTTTCTAGGTTTTTCTCATGGTCAAGCAGCCATGATCTTTTTATAGCTTTATTTTATTTTAACTCAGTCCCAATGGTTAATTTAAATCCTTTCTTTCTTTCATCAATGATACAAAGAGCTCACTTTACTACAGTCTCATCTTGACAGAGTCAAATGCAGAGGCTGTAAGGCTGCCCACCTGAGGAGGAGGAACTGGAACTTAGGAAAACAGCTCAGATGCTTCATGCAAATGAGGAAGCTCAATTGGCTTCTATTGAAAATACCTCACGCATCATTTTCTCTTGTCTCTACTTGCCAAAATATTTATAAAATATCTTTGCCCTGCCATACCTAACTAAGCCTCTTGGAATTTATTTTTTCAGTGAGATTCTCTGATGCAATAACCAAGCACTGGCTTTTAGAAAGTGTTCTCTCCCCCTCCCTCCCTCCCTGCCTGTCTCTCTCCCTCCCTCCCTGCCTGTCTCTCTCCCTCCCTCCCTGCCTATCTCTCTCCCCCTCCCTCTCTCCCTGCCTCTCTCCCTCCCTCCCTGCCTATCTCTCTCCTTCCCTCTCTCCCTCCCTCCCTGCCTATCTCTCTCTCTCCCTCCCTGCCTATCTCTCTCCCTCCCTGCCTATCTCTCTCCCTCCCTATCTCTCTCCCTCCCTCCCTGCCTCTCTCCCTCCCTCCCTGCCTGTCTCTCTCCCTCCCTCCCTGCCTGTCTCTCTCCCTCCCTCCCTATCTCTCTCCCTCCCTCCCCGCCTGTCTCTCTCTCTTCCTCCCTGCCTATCTCTTTCCCTCCCTCCCTGCCTGTCTCTCTCTTTCTCTCTCTCTCTCTCTCTCTCTCTCTCTCTCTCTATATATATATATATATATATATATATATATATATATATATATGTCTGTTTCTCTGTCTCACTCTAGATATACAATCAAATCAGTGTGCAGATGGAGGACAAAGAGTATCACAAAATTATTATTGTAACTTGTGGATAATAAATTTCAAAATCTGATGTCTGTGCTCCAATATCTGACCTCCTTTTTTGCAAAATATGCACATGTGAAACCTGATTTACTACTGAGGAAGTTAACCCTTTCCTTTTGAAAGTAATGCATCAGTAGAAGATGGAAAGTTCAGTGGAGATGGGTGATCTTCTCAATTATGTGCATGAGAATAAGTAAACTCCCAGGCATTCCGTCACTCTCCAAAGTCAGAACAATCAAGAGGACACATCAGGCTTTAGAAAAACTCATTCCCTTGGAAGATAATCTCAATAGCATGTGTGAATAGGAAGAGCATCAAAGTGTGACCGAGAGAGTGTCAGAGAAGAGTCACCTATTACAAGCATGATCATAGTACTTAGGAAAAAGTAAGTTCCAGGCTTATGTGGATATTCATATAGATATTTTCCAGGGTTTTAGAGGTTCATGATTTCTCAGGGAGACCAAAGTGCCTATGTGACTGTGAGGGGTTATTAGTCCTCTGGGTTCTGGCTTTACTCAGAAATAGCCTGGACCACATGGGTCAGTCCTGCCCCACAGACATTAGGCCCCCTCCTGGGGCCCCTGCAGAGTGGGTCAGTTCTGCAGATGTGGGAAGGGATGAGTGTTGGGTTTGGGAACCAAAGGCTGTGTGTTGAGCTTACAGTAGACAATTTGGAGCTGCTTCTTGCTTAGAGATGACCCAATATCCAAAAGTAGCTATTGCGGGCAAGTGGTGTTCCCCAAAAAGGTATGTTGAAGTCCTTCCTCACCCCCAGTACCTGTGAGAGCGATCTTATTTGGAAACAGGATCTTTACAGATGTAATCCAGTTAATTGAGGTCATACTGGAGAAAAGTGAGCCCTAAATCCAATGACTGGTATTCTTACATGGAGAGAGAGATTTGGAGACAGATCCATAGAAAGAACATTGCGAGACAATGCAGGCAGAGATGGGTGATGCTGCCATAAGCCAAGGACTGCCAGCAACCACCAGAAGTGGGAAGAAGTGAGGAAGGATTCGCTGCTGGAGCCTTCACAGGCAACCCGGCCCTGCTGACACCTTGATCTCAGACTTCTACACCCCCACGTAGAGTGTGAGACAATAGATTTCTGTTGTTTCAAGCCACCCAATTGGTTGCACTTTGTTGCAGCGCTCTAGAAACTGATACAGTGGCTCAAACAGAGCCTCTAGGTGTCTCTTCTTTTGCAATCCAAAGACTGCACCAGTGCTACTTGAAGGGGTAAGAGAGCTAAATAAATTTGCTTTTGGGGAGATAGATTTGGGTAAGTTTCTCCATGCTGAGTTAGATGAGTGATATGTGGTGGTGGTAAAATCCAGATAACCCTTGAGTGTGATGATTTCAGAAAGAGAGAGCCAGGAGGCCTGGGAGCCAGCAGGCCAGCGGGGGTCCGCCCACTGGCCCCGAAACAGCGAACAGTGACATTGGAGCAAGGGCCCATCCCGTGCTTCTCTGGAGCCCCACTGGGCAGAGCCAGGTGGAGAAGCAGGAAACTGCACATTGGTGGGCTGGAGGGGCTTGGAGGGGCTGAGACAAGGTGTGTGCTTGGGGATAAGGGCGTTCCTGGTCCCCGGTGAAGCATCAGTGACCAAGAGGCATCCTCTAGAAGAGGTAGACACTACATGGGAAGGGAGAAGCAGCATGAAGGAAGGCGCTTTAGGACAAGGGGATCAGTTACAGTTTCTTCGCCATGTGCCTTAGACCTACAGCTTGCTATTCCACTCTGAAATAAGGCAGAGTGAAGAATTCAAAAACAATCACTCTGGGAGAAAAAAGCGAGTTCTCTTGATATCCTTGCTTTCTCCTGGCCTCATTTCCTCTGATGTTCCCCTGCCCTCTTGCAAATCAATCAGCCTAAATCAAGGGTGTCTGTGCAGGTTCTCAAGACAGACATGCTGCTGGGAGTGGCACGTACGTGAACGTCAAGGAGATGTCAGGGCATGCGCATATTCTTTGGTGCCCACCGTCTTATTTTCTTAACTTACTGGGAAATCTTTTTGTTAGAGTGCACGCATTAAGTTTCTTCCTGGCCTCATCAGCCCCAAACCCAGGCAGTGGCGGGCGGTTTCCCGTGAGGACAGCGTACCTTCTGAAGAAATGCACCCAGATCAGAATGGTATACGAGTCTGTCCTATTCTCGCTCTAGAAAAGAAATGTCACAATAAATAGGTGGGTGGGGTCTGCCCCACACTCCCCAAAACAACCAAAACAGCGGCGAGATCAAACTGAGGACAACGTTATCATCATATATTCTTTTCTTTACACAGTTTGATACCTACCTACTTCTCAGAACAAACACCGCGGAAAGGAAACTGGGTGGATACTTACTGTTTTTAGTTTGTTACATACTACAATTAGTCACCATTAGCTAATTATATAGAAAAGGGGAAATTGGGGCTGTTTTACCCAGAGTTGGTTTTAGGTGGGGGTGAAGCAGGCAGGGTGATATTGGCAGCCTCATGGTTGGTTTTGCTGATTCAGTTCCTCTTTCCTTGCCCCCTATTTCATACAAAATTCCTCTGACAAAGCTTCCTGTGTGGCCACTGGTCAGCATTTTAATAGAATGGAAGGGTGCAGCACAGCAAAGGCCATAGTGTTAATATCCCTCGCATCTGCCGTTCCCACCTCCTCCTTGCTTTTCCAGTCCTTTCCAACTCTGCATAGGATGATGGGGAGAGGAGGGAGCTAGGAAGGGTGAGAGGCAAGCAAAGTCATTTCCAGCATTTTAAAGTCAGCTCTCCCAAAATGCTCTCTCTCTCCATAGCCTTCTCCCTACTGGGGCTTCAAAGCCTTCCCTCTACCTGAAACCACTCAGGGTGCAAGGAAGCCTCTTCAGGTCCCCCTCATCCTTGATCATTACACCAGCTCTTGAGGATCCTTTCTTTCTCTAAATTTGGCAACAATCTTCTGTTGCAGACTCTTTTCACTATTGGAATTCCCTTTCAGGGACTGCTCTCTACAACTTATATGGCTGCAGCAGCAGCTTATCTGACCATTTAAGGCTCTACACTGTGCAGACAGAAAAGGATCACACTCCTCTCTCAGACACATTATAAGAAATTTTATACAAGGCCTGTGCATTTTCAAAACACAGGATTGACCTAATGAGCAGGAATTTGAGACCAGGTAGGAAAAGAGGGTCATGGGATGTGGGGAGCTGCCTGGGGGCTGGTGGGAACTTGCCAGGGGTCCTCATATCCCTTCATGAGACAGTTGCCTAATCAGCCTATTTCAAGGGATGGCCCTGATTTCACGGTGAAAAGCAAGGCATGTTTCTGCAGATACGTCAGTGCTCTAACAGCAACATGTCCTCTGCTAGGAGGACATCCTAGGAGATTCGCTTCCATTGAATCAGAGTAAACTATTTTTTTTTTTTTTTGCTTCTTGGCAGAATATTATTTGCAGATATCTGCAAATTTGGTAGGAAAGCTTTTTTTTCTAAATGGAACTATCCTGAAAACAAAGGGAAAAAAGGGCAAACACACACACACTCACACACACAAACAAACACACACACTCACATGCGAGCCTTCCCCCAAATCCTTCCAAGTCTTCATTCTATTTAAGCTGTTCATAAATAATATCTGATGATAATCTCATTGAAAATGCATCTGTTTTTATGTTAATTTTTGTTAATTTGACATCCCTAGACGATATCATGAAAATATTTACTGTGTGTACGTTTGTGTGTGTGTATGTGTGTGTGTGGGTGCAATTTTGTCCCCTTAGTCCATGATGAATTAAAATAAGTAGTTTACCTATAGATAACTAAAATTCTATACATGTCTTCATGAAGTTTACCTTATTTAACCGTTGCAATTAACACATATCCCAGAAAAATCTTTAAATTTTATTTTTAATATTATCCTAATGTTGCTGAGTTCCCAGCAACACAATTATTTATTGCAGCCAACATCTACCATGCTTACTATTACAGCAAGCTCTTTTCCAAGTTCTTATATCAATAACACACAAGGCAGGGCCTGTGATATTTCCCATTTGTGGATGGAGAAGCAGAGCCGTGGACAGGTGCCAAGTCACCCAGGTCTCAGGGGTGGGGTGGGGTCTCCCCACAGACAGCCTGGCTCAGACACACTCTCCACTGCCGCAGCGCGAGGGACCCTTGTCATCATCCCACAGAGTTTGCCTTGTCATTGCTTCTGAAGTGCTTAGAGACTGTCAATGAAGGAGCAATCTCAATAAACTTTGTGGTTTTGTCATCCTCAGAAATGACCAATCTTCATGAAGGTGGTGTTGTGCAAGCCTGGGCTTCTATTAAAATAAAAAAGTGTGCTTTGCACCTAAGGCAATGGTGGGATTAAAGCAAGTAGCAAATTGATGTTCTCATTTAAAAGTCTTGCCTGGTCTGTGAGTGCCCTGGGCCTGCAAAGGTAAAAGAAGCCTGACCACAAAGCAACTGGGCATTCTGGAGGTTACTGGGCAGACCTGAGACTCCAGAGAAAGTAGGAAGAGAAGGCAGATTGTCAGTTAATGATGGCGGTGTTCGTTTCTGTTTGTATACTTTTAACAGTCTAAAAATGGGGCTTCGGACACAATACCTTTCCTAAATGAAACCAGTGCCTGCTTCGTTACAGGCACAAGGTATGTACTGTGGGTGACATCCAGCCCCCTTCAGTTTTCCAGAGTCTTTCCTGGGGTCTTGCTTGGCTCAGGGCCACTGGAACACAACCCACCCGATGACACCAGGGTGTGTCGAGCCTGTGGTCAAGGTTCACACGTCTGTGTGTGCCACAACCACTGCAGAGGGGAAAGACATCATCCACACAACATCCCACCCTCAGCAGGGACTTGGAAAATCAGGAACCCGATAGTCCATAGTTGGGGAGACTGAAAGGTTCCCCAAACAAGCAAGGCTGCTCCATTTTACCTAACAATACCATACCTACTGGCACGGTTTCTCCCTGTGCCCCATTGCTAACATTTCTCCTTCGAGTTGGCATGCCAAGGAAAGCACAGTGAAAAATGTCTGAGTTCCGGGTTGCTCTTAGCAACATCCATGAATCTGAGTTTCTAACCTCCTTCCCTATAGAACAGTGCCTGAAGGAAGAACTGGCAATGCTCACTGGTGTCAGAATTGCCCACGATTTTTCCCTTTTCAGCAATTATTTAAGTGCTCCAAAAGCATTGCTTCCTTACTGTTTTCAAGGCAAGATAGAAGGAGAGGTTAATCTTGCTTAGAATTTCCTCTGCTTTCAAGTTCCAGGTTGGGGGTATAAAGAGGTTTGATAGAAAAGAACCGCAGCAGCCCAGGCCTGGCTGCAGGAGAAAGCAAAGTGGCTGGGGACAGGGGGTGTGGAGAGCAGGTGGTCTCCCGTCTCCTCCATCAGGGTCAGGAATGTGTCTGCTCCTTTACTGGAACCATCGCCCTCCCTGGATGGCTGTACCGTTTAGGGAGGCCTGTGCTGACAATACAGGTGCAATTCAAAAGAAATTCCATTAAAATAAAGTGGGCAGTGGGGAGAAACGGGGAATTCTGTCATGAAACATAAAACCTAAAATACTGTCTGGTCAAAACCTAGACAGCCTGTGAGACCCATGAGAGCTCGGAGACCCTGCTTTCGGAGCATAGGTGGGGACCCGAGGGGTGGGGCCGTGAGCAGGGTCTCAGGCCAGCCGTGGAGAAGGCGGCTGCCTCTGCGGGGATGGGCACCGCAGCGTGGTGGGCAGATATGAGGAAGGCAAGGACTTTCCCATTGACCATGCAAAACCTTCACGAAGTCAGGGTCTGTCCACCGTCTAAAGATCGAGACCTCATGTTGAGTTCTGAGGTAAAATGGGAAAACAGTTTTAACAGTGCAGTGAAGCTTCCTGCCAATAAGCAAACCTTTCCACCCTCCGCTCAGCTACAGAAACACATTTGGGAGCTCCAGGGAGGAGGCGGAGGGGCACAGGCGCTCCCCAGTGTGGGCCACGCTCAGGTGTCCCTTCACAATGGCAGCCACACTGCTTCGTGAAACGGACACACTACGGGATGGAAAACAGTGAGAGGGAAGCCACGGCATCAAGAAGCAATAATCACAGAATGTTTTTGTGCTGTCCACGCCTTCCTCAACATCTGCCTCCACTTCCAAGTCAATCGAGACAGCCTGTTTATGTGGAGCTTTGAGATGACACATACACTTTACTGACCCTAGAACAATACCCTTTCCACATCTAAAGCAATTTTCGTGTAAATGACTGTGCCATTAACCTTCCAGGGTCATTCAAATATTTTCTGAGAAATTGGCTGCTTTCGGGATTTTCTTAGAATGCCATGTGTTTCATTTTTGTGCAGAACAGATGACAGGCGAGGCATTCCAACAGGACTTCAGTTGATTTAACTAATTCCTGTCAGGGGAAGTGAAGTGTTGGGATTCATAAAGCCGATCCCAGCCCGGAGATTTTCCTTTTCCCAAAACAGAAAAAACAAGACATGCTGTGTGGTTTTGCAACCGGGCAAGTTTCGAAATATTTTTAAGCTTTCTACTTTGCCAAGTATTTCATAAAAAAACTATTTTCTTTTTGTTTCGTGCCAAAAAATGTCACCCCTAAATATTTTTTCCCATATCTGGTCACATGTCCAGGATTTTTTCTTTTCTAAGAATAAATAATTTTTCTGGGTTATAAAAATTCCACTTGCTCTATCAGATTAAACATATCTTTATATAGAAAAAGCATCCGAAACATTCCCCAAGTGGGTCTAAGGGAGGAGTCTTAATACAATTTTGTTAAATTAATTTTGATTAAATATTAGGCCTTGAATTCTTTTTGTGACTCTCACAAAGTTCAGGCTTATTTTGTTACACTTTCAAGTCTCCCTTTTTTTCACTCTCCACATACTGTTTCCTTTTATTAGAAAGCATTCAAGAAGAATTGATTGGTGTGTTTGACCAAAATAATATGTTGGAAGTGATACCAGTGCAAGGGGACCCTCTGGGTTCCATTCTCTATTTGCATAGTTAGCTGGAGTTAGAAGGTTCAGCTGTCAGGGATTCAAGAACTCTAGCATCAAAAAAGTGTGAACTTGCAAATGAGCTGTCAAGGTTCATAGCAAGTGAATAATGCAGCTGAGAGCTGACTTGTCTCCACCCTGGTGTTCTATTGATCTTGCTGCTGGATAAAGCATAGGCACATAGGAACACTGAAAAATAGCAATTTGTATGGGTTGGACTGGTATTTTCTTTTTTACCAGTTAAAATGTTAATTACATTCACAAAGTCAAAAAGCTGAATAAATAGTCTTACAGTTGGAAATATAGGGCAAAACAAAACACAGGCTTGAAAAAGCAATAATAGCTATACACCTAAAATGTGAAAAATATTCATAGAGAAATGAATTGTAGGGCATTAACTCTTGCAAAACCACCAAAGGCCTGGTGGAATTAATATGCTACAGATTTGAAACTTAACATTGGGCAACTTAAAATGCATGTATTTGTTATTGATATTTAACTAATCCTTGTAAGTAAATCTACTATAAGCGAAAAGCATTCTAAATTGATGTTATTGCTAGTTTGCAGGGAAATTCTGAAAGTCTATGTGTTTGTTGGTGCATGAGGGGATGTGCGTATTGAGGTGTGTGTTCAGGATGAGGGCTTCTGGTCCTTTAGAAATGGTTCCCTCTAAGCTTCTTGGTTTCCAAATCTTCATCACTCTTTTTAAAATCTAAAAATGCAGGTTTACTTTATATGGAGAGCACATTGCTATGAGGAGATGTGACATTTCAGAAAGAGCACATGGCACTGATTCTGAAATGCTACCAAGTTGCTTCAGAATATACCCAAATTCTCTCAAAGATTAATGATACACTAAGAAACTGAAGGACACAGCAAATTATTTTGCTTGTCTTCAACCCACTGTCACCCTGCCACAAATTGAACCTAATAAAATTTCCATCCCTCTCCCATCTTATGATATGACCCTTCCCCCTCATGCATGGGGAAATTGTTATTTACATTGTGAAAATATCAAGCATCTCCAAACACTTACGTTTTGTGGAGCCGGGTCTCCCATGGTAAAATGAGAGCCCAACACGGTGAGTTTGCTTCCTAGGAATGGCAAATCAGCATCGCGATGCCCTCAAACCAGAAATAATACCCTTCATTTGCTGCAACTGGTTGAGTATCAGTGCTATAAAAAATAGATGATGGAAAACCGGAGCCCTTGACAGAAATACAAGTCTGCTGTGTGTGGCTTGTGCAGGAATGGAGCAGAGAGAAGCGGTGGTCTTGTCTACACATCATACTTGGGCTTCGCCCATGCTGACAAGTGGAAGCACATGCACAGTGGACACACGCTGTCAGGACATTCATCCCTGCTGGCACGTAAACGGCAGGGAGCTAAACTGCTAGAATTCAAGTGGCACAGAAACTTGAGCCTATGGAATATCACTGTGGAGTGGGCAGGCCAAGTTCTTTACAGTGCTCTTTGCTTTTGCAAAGAGGTAATTTCCAACTCAAGAATGCTCTGTGGCTTTGGCGTCAAGAAAGCTGAAAGTCAGTGAAATAGAGCCTTGAAGGTCATCCAATCTGCGCTGCAGCAGGAAGTGAATTTTGGGAGCCCCAAATGCAAAATAGGCAGCTCAGCCCAACATTAACTCAGCCCAACACTAACTCAGCCCAACATTAACTCAGCCCAATATTAACTCAGCCCAACACTAACTCAGCCCAACACTAACTCAGCCCAACATTAACTCAGCCCAACATTAACTCAGCCCAACACTAACTCAGCCCAGCACCAGCTCAGCCCAACGCTAACTCAGCCCAGCACCAACTCAGCCCAGCACCAACTCAGCCCAGCACTAACTCAACCCAGCACTAACTCAGCCCAGCACCAACTCAGATCAGCACCAACTCGAACCAGCACTAACTCGGACCAGCACTAACTCGGACCAGCACTAACTCAAACCAGCACCAACTCAAACCAGCACAAACTCAGCCCAGCACCAACTCAGATCAGCACGAACTCAAACCAGCACTAACTCGGACCAGCACCAACTCAAACCAGCACCAACTCAAACCAGCACCAACTCAGCCTAGCATGCACTGATTCTCTGGCATAGACTCAGACTCCAAAAATATGTCGAGAAAGTCTAACCAAAATTTGCAAAATTAGGACCTGTGGTCAGTACCTTGACTAAATATGACTCTGTCTATGAACACAAGTAGGCATAATGTAACATAAGACAGTAAAGAGGGGCATCGTTAGAAACCTTTAGCATTATGTCAGAAAGGGCAAGAGGACTCAAGTAGAAGAAAGGCAGAGAGAATAACAGAGGGACATGCATGAAAAGTACTTTTTTCTTCTTCAGTCCTGCAATTGCATTAGGAACAGAGGTCAGGCCCAAGAGCTGCCCTCTCCTCACTTTTCTTTCTTTCTTTTCTTTTTTTTTTGTTTTTTTTTTTTTTTTTGAGGGGGAGTCTCGCTCTGTCGCCCAGGCTGAAGTGCAGTGGCATGATCTCGGCTCACTGCAACCTCCACCTCCCAGGTTCAAGAGATTCTCCTGCCTCAGTCACCGGAGCTAATTTTTGTATTTTTAGTACAGATGGAGTTTCACCATGTTGACCAGGCTGGTCTCAAACTCTTGACCTCAAATGCCCGCCTTGGCCTCCCAAAGTGCTGGGATTACAGGCGTGAGCCACCGCACCCGGCCTGTCCTCACTTTTTATCACATACTCCTGCTCTTGTGGCCCTGCTTGAACACAGCAACAGGGTCTACATAAAATAAATTAAAATACATTTAAAAAAAAATTACCTGCTTTACTTCTGGTCCATAGCATTGGACATACCCAGCCAGAAATCATACACTGGGCTGGTTTTTGGGAGCCAACTCAAATGCTTGTCCTTTGAGGTAAGTATTAGGGTGCTCGTGGCCTCCCGCCCCACGGGTCCTTCACTCACTGACCCTGACCTGTGCTCACTTTGTCTCACCACCTACATTTCCCAACAGTTCATGTTTGATACAGCTGCTGGTCCTGCCAAGGCTGGAGGCCCTCCCCATCCGCTGATTTGCCTTTCTCTGAAATCGGCATCTTGGCTCCTCTGCATTATTTCTGATTGGACTTGTCTCTCTGGCTTGTTTTCTCTGCTAATTCTGATGAAGACGATAATCTCTAGCTCTCAGGGGCCAGCCCTGGCTACACAGTTTGGGGGTAGTGTTCAAACAACCCTTGAGAATCTTATTTTTCAAGGCTGTTGGCTGGCACTTTAGGGCTAAAGCAAGTGGTGAATTAAAACACAAAACAAAACAAAGCAAAAACCACAGGCCTAAATAAACATATGCACCCAGGAGCATGACTGTGCAGACAGACTGCCTGGCTTTGAATCTCATTGCCACCATTGATTGGCCACTTAACCTTGCATATCACAAGATGGGAATAATAAGGCACCTGCTTCATAGATTGTTCTTTTAGTCTTCTATCCGTTTGTTCATTCCTTCAGTAAATATCCATCGAGCACCTACTACTGCCCAGACATACGGATCCAGAAATGTCCAGCACAGATTAAGAGGCCACAGCCTCGTGGATTTTCCATTCCAGGGCATTTTTCTTCAAGGATCCAATAAGATATCCCCCTAAACTATACATCATAGAGCCTTTGACACAGTAAACACTCACATGCCATTAGCTGTTATCACGGTAACAATAAAAATAAACTTTTAGCAAAGGTTTTAACTAAATGAGGTGAGAATCATAAATAAAGATATATTTGCTATAGTGAAAAGGAGAGAAAATGTAGGAAAGTCAGGCAAGAGGAATATTTGCCAAAATCATTCATGAATCTGACACATTAGATTCTGGGCGTGTCCTAAGCCTTGACCTGTGCTACTTGATGTGGGATTTGCACACCTGGGACACACGAGCTTCTGAAGTTCAGACTGTCTGCACTCTATCTGACACACTCCACAGCTGCACAACTTGCAGCATGAGTCAGCACCATCCTAACCTCTAAAGAGCCCCGCGGGCACAGCGAATGCACCTCCCAGCCCTTTGGACGTGGTGGCGACCAGCTGGTTTCCTGGAGAGGCATCTCCTTTACACCCATCTGTGAAAGAAATCTAGATCTAAGCCTTAGATCTCAAGGTTAGAAAGGGGGTAAGGTTGAGGTTCCGGAGTGCTACTCTATTAGACACATTGTCCTTTTTAAATTATATTTTTACAATAATTTCCATTTATTATTTTTTCGTGGCATCCTAGTGAGGCAGGCTAGTTTGACAACATGCTGCTTAGGGGAAATTTGCTGTTAATAAGTCTTTTGAGCTCACTAAATTTTGGTGCAGCATGAAAACCCAGACTGTTTTCAACTCTCTCTCTGGCATACCCGCTTGATTCCTGATAGGGCTATTAATTTTGCGCAGATTTCCCAATTTGCTCCCCATTTGCTACCTGGGATGGTGAAGAACAGACAAATAGCCCTTCGGAAGCAAAAGCAGTCCCAAACCAGGCTGAGTTTCGTGATGGCTTCTTCCACATTGTCCTTCATTGCTGAGGATGAAAACATAGAGCTAAAAACTGTGATACACAATGATTTATCACCTCCTTTCCATGTACACACCTAGTAGTTTAGAACTCTGTTAGCTTCAAAATCTATTCAGTCACATTGCATTCCCCTCCCCAACTCCCACAAATTCTACATGAAAGAGGGTTCAGGTAGCAAATGAGTGGAAGGACAGGGCAAACTAAGACTCTGATGGTGAGCCCCTCCTCCTCCTGATTCAGATGATTTCTTCCTCCTCTTCCTCCTCCTCCTCCTCTTCTGGTTCTTTCTTCTCCTTCTTCTTCTTATTCCTCTTCCTCCTCCTTCTTCCTCTTCTTCTATCTTCTTTCCTCCTCCTCCTCCTTCTATTTTCTTTCCTCCTCCTCCTCCTCTTTCTCCTCCTCCTTCTTCTTCTCCTTCTCCTTCTTCTATTTTCTTTCCTCCTCCTCCTCTTTCTCCTCCTCCTTCTTCTCCTTCTCCTTCTTCTTCCTCCCCTCCTCCTCCTCCTGTCCCCCTCACCTTTCCCCTTTCCCTCCTCTCCCATTTCCACTTTCTTCCCCTTCTTCCTCCTTCTCCCCCTTCCTTTCCTCCTCCTCTTCCACTTCCCCCTTTCTCTTCTCCCCCTCCTCCTCCTTTTCCTCTTCTTCCTCCTCCTTCCCTTCTCTCTTTTTTTGTTATTTGATCTCCAATTTTCACTTCCTAAAATTTCATATGGTTGGATGCTATTATAATTATTCAATTACACAATGATTACATGTGGGCTGGTGGTTTTGAAACAATGTACCCCATTGTATGCATTATTGCATTCATGTGGAACTTGAACTGTAGGAGGTCCATGCAGGCTTTTCCAGGGTCCCCAAGAGTACTTTGTGGGTTTTGGATCCAGGTTTCTGTTTCACTAAATCAGCATATTACTCTAGTCTACAGTGTACTGTTGGGCTAGAAATAGTCCATTGACTATTTTAGACTCTGCATCACGAAACGAGATCTATGGTTTTGGTTGAATTTCATAGAAGAATATTGATAAATTATCATTGTTCAGATCATTAATCTTCTTTAGCTCAAATCAAACAATGAAGTGATGTTATCTTGCAAACCATGCAGGCAGGTGGTGGCACTAATGAGCCTGCCACATCGGATTAATCTTTGAATGTTCAGAATCTCAGAATGAGAACTTTCCACAAATTCAAAACTGTTTGATGAACTGACAATGTCCAAGTCCACCAAATGGTCCAACATTCAGAGATGAAATTATGTCATGACATAAGAAGCCTAATGGAATGAATGGCCACTATGCATTAAAGACCAGAATGTGAAAACCTGGCTCCTACCATTCAGACTTCCCTGAAATTGTGAAACATGATTTTCCCCTTCACCCTAGGGAAGACCCTCTGGCAAAGGCACATTCACTAAGGGTGAGCCTTCTTTTGGATTGGGGGCTCAGAAGAGAGAGTCATATTGAAGTCGCCCAAACTGTTCTTTGCCCTGGCTGCCCGCTGACTTTGTTAGGCAGCTGGTGCTAAGGAGAGGGTAAAGAAAACAGAAGACACTTGTGGGCCGGCTCAGGGATGGACAGTACCTGGCCGCTCTCCCTGTGTGATGCAGGTGGCTTGTTCTGAGGTAGGTGGGCATACAGGCAGTGAGTACATCTCCATTGCAGCGGGGGAAGGTGGATGTGGGACTAATCAGGGATGGAGAGGGAGGGATGCTGCAAAGATGCCCGAGCAGGTGCTGTCAGTGGGGACTAGGGAAGCAGTGTCTCTATCCGAGAGTGCATGCCGGTGGTAGGGGAGCACCAACCTGAACATGGCCAGTAAGAACACAAACTAGACCTCCCAGATTCTCCCGCAAGTAAGGAGAGATCAGGGACTGTTCCAATTTTTGGCGTTCATATTTTTTAGACAGTTGTCTTAAAAAAAATGCCTGCTTCACTTGCGTTAAGAATTAACTAATCATGGTCCAGACTTATGCTCAGGTAGACAAGGAGGACTGAAGCCACAGTGGGCTCCTTCCAACCTCACATCACATCTTCCTCATAGCACCTGTGCACCCGAGGTGCAGATCCTGATTTGATGGCGACCTATTACAAATTTCCTTAGACTGCAAGCAATCACACTATACTTAATAGCTATATTTAGTAGAATACTTAGATTAATACTTGGAGAGAATTTAAATTTAAATATTATTTCCACAGCCAAAAGACAAAACAGCAATAGACAAATGCATTCTCTTTTTAGTTTTCTTCAACGGATATATTTCATTTTTAAGCCTATCTACCCCCTCCCCCGATTTGAAGACATCCCTCGGGCTACGTGGGGAGGAAAGCCTGTGTGACTGATCGCTGCAGTGACTGCTCTTGGCCATGACTGTTACTGCCATTTTGGCCTCTCTGAAAAGTGAGGCAGCCTAAGCCTCACAGATATGTTTCCTGGTCACATTTTTGTTGTCTCTACAGAAAGAGAAGCAAACGATATCACCAAAGTCCTAACTCTATCCTCCCACTCTGTGAACTACAGAAAAGGAAGCAGCAGAAGAAATAATAGAGGGAATAACAAAGTGACAGAAGCATAGAGGGAAAAGCAGCAGGTGGCTTTTCATCAAGGGGCCTTTGGGTAAGATTTACAGGAGACAATGTTTTCTCTGCGCCTCTGGGACTTGAAAGGTCATGGAAAGAGGACTCACTCGCGACAGAATTCAAACACTCGTAGTTGTGTCTCAAAGTCCTCCGCGGACATCACCAGAAGGCATGGTTTCAGGGGTGTTTTTCAGAAGGGCGATGGATTTCTTTGGATCCACGTAGTCTCTCTTATCTGGTTAGAGTTTCTTCTTTTTCTTTTTGTTCTTTTTTGACACAGAGTCTCACTCTGTCGCCCAGGCTGCAGGGCAGTGGCACCATCTTGGCTCGCTGCAACCTCCGCGTCCTGGGTTCAAGCAATTCTCCTGCCTCAGCCTCCCGAGTAGCTGGGACTAGAGGTGTGCACCACCATGCCTGGCTAATTTTTGTATTTTTAGTAGAGACAGAGTTTCACCATGTTGGCCAGGCTGGTTCTCGAACTTCTGACCTCAAGTGGTCCTCCTGCCTCGGCTTCCCAGAGTGCTGGGATTACAGGTGTGGGCCACCGCGCCCGGCCTTATCTGGTTAGAGTTTCTTAGGTGGGAATGGAGTTAGCAGTCCCAGACCAGGCCAAGTTAGGACAAGCTGAGAAATGCATCCTGTGGTTGACACATGGTGAGGAATACCCAAGCAAAATACTCTTGTGTGAGGCTTAGACTCTGTAAGAATCTACCACTTTATGAAGAGACTTTCTTCTCCCATCTACCAGATTTTCCACCAAATTTGTTGCAGCCTTGTTATGGGCTGAATTGTGCCCTCTTAAATTCATGTATCGAAGGACTGGCCCCCTAGGACCTCAGAATGTGCCTGTGCCCTGTATTTGAAGACAGGGACTTTAAAGAGGGGAAAAGTTAAACTGAAGTCATTAGGGTGGGCCTTAATCCAATCTAGCTGGTGTCCTTAAGAAGAGTGCCGGGCGCAGTGGCTCACGCCTATGATGCCACTGCACTCCAGCCTGGGCAACAGTGTGAGACTTGTCTCGAAACAAAAAAGGAGGAAATTTGGACACACAAAAAAGACACCAGACACCAGGGATGCATTCATAGAGGAAAGGCCATATGAGATCACAGCAAGAAGGTGGCCGTCGGCAAGACAAGGAGGAAGGCTTCAGAAGAAACCAGACCTGCTCTCACCTTGATCTTGGACCTCGAGCCTGGAGAACTTTGAGAAATAAATTTCTGCCATCAAAGCCACCAGTCTGTGGTACTTTGTTATGGAAGCCCAAGCAGACTAATACAACCTGCAGGCTTTAAACGATGAACAAGGGATGTGACTTTATTGTAGGACCAGTAATTTGAATTTCTTGCAAACGCTTGAGTGTAAGCATTAGTCAATAGTCAGTGATCTGACTGGAAAGAAGCAGAGGGCACAAGTTCATGGCAGTGTGCTCAGGGGTACCTGGCCCCTCTGTGAAGAGCCCCATAGAAGACAAGGCACTTGGGCCCTGTCTCAGGGGCAGCACAAGCTTCCAGGACACCACCGTCACTGGTCACTTGCTGCTCCCCACTGTGGCCCTGGACAGATGAGTCAGGCCCATGGTGGTCAGGGCAGTGGTTTCTCCTCGTCCTCCCCCAGCCTGCACTACTCCGTGCCTGGAGCTGTGAAAAATTGGCCTTTGCTCGGGCGCGGTGGCTCACACCTGTAATCCCAGCACTTTGGGAGGTCGAAGTGGGCACATCAGGAGCTCGAGACCAGCCTGGCCAACATGGTGAAACCCCGTCTCTACCGAAAATACAAAAAATTAGCCGGGCACGGTGGAGGGCGCCGGTAATCCCAGCTACTTGGGAGGCTGAGGCAGGAGAATCACTTGAACCCAGGAGGCGGAGGTTGCAGTGAGCTGAGACCGTAACACTGCACTCTAGCCTGGGTAACAGAGTGAGACTCAGTTTCAAAAAAAAAACAAGGTCTTTGCTGCTTCCACAGATGCTCACATTTCTCCCTGGCTCATTTTAAGCTGTGCTAAAATCTGGTAACAAAGCTTGCTTTTATTTAAGGTACATTTTGTAAGTTTTCGGGTGGCCCACTGTAAGGTAGAGAGCCCTGCTCTTGGTGACTTGCTTTGGAACTAGAAAATTAGCATCTAGCTGTACCATATCTGGGCACATGACTGGGGCTTCATCAGGTAGGGCTGGGCTTTCATGAAGTAAGTTGCAGCTCAGGGCCTCGGCGTGCGAGGAGTGCAGTTGCTGTGTGTGACTGGCTCTGTCACCAGGAGCCCCGCGTATTCTTCAGGGAGAATTTTCAATCATGCTGGTTTTGATTTAGGCAATATGGTCTTGAAAATATTTTCATAGTCTAGTCTCCATCAATCTTATTCTTCCACACTGACATCTGCTTCCAGAATTTGGAGTAAGGCGAGCTGGGAAGTAGGGCTCTGAAATCTTGAAGGACTGCCTAAGCCCCCCCACCACACAGAAGCAAAAGCAGCCTCCACAGGATGCCAGCTTAGCAAGGGAGGCCTCACGAGCAATTTTAAGGACCTCAGCACTGATGACGAGAGATGGTGTGTTACGGATTTTGCATCTGCAGTTTTGCCATTAGTGGCATTTTAGGAATAAATAAGGTTGATATGTTAACTACCTCAAAATAATTTTCCCATTCAATTAGATTTTGTTAGTGAACTCACTCATCAGTTTGGATAGTTCAAGTAGTATACTGAAAAATGATAGCTAAACCTGGCTTATGATTAGAGCTGGTTTACATTTTGCCTTCGGCAAGTGGAGGATTTCCCTAGGCTGTTTCTGGAGCCTCATTTATTGATGAGCTTCTGTGCCCTACTCCAAGAAGCACCTTTCCACCTGAGAATGAGGGGCCCCATTTACAATATTCTTGGATGAGGACCTGGGGAAGAATGCAGGAGAGCCCCAAGCTAAGATGGTATTCAAACTCAGAGCACGGCAGAAAGTTCCCAAAAAGATGTTAGAAGTATGGCTCGGCTTGCTGCTGTTTTGGCTTTTAAAAAAAGATTATAGCAAGAACCTTTTAGGGAACTCCACAGCCACCAGTAGGGATCGGCAGGCACATTGCCCCAGCTAACCACTGGAGTGGTGTTCAGGGAGGGTTTGGGATGTGGATGCTGCTCCAAGCCATCTGGGAGGGAGACAGGTGCAGGGACAGTCAGCATGAAAGCAACTGGGGACTGGGATTGCCATAGCTCAACAGCCTGATGATGGCCTGAGGTTGTTGCCAAGAGCAGCTCCTAGGAACTGCTCCTTCTCTGAGCCACCCTCTGGGAACAGCAGAGCTGTCAGAGAAGATTTAATTGTTTTGATCTTCCTGCCTTCTTGATATCCCATTGAGAGTCACCCTTCAGGGAGAAGGAGATAGAGTCGTCATTTTGTATTAAGCAATGACAAGAAAGAAAAAAAACTTTTAAGATGAAATCCTGATGGGATTGAAAATCAATTAATCAATCACACAGACCTCTGATTCCTGGTCATTCTGGCTCAGAATTACAGACATAAGTGTGTGACACTGTGTTACCTTAGGGTATATGGACTTTTAGACCAGTAGAATTTTATGGAGAGAAGAAACAGTAAAGATACATTAGTTCAATGTATGCATTAGTGTTTAAGGTAATAATTTTGGTGCAAAAGCAGAATGGGCCAGATAGACTAGTTTGCCAGGAGTTTATGGATCTAATGAAATAGTTTCAGTTGCTCATTTAGAGAAAACAAATGCAGAAATAGAGACCACAGCTCTTAATGCAACCAAAGAGAGAAAATGCATGCTGACTAAACGTCCACCCATTAGGCTCCTTATTAACAGAAATGAGAAGTTATTCTTTGGGGACTGTTGCTCTCCTGCTGCTCTGTCATGGGGCTATGGCTTCATTTTCCATCTATAAACACCAAACACTGGAAGGTTGGTTGCTAAGAGAACTCACTGGGGAAACAGTTAACTGTTCAAATGTCCCCACTTACGTGGATATGTGCAAATACCACCCTCTGTTCAGATCTGCATGTTGCAGAAAGACACTACGTGCAGTGGACTAAAGCTGGACGCCGGAGTGTCCCACAGACCCAGGTTAGCACCCCTGCCCTGCCACTCACTAGACATGTAACTCACAGCAAGTTCTTAAGAACTCTTTCGAAACTATTCCTCATGGGCAAAAAGAAAAGGATGGCAAAGCATGATTTTTTAAGTGTTCACTGTGTATACCAATTATGAACAAATTGTAAAATCCTGCTTCATTTCATCACCATCAAACCATAGGCTTAAATTTGCTCATAATCCCGACAACACTGTGTGTTTGGAAACAGTGGAAACAGGAAGAACTGAGAGCGGGTCTGCATTCAGGATCCACGTGGCTCCAATCATAGGTGTGAAAAGACTCACATATTCCGTAGCATCATAGGACCCATCAGAGTATAACAGCTAAGATTATTACACATGCTGTTCCAGTGTCCCACTCACACTGCACCACAGAAAGCTCTGCAGTGGATCAATTGCTGCTGTGCAGTCCCCAACATCCGATCCTTGCTGAAGTTTATTGATTAAGCTGGCTAATACACTCCTTACACAGTTATTTGGTACCATATTGAAAATACATTAATTCTAAAATAACAAACAAACAATAACTTTCAACCTCTATTGCTAGTTTGAGAATAAAATGCTCCCTTTGGTGCAGTGAGTAGTGCTCATGAGTGACAGACAATTTGAATAAGAAAACTGGGCTCTTGATTTAGATTTTTGGCTGTCAATTACATTTGGAAAGTTGGGGGTAAGGTACAAGCTGCTTAGGAACCCTTATTTCTTCCCCCTGCCCTTTTGATATCATTTCTCTCTCTTCTCCTTGACCTTAGGTGGGTCAAGGAGTTGGAATTCAAATCACATGAGCAAATAGCATTCAAATGTACATGATATATAAGGCACTTTAGCGATCCAAAAAAAATTTACAATATAGTTTCTGTCTCAAAAAGTTTATTGCCTTGTTTGGGGAGACAAAACATACCACACGAAAAGTTCATGATACAGGATTTAAACAAGGGCTCAACAAATCATAGAGGAATTGTTATATAACATGGGTTCTTCCATTAAATGGTAAAGGAATGCTCTTAGCTCTAAATACTAAAAAAAAAAAAAAAAAAAGAGAAAGAGAGAGAAATTCAGGAACTGTCCAGGTAGGATTGAGGTAAAGGACAGGGACGAAATGAACTTTTTGAGAAGCATGTAGGTGGCTAAGTCAGTTTGGATGTTAGGAACTACACTGAGAATCAAGAGATGAGGAAGACCAAGGGCAAACCGAAACGAGACAGGCTGAGACAAAGCGAGATGAGACAAAGTGAGAAGAGATGAGACAAAGCAAGATGACAGAAGTTTGGTGATCATCTTGGACATTTTGCTAAATTAGGTGAAAAAGGAGCAAGAAACAGGTATCCTTAGGCAAAGGCAACCTCTGACCAAGCTTGATGAGGGCAGATGAGGACTGATTCTAGCATGAGAGGGAGGTGCAGGAGAGGCAGCTGCCCAGTAGGTCCTCAGAAGATGGTGAAGGCACCACTCCAAAGAGTGTAGATACATACTGACCACAACAGAGACAGAATGTGTGTGTGTGCACACGTACACATGAACGAAAGAGGCTAGGGCATCAGAGGGGAGAGGAAATACAGGGAGAAGGGAAGTCAAGGAAAGATGCCTGACATTCCACAGGAGAAGCTTCTGCACAGGAGCAGTGGGGATAACAACTCCAAGATGCACTGGAGAGGGGTTTTTGCTAGAGAGTCAGCATCGCAAACAAGCAGAGTACCTTTGCATTAAGGTGCGATTTAAAAATATGTTATTATCTAGGATAGTGGTGCTCAACCATGGCGATTTTGCTCCCCAGGGAACATTTGACAACTGGGAGACAGTTTTGGTTGCCACAGCTGGCAGTGGGGATGGGGGTGCTAACTGCCATCGTGTGGGTAGAGGACAGAGACGCTGCTGAACACCCAGCAGCACGCAAGAAGATCCCACAACCTGGCTCCAGATGTCAATGGCACCAAGGCTGAGAAACCAAATTTAGAGGATCCCAGGGAAAACAGAAAAGTATCTTAAAAATAAACATTACCCAGTATTGTACAGTTGACAAATGTTAACATTATGCATTTATTAAAAACAAATGTAAGCAACATTTATTACTGTAGTTAGAATTTTAAAATATGTACATATACTGCAGCAGACTTTTATTTATTTATTTATTTACTTATATGAGACAGAGTCTCGCTCTGTCGCCCAGGCTGGAGTGCAGTGGCACGATCTTGGCTCACTGCAAGCTCCGCCTCCCGGGTTCGCGCCATTCTCCTGCCTCAGCCTCCCGAGTAGCTTGGACTACAGGCGCCCGCCACCACACCCAGCTAATTTTTTGTATTTTTTAGTAGATATGGGGTTTCACCGTGTTGGCCAGGATGGTCTCGATCTCCTGACCTTGTGATCTGCCCGCCTCGGCCTCCCAAAGTGCTGGGATTACAGGCGTGAGCCACCGTGCCCAGCCCTGCAGCAGACTTTTAAAAAGATATATTCAGCTTCATCACCCTTTTCTTAAAAAACTGAAATTACTTCTGTCAAAATCATGCCGATGGAAAGCAATGACATGCTAAGCACAGTCCTTTACAGAAATAATTCAGATAGAATAAGTGGAAAATAACCTTAAAGAAGATTGAAAGAAGCGACAACTTAATGAAACCCAGCTACTGGTTCCATTTTCTATTTATCCTTCCAAATTGCTAATGAATTCTGACCCATTTAGTCATGCAAAATATATATCCTGAAGAATCTGTATCCCTTTTGAGGTACTTAATGGATGTTTAGCCGGCAAGGAAATATGGCATGCCTATTATTCACAATAGTTGATCTTTAAATTGACATTAATATGCCACACTTAGAGTACTGGGGAAATTCTAGCCAAATATACAAAGCCGCTGCTACTAAGATGAAAGACATTCCACAAGGAGGAAACTGATCTCAGAACCAGTGACCACGGCCATGAGGGCTTCGTGGCTGCTACAGCACGTTAGCCATAAACAATTTCCATCTGAGGAAGTGCATTCAGTGCAGCTGCTGATGCATAGTAAATATTTGATCCTAATTGGACCTAATGATGAATTTCAATTCTGTATTCACCATTCTTTTATAGGACACCAACCCATAAACACAAAAAATAAAAAAGGTTTTGGGGAACATTTTTCATTTCCTTAAGTCATTTAATAATGATGAATTGCCTGGGAGGCTCTTTGAAAAGATAGATGCGGCTAGAAAGTTACTGGGAGAATTAGAAATTGCATAAGGATTCAATGCAAAATACTTTGTAAAAAGAAATTTTAACTTCCTTGTTTAACTTATTTTAATTCATTGAGAAATTAAAGGTAAAATATACTTTATAAAAATATAATCTGGCAAACTTTAATTTGGGTACCAATTTGGAATTCGATTAAACAGGTTCAAGTCTATTTTTATAGATTATAAAAATGCTCCTTTCAGATAAAGTAAAAAAGATAATTTTGTTTTGGGAGTTAAAAGAATCAATGTCTGTGCATCCTTTAGTCTCAATAGAATAACTCTTATTCTATCAGTAGGCAGAAATGTTTAAGCAGCACTGTCCAAAAGACATACATGTAATTTAAATGCTTTTAAATGGAATAGAAAAGTGAAATTCTCTGGTGTTTTTTCTTGTATTCTTTCAAAATCATAGCACCAATGGATGTGAGTTTCTAACATTATTCACCTATCTTTTTAAAAATTTACCCCTGAATGCTTATACACTGCTGGTGGAGATGTAAATTAGGTCAACCATTGTGGAAAGCATTTGGTGATTTCTGATAGAACTTAAAACAGAACTATCATTGACCCAGTAATCCCATTATTGGGTCTATACCTAAAGGAATATAAATCATTTTATCATAAAGACACATGCACGCATATATTCATTGCAGCATCATTCACAATAGCAAAGACATGGAATCAACATAAATGCTCATCAATGGTAGACTTGATAAAGAAGATATGGTATATACACACCATGGAATACCATGCAGCCATAAAAAAGGACAAGATGATGTCCTTTGCAGCAACATGGATGGAGCTAGAGGTCATTTTCTAAGCAAACTAACACAGGAGAAGAAAACCAAATTCTACATGTTCTCAAGTATAAGTGGGAGCTAAACATTGAGTACATATGGACACAAAGAAGGGAATAACAAACACCACAGCCTACTTGAGGGTGGAAGGTGGGAGGAGGTGAGGGTTGAAAAACTACCTATCAAGTACTATGCTTATTACCTGGGTCATGAAATAATCTGCACACAAACCCCCCATAACACACAGTAACCCCCGTAACATGCTATCAATCTATCTATATAACAAACCTGCACATGTACCCCTGAACTTAAAATAAAAGTTAAAAGAATAATAAAAACAGAAAGTTTACCCTTGATAACACGTTTTATGTATAATCACTAAATCTACTAAGGCACATTTGCATATTATATTATAGAGTCTGCTAGCTCTACAGTTTTTCCAACTGTGTACAGTCGGCCAACTACCATAACCCACATCTTCCAAATCCTAGTGGCTTAACAATGGAAAATGGAATATCCAGTGCAGCTCAGTGGAGTGTGGGGTGGGGGGCTGTGTTCCAAACAGCCATTTAGAAATGATGCTCCTTGCAGCTATTACTCCACCATACCATGGGGTCTCACAGTCCTTCACATCCCCTGAGTCCAGCTGTTAGCTGAGAGGAGCGAGAATGTACAGGATCAGGTATGGGTTTCATGAGGCAGACCTGGAAGGGCAATACATCACTTCTACGAGCCAGAAATTGTCACACGATTCCTTCCAACTGCAGAGGAGGCTGGGGAATGTAATCTACCTGTGTGCCCAGGAGGAAGGGAAATGGGCTTTGTGAAAATGTGCAGCATTATCTCTGACAAACTGGCAGGAAAAAACCCACTAATGTCATATCTTTATATACCTGAGAGATGTATCATCAATGACCAATTCTCTGCCCTTGGCAGAATGCCGATTGGAAATATAGCTTTGGACAGGGCCAATATTAGGCTACGTCAAGATGACCAGCATGTGTCCTGGCAAGCTGACAACAGACTCTGTCAAACAGTCAGCATGGCCAGATTACCCTCCTGGTCTTCCAGGCAATCATGCTCCTCTTCCCACTTTGGGACTGACACCTTTGCTTCCCATCGCAAGCACAGCCAATTCACTGAAAAGAGTTGACTAGTGTCACTTGCATTTTCATCTGAATAAGGGAAGAGTCACTGTCACTTGGAATGTGACCATAGACTCCACTATCCTTAGACTACATCAAAATTATGCTCCTTTAAACTATTTGGAGGTAAAAGACACAAGAAAATAATAGGCACCAGAAGCATACACAAATGTGAGATGTTTGGCATGGAAGACAGTTTTCTACTCATAAAATACACAACTTGAAAGTTGGTATAAATATCAGATCCTGAATCCTGCCAGCCACATTTTTACTGGCAGGCATAGCAGGAGACAGCACAATGAAAATTCTCATAGAGGTTGGAAGTAGCAACAAGTCTTGAAAACTCATTTGACTATCAAGGAGGGCTAGACCACACATTAACTCAGACCACAAAGGCTAAAGGTCTCACTTAGACTCTCTTATCACTCAGCATTTAGAACCAGAAGAATAATCACATTCATTCTTTCAAGACTTTCCCTTTAACTATACATAAGAAAGGAAATGTCTTTACATTCCTCATATCTCACTTGGCATAAAATCTAATGTTTGTTCATCTCACTTATCTTAATCCCATACCTCCTCATGTTTATTAGAAGAAAAAAATGTAACTCTGCATGTCAGAAAACAGATCTGAAGTAAATATCAGTTAAAATGCAAAACAAAAAGCAAAAGAGGTCTCAGATTTTTACAAATGTTGTTTTATAGAAACCATAAAATTGAGGTAACTTGATTTAAAACAAGTGAAGACATCCAAGAATTTTCATAGTATGCAAGTGATCTGGACTGGTGGTTGGCAGCATTGACATTAAATCAGCTGAATTTTCATTGACAGCTCATTAGAAAGATGTTCCAAGAAAATCGAATACAAGATGCTCAACAGAAGCTCTTCTCTATGCAGTTCATAACTGTTATTTTATGTCCTTACAAGTCATGACTCATATTAGAACACGTAACTCTGTAAAATTTAAAGATTTTTATAAATCGCATGAAAAATTTCCCCTTAGTATAGCTATAATTTTGCTGTTTATGTCACATGGATTTTTAATTACATTTTCCAAACACGAAGGCAGTCAATTTGATAAGGAGAATATTTCACAAAATTCACTCTTCTGTTCTAGGATCTTGGTTCTAGGTAACTCATTCTCCAGAAAGAAATCATATCAGTCAGTTCACAAAAGAAAAAAATATTTAAGCCACCTAAAAACTCAAGTACTATTCATTGTTAATTTTGTCTGGATCTTTACATTACCTTAACTATATGGTCAGTCTATAAAAATGTATCTGTACATATGCTTACAGGTAATATGTAATATAAGTAACATCCAGGGATGGATCCTGAAGCGGGCTTCCATTTTTTTTTGGCATTTGTATTTTAATGAAGGTTAATAAAAGCCAAATTACAGCCAACTGTTAAAGCTTTTTTTTTTTTTTTTTTTAATTCTATGGTATAACAAAATCAGTTCCAGGTTTTTTTCTGAACAAATGATCCTTTGGTCTTTCCCGTGGCATGCTCCTAAAACAACTAAAACAACCCTCTACGTCTAATCAGTCACCTAAGATATCGAGTGGCAAGTCTTTCACATTTGCTGCTTATAATTCCTGAATGGTCCATATTGAGTATTTTCATTTCTGGGTAAGGGAAAAAGCATTTTGGTCCATTAATTCACCCGCTCGCTCCTGGAGGACGTTAACCAATTCTGCTATCACAAAGACGTGAGTGGCATCAATGTCTTGCATGATGAACTTCGCAGGCTTCCATTTTTGTTCACTTTGGGATGGTTTTCCTGTCGAACTGCGTGGAAAAGCAGGAAGCACACTGTCCACTGTAGGGGTTCCTGGTCCAGCAGAAGACTTTCAGATATTGTCAAGTTTAGTCCACTTCTTTGGATCTCAGTGGCTTTTATTCTGACATAAGATATTTAGATGTTGCAAGCCCCTCCAAGGAACACTATTTTATAAACAGAAACATCCAGTTGTGTGGCCATTTCATAATTAGCTTCTGAAATGGACAGGAAATGCACCTATGTGAAGGAGGCAGAGCAGGGCAAATGCCTTTACTGCTTTTCAAATTTTGATTTCCGGGTAGGAAACACAACTAAACCTCCTATCAATTTTTAGTCTTTACCTGTACATTTCTAACTTTTAGAGATTTCTGTTAATGTTCCTTTTTCTTGTTAACTTTGTATTTGATATTCAAGAAACGTTAGAAATGAATGCCTGTATAACATAATTTCAAGATATTAAAATAGCATTTATCATTAAGGCCACTTGCTTTATACCAACATCACAATTCCATTTTAAGAGTTATTCCATGTCCTGGGAAATTAAATCACTGTCTCAACTCCTTCCAGGTGACATAAGAAGACATGGAGGCATGATGGTCTAGCAGAGAGAAGCCTAGGTGGTATGGATTGTTCCATGTTGTGGAACATATTACAGAGACAAGGGTATACATTAGTTCAGCAATTTCGAGTTCTTAAAACATCTGCTTTCTCTCCAGCTAGATCTATACAACTGGATGGAGAAGATCAGGCTTAGGTGTTCTGTAAAATTTAAAAATGAGACCCCTAATGGCAGCTTTCCTATTTTACTCATATTTTTGGAATATTTTCAAGCAATTGCTGATACAATCTGGTGAGCCACTGATGGAATTGAGTGTAAGAAATGGAAACTGCTATGGATTGTTAACATAGAGACTGATGACCAGATTACAGGTGCATATATTTTGTTTATCTAGAGTTGTGTGGAGGCTGCTGTTCAGAGCATTGCTGACACCAGGGCATGAAACTAGTGACACAGTTAATGAGGCTGGTGATGAAGAAACTCTCGGGTCCTAACCGATAATTTCACATACCTAGTAAATCAGCATTATTTCATTTGAGTTACACTTGACTTTTTAAAATTAAATATCATGCGAAAGACTTTCCAGAATTACAGCATTCCACCAAATTGCTCTAGCCAGGACCCCATTGAGGTCCATATTGTAAAATTATCAGGTTATATCTAAGCCATCATCTTTCTTGATTGCACCTCCCCCTCTGACATAGTTTCTTCTCTTGGCTGTCAGCACACTGTGCCCGCTTGCCTTCCTCCTATCTCCCTGGGCATGCCTTCTCAGTTTCATTGATAGGGTTCTCCTCCTCCTCCTGGCCTCTCAATCTTGGAGGTTTTTAGCCTTGAAGTTTCTTAGCCTTTTTGTCCTCTTTCTGCACTCACTGCCTCATTCAGTCTCAAGGCTTTAAACACCATGGAGACCCAGCCATCTCTTGCCGTCTCCTCCATTTCCACCCATTCCAGGCACCTTCCTTCCTCACCTGGCCGTTGCAATAGCTTCCTAATTAGTCTCCAGCTTCCACCTTCCCCTTCTTACCACCTACTCCCTTCAGTGCAAAAGCCTCAACCTCTGGCACTCACCCTTTCTTTCTCTTGGTTGCAGCTATCCTGGCCTCCTTGCTGTGCCTCATACTGGAAGGCCACTCACACTTTAGGGCATTTGCAGAGGCAGTGCCTTCTGCCCCCAGATGGGTAACCCTATGGGCAACCCCCTTCAACTTCCTTGCTCAACATTTGAAACTCCAAGCTGCACTGTCCTCAACACATTCTCCAGATCCTCTTTACCCTGCTATGTTTTGAGCCCCTTTTACTCTCTTACCTACTGTATAATCTCCTAACATGTTTACCTTTTACTGTGTGTTCTGCCCATGGGAATTTAAGCTCTGTGGGGGCAGGGATTTTTACCAAGGTTGTTCACTGATGTGTCTCAAGCGCTCAGAACAGTCCTTTGCCTTTGGACAGTGCTCGGATTTGCATGAGTGAATGACTGTGCTCTCTCCAGAGTGATGAGGATGTCAGGATTGCTAGGTTTAGAAATGAAGCACATCCTATAGTATGACAGAGCCTGCAGAGGAGATAACAGCTTCTCGCTTAAAGATATGGAGTAGGCGTTAAAAATGATTTCTGCCCAATGTAAGAGGAGGATTTTCCAATTACCAACCAGAAGGAGTTGCTTGCTCTTGCCTCAGTGATTCTCACAATACCATATGCTATCAAGTTCCATTGCCCTCTTTGTACATGTGAGGGTAAGGTGCTCCATTGGATGTATCTTGAAACAGAACAGAGTTTGTGTATGTGAGGGGGGTGTGTACCTTTTTCTAAGGATTGAGCTGGATGACAAAGGATATTGCATATTTAACGGGTAGGGAGAACGCAGGTGCAACAATTCACAAAAATCTCATAATAGTGAATGATGGTGAATGAATAGAGAAGACCTAAGAAATCTCTCAAACGGGTGAGTTCTCTAGGAATTGAAAGGGTTTTTTTTTTTTCTGTTACAGTTTTAAAAGAATGTGGAAATGGAATAATTTGATGATATTAAGCTGTGGTTTTGATGAATGCTCTAAGAATCATCCCCAGTGATAAATATTCAAAGATAAATGGTGATGTTTTAGATAGAAGTCAATCGTTATTCTATTGCCTGTAACAGGGTTCCTTAGTTATAATTCTGTTAGTTGCTCTCATGGTCTTATGTTACTAATATAGTCATTATTTCAAAGCTTATCACATTCTGTAAAATCCTGTAGTCATTAGCAATAATCTAAGCCAACGTTAGCAATCCATTAAGGTTAGACATTTAACTTCTATAAAATACTCTATGCCACAGCACTTTCATATTCCTATGGGGCAAATTTCCATCGTAGACTCCACGTTGGCTCCTTGAAATGGTGTGTACTCAAGGATAGCCCAGCTTAGGGGACTCCAAATGCCATTTCAATTTTAACTTTATACAACAGATTCTCGTTCTCCATCCATGCTTAGACTTCCCAGCTCTCAGGTTCAACTCTCAGATCAGGAACAACCATATGTACTATGTTTTGTTTCCATCGAATTGGCAGTGACTCATTATTTAATTACTCTCCATGTGTTGGCCAAATATGAGGAAAGAATACTCTGAAAAATTAACAAAATGTGGCTGGCATTACAGCCATGCAGTGCCTCATGCCTGTAATCCCTGCACTTTGGGAGGCTGAGGCAGGTGGATCACCTGAGGTCAGAAGTTCAAGACCAGCCTGGTCAACATGGTGAAACCCCATCTCTACTAAATATACAAAAAATTAGCTGAGTGTGGTGGTGGGCACCTGTAATACCAGCTTCTCAGGAGACTGAGGCAGGAGAACCACTTGAACCTGGGAGGCGGAGATTGCAGTGAGCTGAGATCGCGCCATTGCGCTCCAGCCTGGGCAACAAGAGTGAAACTTTGTCTCAAAAAAAAAAATTAACAAAATGCATCTGTATAGGCATCCTATGTCTGCATAATGCGTCTACACAGGCTTTGGGATGCAGCAGCATTGGATAGAACAATACTGATCCCTGGCAAAGATACACCACAAAAAAGCTCGGCTGCCTTTCACAAATACGAGTTCATGAACACGTCCAGGAAGATAAAAGTGTGCAGTGCATTAAAAACACATTTCCTTCTCATTAGTTGCATGAGGATATAAAAATTAAATCAAATCTGCTTTGTTGCCAATTTCAAGAATGTGACTGAGGACAAGGAGCAGAAGAAAGCAGTGTCACCAATCCTACTCGGAATAATCTGTCACCATGTTAGCAGAGCAGAAAACATTTCATTTTAAATGATTGCTATTTCAGTTACATAATAAAAGTTAATAGATACAACCCCAAACATAAGATTTAATTCATTCAGACACACATATACTTGTGTTAGTCTATGAAGGAAATATATCTTTTATGTCAAAATTATGTACTTCTTTGAAATGTAGTTCAAAGTGAAGAAGAAAACTTTAAACATTTTCCTTCACTTTTAACTCCTTCCATGCCCCAAAGCAAACACCTGAACATATGTTAAAATACTTGAATTCATAGCTGCCATCAGTAATGTCTTTATTCATTCAGAGATTTTACTTCAATATCCCTCTGTTAGACTTTTTCCTGAATGTTGATCTTGAAAATCTGTACCGAAAGCTTAAGTTTTTCTCCAAAGTCACATTCAACTTCCATAGATCATATCAGAATAATACTCCTTTGATATTTACATAGAAGCAAATACAACAATATCTCTATAATCCATGGATAATGTATATATGCTACTATAGATAGCTCTCATTCTGAAGATATTTTTCCCAAGGCACAAAGGCCATCACATAAATTCACCTGCATTTTTAGAGTGGATGTTCAGGGCGATGTCATTGGAGAAAGGCTATGCTCCCAGTGACTGTCACGGACAAGTACAGAGTCTTGAGTAGGCTCTCAACAAATGATTGTTGTGCTTATTAATTGAAGAAGAATGATCTTATATGTGAATCAGAAAGGAAGGAAATTAGGAGTAAGTGACAACGAAGCAAGTGATTTGTGAACATTGTGTCCGAAAGAGAATCTGAGGAAAAGGGTGTTTTGAGGTTAGTAGCAGGGCTGACATTGAATCTGAGTTCCATGCCCAGCAGTGAGCCACACCCTTTCCTTACTAAGGAATCTGGAAATGTTGCCAGCCCTGCCTTTTATCTTTGAAAACACAGGGCTATTTATGTCTAAACACAATGCACTGAATTTACCTTCATTGGTTGACACAGTTATCTTTCCTGATCCTCAAAACCTCAACAGACAGCAAAGTGCACAACTTGCTATGTAATAGAAGTTTGGTAGATGGGAAGTCTACATGCAAAGCTGATTTATTTTGGCAAGATAACTCAGCCGCAAGGGGTTACACGGAAGGCAGAGAGAATGGATGTAAAGTGTAGTCAGGATACTACTGAGAAATCCTAGTCAAGGATGTTGCAATAGCCTGTGAACTAGGAAAGGAGTGATATTGAAGACGTGTATGTAAGTAGAATCAATGAGTAGGGACTAAGTTGGTATGAAGAAAAATTCGAATGCTTGTCTAAGATTCTAATTCTCAGTAACTGGGTGGCACCATCGTCAAGATCCAGCCCTGGGAAGGAAGAGCAGGGTGGGAGTTGGAAAGTGAGTTTTAGACGCATTGAATTTGAGGTACTCAGAAGACATTCAAAGGGAATGTTCACCAGCTTCTTGGAAATGTGAGTCTGGAACTTTCACAAGAGATCAGGGATAGAGATTAGGGATTATCGTGAAGGAAGAAACAGGTGAACTCAGGGAAGATTACAGAGATTTAGACGAGAGGGACAGAACCCAAGGGAGTAACTTTAAGGTTGGGCAAAAAAAAAAAAGGGCACCTGTAAGTGGAATTCAGAAGATGTAATCAGAGAGACTGAAGGTAAATCAGAAGCTTCCAGTGTCACAGAAGGCAAAGGGGAACAGATTTCATGAAGATGCGAGAGTCAGCAGCATGTAATGCCAGTAATCTAAAAGACTTGTCTCCACATTTGTTTCCAATACCGCTTTATGTTAATTATGTAATATCTGGTTTCTCAGCTTTAGTAACAATGACATGAGAAAATTCAAAATTATTTTTTGTGTCATTTCTCTCAGTGTGTTTATTATTATTTAAATATATTTATATGCTTTCATGAACTTTACTTATGAACGAGTTAAGAACATGGCATCCCAAAATACACCACTCTGGCATATTCAGTATTTTTAGTTAAAGGCACTTAAGAAAAACCAGGTGAGGTCGGGCGTGGTGGCTTATGCCTGTAATCCCAGCACTTTGGGAGGCTGAAGCGGGTGGATCACCTGAGGTCAGGAGTTCGAGACCAGCCTGGCCAACATGGTGAAATCCCATCTCTACTAAAAATACAAAAATTAGCTGGGTGTGGTGGCAGGTGCCTGTAATCCCAGCTATTCAGGAGGCTGAGGCAGGAGAATCACTTGAACCCGGGAGGCGGAGGTTGCAGTGAGCCGAGATTGCGCCACTGCACTCCAGCCTGGGTGACAGAGAGAGACTCTCTCAAAAACAAAAACAAAAACAAAAACAAAAAGCAGGTACAAGAAGATCACTCTGACCTTCCTTCTGTTTCTGAAAAGCAGGAGATGACATTCCCATGTGAAAGGTGTCCTCCCTTGGCCAGGTGGGAGGCATGATTCCTATGGGCAAGGACCAGAAGCTGAGGCTGAGGGAAACCTGTACCACCTGCTATACTGGCCCTTCCTTCCCAGCCATTCTCCTCCAATCACCTGCCCTGGCCCAAGCCCCCGACCCCCCACCTCATCACATTTCTGCAATTTACTGCTCTTTGTCTAATTCCTTATATAAGTGGTCAATACAAACTGCATCTTTGGGTCTTCACAAATTCTGAAGGTTTTCATGCCACATAAACTTATATTAAATAAATGTATATGTTTTTCTCCTGTGGATCTGTCTTATGTCAATTTAATTCTCAGGCACAACACCCACGTGCCCCATCCCCTAACAAATCCTAACAGAGGAGAGGTATAATTTTGCCTTCCTTACACCTAGAAACATAGAAACCATCTTTTCTTTGAATTTAATGATTTAAAATTATAAAGACTTTTGGCTTGCACTGAATTTTCAGATTACATGTGAAATTACTTGTAAAGAAAAATTATTCAATATTATCCATTTTGTCAAAACTCTTAAAAAGATAGTGATGTCTACCAGCTTTCGCATTTTAGCATAATTGGAATGAGTCTATGGATAAAACAAATAGAAAAAATTGGAATAAAAATCCTCAAAATTAAGCACTGGTTCCTGCCAAATGGTAATGAAAAGTCACTAGCTTTTTCCAATAACATTAAGGAAGTATAAATATTATTAAGGAAAAGCTGTGTGTATATAAGCTTTTCTGAATAAATTAAATTACACGAAATATATAAGCTACAGAATGAAGTCTTTATATTAAAAACAGGTAGTCCTATTTTGCCTGGTATCGTGTCAACAGGAAACTCAAGCATATCCAGCCATATCACTGCTCTCCATAGTCCTGTAGCAACTGAGAGGACTGCTTGTCTGTTTTACTCACTTTTCATACATTTATTACATAAATTCTCTTAAAACAGAAATCCTTTCTTCTCAACCTGTTGACCCAAAACCAGTGTTAAAGAGGTTAAGATAATGTATACACTGCTAGATTCAAAGCCCATTATAAATTTTCATAAAACATAATGACAAACTATTTGATAACTTAAAGAGTAAATATCAGATTTATAACAATGCCATACAAAAAGATACACACTACAAAAACCATCTTGAATGTAAGTTTACAAAAGATGTTTGTCTGCTAAGGAACTAAATTCATTTTCTCTTTGAATTCACCATTTATAGAAGTTTTGAGCCCTAGACCAAAAATATGGAAGTATAGGCCAAACATTATACTATCTGTGATAAATTTTCAGAAAATTTGGGCTGCTTTAAGTAATGTATTTATGTTTTACATAGTTCCTCAATGTTAGCAGCTGTGAAAGATATTTACAATTTACTTCCTATGTAGAATTTATCTTAAATTTAAGAAATAGCAAATAGAGGGAAAGATGTTTTAATGCAGGTCTTTATTGAGTCGTTCAAATGATGAAGAGAATAATATAACAAATGTCCATGTACCCATCATTTATCTTAAAATAGAAGATACTAATTCAATTAAAGCCTGCTGCACATGTCTCTAATTGGAAGTGCCTTCCTACCTCCAGAGGTAACCATTATCTGAATGTAATATTTATCAGTCCATATATTTCTTTACATTATGATGATGTAGGTTTTTAATGAATACTCTTTTTAAGGTTAAAGTAATTCCTTCCTTTGTCTGGTTGTGAGTTTTTATCTTGAAAGCCTGTGTTGGGTTTCATCAGTTTTTTTTTCTGCACTGATTCAGACTGATCTACAGTCAGAATGTAAAGTTTTAAACCACAAAACTCATATGATTCATATATGGTGGTGAAATGCCTTCAATAAATAAATGAAGCAATATGAAAAGACCCTCATGAAAATATTTTATTCAATGAAAATGAAATTGCTTTAGGCATTAAAAGTAGTTATCTATGGTCACCTAAAACACTATTTGGTTTTACTAGTGAATTCCTCATTTCCTTCCTTTCTGATTTATATGTTAGATAATTCTTAAATTAATAAGCACAGCTGAGGGTTAAACATACCAAATAGTCTTCTGCCAAATGTTTTTACACCTGTGGTTTTAAGTATTTTAGAATATTGATTAGAAAAATTATACATGTGAACATAAAAAATTATGATGTGGACACAAATGATTTTTAACATCAAACGTTTTTTAATTTTGATATCCAAAATACATAAAAAATTGTAAGGGGATAAAAATCTCACTGCAATCAAGCTTTCTCACCTTTGCATAAAAATTATCACTTTGATTTCAGACAAGTTTTTACAAGCTGTGGTTATTAAGAGGTGGATCTCACCATGTGAGACAAAAAAACACGTGTGTGCCAATTCTAAATTAATTTCCAAATATGAAATACATCCGTTAATTCTTAAAGATGCTCAAACACAAAATAAAATATATTTTGAATGTAGACAAGTAGGCATCATCAATTTTTTTACCACAGAAAAAGGTAGTATTTTATTACTTTTTCCACATAAAAGTCTACCTCTGAATTTACCTTTTCACTCGGCTTTTCATTTTTACTTGTTTTTTTAGTTTTCCATCATAAGCCAGTCTTCTATTATATCAATACAAACTTTATAAACTTGTTTACACTTAATTTTTGTCTTATTCTGCCTTGAATAAAAATAGTCATAGTGGATATAAAAAGAAAATTCTAATGATTTAATTTGATGTCAGAAATACAATTTTTAAAGAAAACATCGAATTTCTGCTGCTAAGAGATGTCACTCTGTAAGTTTTCTCCAAAAGGGAGTGTTTTACTGCCCTTTACAAACAGAGGGAAAAACCATTTTCTACTTCAGAATGAGGCGTGGATCCCTTAGTCTGACATCTGACATCCTTCTTGAATTTGCACTGAACCTCCATCTTTATCTCCAACAATTCCTGGCTGAGTCCCTTCACTATGGGCCTACTCATAGATGTGCACAGAAATGAACCATCTGGTGTGCCAGGCCACACCTTCCAACACTTGGCTCTGCTGGGACCACAAGGATGGGCTTTCTCATCTCACCGTACATTTAGATGGCCATATTGGGTTTCGGATAGTCTCCCATTCTTAACCATGGTCTTCAACAGTTTTTGTTTTAAAAGTGAATACTCTTATGGTAAAAAAGATAAATGTGAAATAGAAAATACTGTAGATCTACAGATCAAAGTTATATTTGAAAACCACATTTAATTGTATATTCACATATTTTTGTAATTCACAAAAAATATACCCATCTGTAACTTTTCAACATTCTTGAGTGTTTTGAAAATTAACAATTTGTTCTAAAACTTGAGAGTTACATAGTTTTGAAATATTTCAAAGTTCAGTTCAAACACACACAAAACTCCTGGATACCACCTGGAGCTAAATTCAATACCAATCGAATTTTTTAGGTTTGCAAAATTGAACTAAAGAAGTACCACTGAGTTGAGGGCATGTCAAGATCTAGCATTAAACCAATTCAGATTTGTACTTGGACCAGCATATTCCAGGGGTCACAGTAGCCAACATGCAATGCCTTAAAAATACATGCTGTACGTGTGTTTTTCTATTAAGCTAAATTCAATCTCTTTTTTTTTCAGGCATAAATTTATTTGAGAACAAGAGAATAATGTTTCTATTCTATCCTTTCTAATATCAAGCTGGTCTTTAAAATTTTTTTTAAACTGTGTCAATTTCCTAACTCGATTCTTTTCGGTATGCCGACAGGTTATTTCAACCAGCCTCGTCCTAACATTTGGCTCATTATACTATTGGCACATTCATGTCTTTCTCTGTAATCTTCACCTCCCGTGCTTGTTTTTCTCTCAGTGAAGTACAGAAAGCCAAAACTTAGGATTTGAAATGTCGTCTTCACTGCCTGGACCAATGGTTTTCTTGTTTTATTGAAAATGAAAGAGCTGGCCGGGCGCGGTGGCTCAGGCCTGTAATCCCAGCACTTTGGGAGGCCGAGGCGGGCGGATCACGAGGTCAGGAGATCGAGACCAGCCTGGCTAACACACGGTGAAACCCCGTCTCTACTAAAAATACAAAAAATTAGCCGGGCGTGGTGGCGGGCGCCTGTAGTTCCAGTTACTCGGGAGGCTGAGGCAGGGGAATGGCGTGAACCCGGGAGGCGGAGCTTGCAGTGAGCCGAGATCGCGCCCCTGCACTCCAGCCTGGGCGACAGAGTGAGACTCTGTCTCAAAAAAAAAAAAAAAAAAAAGAGAAAGAAAATGAAAGAGCTATGCATTTGGTGAAATAATAAAAACACAACCTTTCATCTCTGATAATACTGAGCATTAAATAAAATTATAGGTGCAATTATTTTACAGGTAAGTTTTACTTTCTAGGACAAAGTCTAGATACACAGGGCAGTACTGACTGCCCCGAGGCCTCGGTCTCTGCACCAATTGGTCTCATCTTATTTCAAGTGCTCTCGTCTTTGTCCTCCTCTTCTCAGTTACATCTGTGTAACAGGGTCTGTCCAGCGTTTCATTTCTCTAATCACCTTGAACATTGCTCAGCAGTATTACTAACACATGAGCCTGATGGTGAGACTTTTGTTCTCAATAAATAAACACAAACTCAATGCACCTTCCCAGGGGCTTTGCATGGGACCTAAATATTCTTTGAGTCCTGAGTTTTCTCTCCTCTGAATCTTTGCTGTCCATCACCTTCTGCCATTTGAATACCCTCTTATCCAAACCAAAATCCTAATTCCAGTACAGCTTTTCCTTTGTGATAATACCACTGATTTTCTAGTACAATATACGCCCAGCTCCCAATTCCAGCTCTGAGCTCCTAGAGTTCTGGGGGACTTCACATTGCCCATCTTCTTTTGCAGAGTGTTATATCCAGGTGTATGTGCCCAGCTCTCCTACCAGACTGTTCATCTGCCTGTGGCACGGCTCCTTGCACACAGTACGTACAAGGCTTGGTAACAGAATCCCATGTTCATTGAAGGGCCTAGACTGATCACATTTTAAATAATGCACAATGTTCTCACGTCTATTTAAGGAAGAAACAACTGATTTCTATCTTTTAAGATTGCATTTCAAGACCATATCAAAGGCTTTGAATCTCTCACCAAGACTAACAATGAAAAACAAATTTGGCCAAGTGCAGTGGCTCACACCTGTAATCCCAGCATCTTGGAAGGCCGAGGTGGGTGGATCACTTGAGGTCTGGACTATGAGACCAGCCTGGCAGCCTGGGCAACATGGCAAAACCCCATCTCTTCTAAAAGCACAAAAATTAGCTTGCGTGGTGACACGTGCCTGTAATCCCAGCTACTCAGGAGGGTGAGGCACGAGAATCACTTGAACCTGGGAGGCGGAGGTTGCAGTGAGCCAAGATTGCACCACAGCACTCCAGCTTGGGCAACAGAGTGAGACTCTGTCTCAAAAAAAAAAAAACAAAAAAACAAAAAAAAATGCAAATTTGATCATATTTAATTGAATTTGTTTCAAAGTAAGGGAAAGGGGAGTATGCAAGGGCGACATGTGGCCTGTTCTTCTGAAAAAGCAAGAAAGGTTATCTTTATACACCAGATCAAGGTATTGACAGCTACAGAGTGAAATTCCATACACAAAAAGAAAATTTTCTTCAAGTGAAAAAAGTAAGTGGCCAATAAGGTCACATTCAAAAATTAAAAATGGATGCCCTGGTCTTGATTACTGATACCATTTTTCAATAAAAGTAACCAGAGCTCCTTGAAGAAATAATTGATTTTAGGACTAGGACATGAAATGTACAAAATGATGCGGGAGCATCTTGTAGTACCAGGGAAAAAAAAAAGTCAACCCTTAGCATGAAGGTGTAAGTCAAAGGCACATGGGAGACTGGAGATGCATTTTGGATTTCAGATTTTTTCAGATTTTGGAATATTTGCATATCCATCCTGCGTCATCTTGGGGACAGGACCCAGATCCAAATGTGAAATTCGCTTATGTTATATGTAGTGTATCCAAATAGCCTGAAGGTAATTTTATACAGCGTTTTTAATAATTTTGTGCATAAAATGAAGTTTGTGTACACTGAACCGTCAGAAAGCAAAGGCATCAATATCTCAGCCACCCACATGGAAAATCTGGTGTTGTTTGGCATCACCATCATTCCTGACTGAATTTATTTGCTACCAATAAGCAATCATTTTCCTGCTCTTACTCAGACGTGAGTACTTAACAGTAGAAAATACTACTATTTTTGTTTTTGAAAGAGTCTTGCTCTTGTTGCCCAGGCTGGAGTGCAATGACACCATCTCGGCTCACGGCAACCTGTGCCTCCCGGGTTCAAGCAATTCTCCTGCCTCAGCCTCCTGAGTAGCTGGGATTACAGGCATGCACCACCATGCCCGGCTAATTTTGTATTTTTAATAGAGATGGGGTTTCTCCATGTTGGTCAGGCTAGTCTCGAACTCCCGACCTCAGGTGATCCACCCGCCTTGGCCTCCGAAAGTGCTGGGATTGTAGGCGTGAGCCACTGTGCCCAGCCTAATACTACTATTTTTTAAACAGTAAAGATACATCCTATTAATACAGTGAAAAATAATGTGTTTAGGTAACTGGGCAGCACAGGAAAAAGACCGTTTTCCTTTCTCAGCTGTTAGACAACAGCAGCAACAAACAATGCAGGCTTTCAGTTGCCACCTATGATGCTGTGTTTGGAGTAAAGGGCACTGTACACTGTATTTTTTTTCTTTTTTAGGTGATAAGAAACATCTGAAGCAGTTGACAGATCATGAAGCGGGTCCTCTGAGAAATGAGAGGCATTCTGCCGGATGGCATTTTTTTTTTTTTTTGAGACGAAGTCTCACCCTGTCACCCAGGCTAGAGTGCAGTGGCACGATCTCGGCTCACTGCAACCTCCGCCTCCCAGTTTCAAGTGATTCTCCTGCCTCAGCCTCCCGAGTAGGATGGCTTTTAAAATGTTTTCTCCAGCGTCATCTGCCTCATTAACAGCGATTTTTGTCTTAGAAGTCTCTCTTTGAGTTTCTAAATGGACATGACTGCTTATTCTGTTAGGAATGCACTCCACTCTAGTCCTTCAATTAGCCCATCACATTGTCACTGTGGCATCTGTATGCACATTTTCTGCCGTGTTAATGTCATCTTCATTGTCCAATTGTGGCATCATGTTGGTGCTCAAAACGTTGCAGATTTTGGAACATTTTGGATTTCGGACTTTTAGAGTAGAGATGCTCAGGCTCTACTACTTCTTATTTCAGAGAAAAACATAATATCCAAATAACTAATAAAAACTTGGTTGGAGAATGCAGACTTCTAGAAATGACTGTTTAATCTGCTTATGATAAATAATCCTCTTTGCTCTACTGCAAAGGGGAGACTACTGCTGTTACTGTTTTGTGTCATCATGTCCTGATCAGACAAACACTGATTTAAAAAAAAAATAAAACAAGTACATTGTATATGTAAATTTAGACTGTAATAATATATCCTTGAGAAATAAATATTATATGGACTCCATTTTTCTCTGACAGTCAATTAAGCACAAAAAGATTTTTAAAGCACTGATTTTTGCATTCTTAAATGACAAATGAAGTCTTCTTGAAATAAGATTTTTAATGATTTAGAGAAATATTTGCACATACACTAGCTTGGTGTTGATTCTCAATTTTTAATTTTTTTTTAATCCTTTCCCTGGCATTTTCATCGTTTCCTTTTTTTTTTTTTTTTTTTTTTGAGACAGAGTTTCACTCTTGTTGCCCAGGCTGGAGTGCAATGGTGGGATCTTGGCTCACTGCACCCTCCGCCTCCCAGGTTCAAGCTATTCTCCCACTTCAGCCTCCCAAGTAGCTGGGATTATAGGTGTGCACCACCATGCCTGGCTAATTTTGCATTTTTTTTTTTTTTTTAGTAGAGATGGGGTTTCACCATTTTGGTCAGGCTGGTCTTGAACTCCTGATCTCAAGTGATCCACCTGCCTCGGCCTCCCAACGTGCTGGGGTTATAGGCGTGAGCCACCACGCCAAGCCTATCCTTCCCCTTTTTCTGTTTTGTTATGGATGATGAATGTCTTAAAACTACTGAACTCCTTATACCTTGATATGGTTAGTGAGAGCTTCCTTGTGGGATGGTTCTGAATGATTTTCTCTAGAACCTCCATTTGAACATCTTCCTTTCCTCTGCTCACTGTACCAGTCTGGGGCTATCAAATCACATATGCTGATAAATGCTACACTATGACTGGTGAAGCCAGTGCTAAAAAGCAGCTTCTACATATGGCACTTCCAAATTGTGTTATTGCTAGCTTTTCCAGTGCTTTCTCTACTAGGGCATCCACTGCATGTCACCTGCTAAAATGCAAACCACATCTTTAATGAAAGTCTGTTTTATTGAATATATAAGTGACTATGAAATTTCAAAATGAAATTTGATGGCAATTTAATTTTATAATAAATCTATATCTATGTATCTCACCAAAGATAGCCTAAATCTTTAGTGAGGCCACACATTCATTTTTATGAAAATTCTTCACATGAGTTTAGAAATCTCCCAACTAAGAAAAGGACAAGTCAGATCTTAGTGTCCTGGGTGGCTTAGCATTTCATAACTGCCAGAGAACCATGAGGACCTTCCTGGGACTGACTCATGGGAGTTATCTGCAATGATTTTATGTTTCCCAATGGGTCATATTTTCATTGGAGATTATTTACTATGCCTGGAATCCTAATGCTTGGTGTCTCTAATGAGAAAAATAATACAAAAAAATTCAATATTCAGCCAACACAAATTTATATGATCTACAAAAGAAAGGAATGTTTTCAGATCCTGGGCTTGATTATTTTTGTTTTCGATGTGACAGATTTGCTGAACAAAGCTTACAAATCTCCCTTTTCCTCTCTGCTCGCTACTACCCCGACCCAGAAAACACACACACACCCCTTCCCAACCGGGGACCATCTGACCGTTCACACCCACATCAACTCTGGGTCGCCATGCTTTTCTGAGGGACATTGCCTTCACTGAGAGCTCCTTTATTCTCAGTATACCTTACATTCCCAGCCACAGTACTGAACTTCTCAATGCTTGCAATGTTCCCTTGGAGTATATCAGTTGAGCAGGCGGAAAAAAAATATCTGGAAGTTTATTATTTTTCCACCAATATATTTGACACCACCTTTGGAGAGGGAACAAAAGGCATACTGTCAAGCGGATAGACCTGGACAAAATGTTACTGTTTGTTCCTCACGAGCACAGAGGTATATTTAAGCAAAGAAAGGCATTCCACGGCTCTCCCGGGACTTCCTTCCTTCAGCTGAATTATACCAACATGTTCACACCACTGAGGGCCAGGCTGCTGGAATTTAAAACGCAGACCTCTATCTGCCAGTGCTTCGATCCCACGGCTACAAACATTCACATTAGGATTGAACCTGGCTTTCAAACATCATGAGATAAATGGGAGTTTACTGGGGGAAAACGTGTGCCCTCATGAAACTATAGTAGAAGATGCGGAAATAGGACTGTCCCTGTTCAGCAGATTCTATACTAATACAATAAAGCCTCAAAGTCACCAGAAGTCACCTGGCCTTGGGTTATGTTTCAAATCCAGGCTCACTGACATTCATGAAACCTTTGGCAACACAGGCCAAGTTTCGTGCAAGGCTGGGTAGAATACTTCTTTCATGTGGAAGCTGGGTGAAACTCGGTGGCTTTGGCTAGCTTTCACCTGAAGTTTCACATTCAAACAATCCAAAGTTTCAACGTAAAATTCAGGGGTGAAGAGAAACAGAAAGAAAAAAAAAACAAAACAAAACAGGGGGAAAATGGCTTGCCTGGGAATGGAATGATCACCTACCATTCTCCAAAAAGATTTCATCCTGGTGCCATTTAATTTTGCCGCTGGACTATCACCTCTAGCAATATATTTGCACTCAGCCCTGCAGACCAAGGCTTCCCAGTACTAAGGGAGAGTGAGTATTCTAGCTAGACGCACCCCATCCCCCCAACAAAGCCCAGGCTCAAAATAACGGGAGGATTTAAAATGGTAACCATACACATAAATGCGATGATTGACATGCTTCTTATAATGTAGATTTGAAGGGGAAAAGTGGCAATGAAATGCCCAGGTTTGGGAAACTTAAAGATTAGACTGAACATCTCTAGGTTTTTCTACTATAAATCCAAGTTCTGGAGATTCGATTGCATCTGCTCCTAATCCAGGGAGATCTCTGCCGTAGCTTTCTCCACAGCTCCGCCCCTTTGGAGATTTGTCCTGTGGCCACTTGCGTTTGTCCTTCTTAGCAAGGTGCAGAGGACGGGGCAGACTGCGTCAGCGCTGAGGAGCTAGCGTCCTTGACTGGGACTTAAACAGTCTCCTGACAGGATTAGGCTCATTCTACTCCTAACCTTCAACAGAACACGCAGGGACCGTTTGCCAGGGAACGTCAAACTCTGTATTTGGCTGAGGACTGTGAAAATACCTTGTGCTTGGGGTGGGAAAGAAGAAGGGAACAAATGTCACACACACCTGTGCTTTCTTCACAATGAAGAGAATATTCCAAAGCTGATTGAATGGCTAGTAAGTGCTACATTTTGCCCATTTTAGGAAATACATTTTTAAGAAATCCCTTATCCCTTACACAGCAGAAGTTTCACTCGTAAAACAGACTTCTGGCTACTAAGGTTTTTTTTTTTTTTCCAGTTTTCTTTTGATTCTAATTTTCTTTTTCTTTGTTATTTCTTCCCGTTTTTGTTACTCAGACGATCCTTATGTGGTTAAAATGCATGCTTTCCTTTGATATGTGCTCTGTGATACCAATAAACTTTTCTGAAAAAAAAGTATTTCTGAACTCCAAAGATTTCAGCATCCATGTTTTTAAAAAGCACCAGTTGGGCCCCAAGGCACACGGAGATTCTGAGGCAGCAGGGCAGCCAGCGCGGGGCTCTGTGCACTCTCATTTGCTGCTTGCTCTTACACATCTGCCAGACAGGGGCCATGAACTGTCCTGAAGTCTGTGTTGGGGAGAACTTTACCAGAGAACACTTTTCTTACAATTGGGGGTCCCTCTAGAAGTGAAATCTAAGACAGATCAGTGAGGAAAACTAAAGCTCCAATAAATTGTTTAAAGGAAATGCTATGAAAGCATTAAACCAAAAGGAAAAAAAAGGAGACTTTTTACTGAGCATAGTAAATAGCCACAATCAAAGTAAATGCTGTGTTTGAAGTTAAAGTCCACAGATCAAAGTACTTCGCAAAATGTCAAGTGCAAGCGTAACGAGGGGGAGAGGGGAGCCACAGAAACTGACCCGAAGTATCACATTGTCACGTTAGAGAAACCTGCCAGCAGATGTACCCAGCAAAAGACAGTCAGCTTAGTAAGGAATCCTCAACACTGTCCCCTAAAATGTGCTAGGAACATACAAAACAACAATAACAAAAACAAAACCCCCAGATTCCCCCAAATCAACCACTCTAATTCCACACGAGCAATGAACGAAACAGTGATGAAAGGAGAACATTATACAATACGGCTCGCTCATTGCCCTTAAAGAACAATTACTTATATATATTATCTTTACTCAGGTGGATGGTTGCATCTTTTTCCTCTTTTTTTTTTTTTAATGCCCCTGGAAAGTTAAAAATAAAGCAGTCTAAACAACAAAAATATGATGTCTGAAACATCCTCTCATTGCTCTGGCAATCAGGCTTAATTAGACCTCTGATCCATGGCTTAGTCATAGTCAAGCGTGTACTGCAGGTCACTATTATGAGAGCTTTAAGCAAAGTTTAAAACTTACAGCCACAAAAATGCCCAGATGCTCCTGCTGTATTCTGGAACACCGTGTTTACCTGAAAATTGTTCACAACTCCCCTTATTATTTTCACTATAAGTAAGTTATTTTAAAGACATTAGTTATGAACATACCAGAAAACAATTAAATAATTCCAGAATAAAAAATCTTACCTACAGGCAGCTGAGTTCAACAGTTGCTCTATACAGAGGAAGTAGGAGTCAGTGGCCTTTTACATGTAGAGATTGTTTATTTAGCCCTTTTTAAAAGGTCTTGAACTCCAGAGGTTTAAGATTAAGTCCAATCCAAGTGTCTGAAGGAAAAAAAGCAAGAGAGAGGCAAATGAGAGAGGGAAAGAATCCCAGCTGCTGGGTGGTGCTACTGTTCTGAGAGCATTTGAGCTATTTTCAGCATTAACAGCAGCCGGGGTTGTCTGCAAAGGGATGAAAATGCCTTGCCCAGATCGCCACCCCCCACTCCAGGGGGGAGAAAACACCAACCAGGAAACCCACAACGACTTGGTTCATTGTGCAAATATTCATTTAAATTTTGAGGAAAACTGCCAGCACCATTGAAAACAAAACAAACCCAAAGTTGACTGGAATCTTAAAGAAACACAGTGCTCCTCAAGTTTTCAAAATGAATTACCTGATTCACTGAAAACGAGATGTCCTACTTATGCTTTATTGAGAAGGAGGCTTTTCTTCTGATATTTCCTAGGGGGTCTTAAGAAATAGTTGAGAGCCCTCTGGTAGCAGTATCTGTTGTCAGTCTATTCTTAAGACTGAAGACAAATGATTTCTTAAAAGAGCCCGCACCTAAATTTCCAGTTTCATCAACTATGCTATTTTTGAAAGCTACTGGGTTAAGCGTTGACATCTCTTATCTATTGGCAGAGACTGGGGACCATTCAGTGACATGAGGCAGACAAACAGTGACCCCTGCTTCTGCCTCCACAGGCCAATGAAGAAATCATTCTGGTTGGGTCACTGGCAATGACTGACAAACTTTGAGCCTTCATTTTGTTTCTAGAAATAAAAATTAAGAAGTCGTATTCATTCATTCATTCAGCAAATATTTATTTGGTGAGCACTTCAGAGCTTACTATAAGCCAAGCACTCTGGGAATACAGTGGTGGGCAGAATGAAGTGTCCTTGCCTTCAGGGGTTTAGAGCACACAGATGCAGTGAGAATAAATAAAAACAGAATTTTTAAATATTTTCCAGACTTTTTCACATGATGAGACTATTCACATCATGGCAGCTGAAGACTGAGATCTCTTTCTATTGTGGATGAAGGAAGATACTGTGTGTCATCAGACCAACTTCAGGCTTCCATTGAGTCATTGTGCCTTTACACCACCACCAGGGAGGAAAATTACTTACTTTCTACCAAGGAAGCAGTTAAGTATGTTTATGAACGCTTTCATTCCAATAGATGAAATCCCTGGTTTTTTTCAACCCCCTACTCCCCATTACAAAAAGAATGCTTAAGTAGTCAGAAAGTACTGCTGAGAGGCTTTCCATCGGGAGATGAAAAGAGAGTCTTCAACCTGAATTCAGTATAAAAAACTGCCGGTGGCTCAGGCCCGTAATCCAGCACTTTGGGAGGCTGAGGCAGGTGGATCATGAGGTCAGGAGATCTAGACCATCCTGGCTAACATGGTGAAACCCCATCTCTAAAAAAAATGCAAAAAATTAGCAGGATGTCGTGGCACGCGCCTGTAGTCCCAGCTACTTGGGAGGCTGAGGCAGGAGAATCGCTTGAAGCCGGGAGGTGGAGGTTGCGGTGAGCTGAGATCGCACCAGTGCACTCCAGCCTGGGCAACAGAGTGAGACTCCATCTCAAAAAAAAAAAAAAAAAATGCCCTGATATATTTTATAATTAATGTGAGGGTTGGTTGCTAGATGCTTATATCAAATTCAAATTCAATTCTTTCTTTGCCATTAAAGAAAGACACTGAAATAGATTATGGAAAATACTGAGGATTATGCCATGTGAAAAAAAAGGGTTACATGACTACTACTTCAAGTACTATTTAAAAACAGTGAAATCCTTTGGCTCAATAGACCTTATATTAAAACTGTATTTCAAATTAAAAAATTATAAATTAACTTTGAAATCTCTAATCTGAATTTTATAAATAAGATCAACTTTGTTTTAAAAATGTATACCAGGCTTTAAAAAATGACTCTAGAATAAAGCATTTTTCTTTTCACTTATTTTAAATGGTTACATTTTACTATGTCTTAAATACCTGCCAATCTAACATGGGATATTTGTTTCTCTTGGCCTCAATGTGGAATGGTAATTCTACTGGTAATAATTGGAAGCCTAGCTGCAGACAGACACATTTTTTAATTGTTTTTTTCTTTTTCCTCCTTATAATAGTTTATACCAAAAAAGGGTATAATGCATTTAAATATTGGCTTTCCTTGAGAAGCTATGGCATTAAGGAAACAAAGATCAACATAACCCACTCTCGTATAAAACAGGGATAATAATGAGTTGTCATAGGGCTCATAGGAATAATGCACAGAAAATGCTTACCTGGGTAATGTCTGACACACAGCAAGCATTTGGTGAAAGTCAGTACCATCATCTCTGCTGTAAGTGTAAAGCTTTGCTCTCCAAATATGGTGGCTACATGTGGCTACTGAGCTCAATGCGGCTAGTCAGAACTGAGATGTCATATAAGTGTAAAATGCATGCTAGATTTTGAGGTCTTTATACAAAAAAAAAAGGTGAATGATGAGAAATTACTCAGTGGGTACGATGTTCATTATTCAGGTGATGGACACATTCATTAAATCCGTGACTTTACCACTATGCAGTCCATCCATGTAACAAAATTCTCCTTGTACCCCACAAATTTGTACAAATAAAAATAGATTAATGTTGTCTCTTCCTAAAACATGTAAACTATCATATCATTTTTATATTGACCACACGTTGAAAAAAGAATGTAAATTATGACATTAATTTTTATATTATGTGTTGAAATGACAGTATTTTGGACATAGTATGTTAAATAGGATATTTTGCTAAAATTAATTTCACTTGTTTCTTTTTTACTTTTTCAAATCTGACTGCTAGCTAATTTAAAATTACCTATGTGACTTGCATTCTATTTCTACTGGGCAGTGCCATGCAGGCCAACGGTTCTCAAAAGGTAGTGAGCATCAATGACCCAGAAGCTTCGTAAAAACAGATTGCTGGGTCCACCCCAGAGCGTCTGATTCAGTAGGTCTGGCGGGGCCTGAAATTCTGCATCCCTAACAAATTCCCGGGTGATTCTTGACCTCACTTTGAAAACCGCTGGTCTTGGGCCTTGCTTCTTAAAAAAGTAGTCCACGGACCAACATTAACGTCATCACTTAGGATCTTGTTAGAAACGCAAAACCTCAGGCCCCACCCAGACCTACTGAGCCAGCATGTGCATTTTCACAACATCCCCAGGCTGCGTGTAAACATGTTGAAACTTGAGAGAAATGATATGAAGTAGTGTCTGTCATCCCTGGGTGAATATAAGGTAAACTTTTACAAACACCAGTACCCCGGCCCCGCCCCTAGAGAGTCAGATTTAATGACTCTGGATGTGACTCGAGCATCTGCATACGTGAACAGCTGATTCCAGATTAAAGCAAGCACTGAGTCCCATCAGACTGGATGTGGAAAGGCCAGGATCTAGATCATTTGTACATCATTAAGGCATAGTTGACACAGATCAAACCATATTAGAGGGTATTTACATCCCAAAAGAGGATCTTGTTAACCCCAATAACTCTACAATTGTTAGAACTGGTGAGAAAGACCCATATTTTGGAGTAGAGAGGCCTTCTGTTATTCGCTCCACCTCTGTTCCGGCCTTAAATAAACGAGCACGCCAACTTTAAGAGTGTGTCTGAATAACCTCATTAGTTTGCCGAATGACTTCTCACATTTTCAGGCGGCACCTGAGCGTTGTGTGTTTCACAGAGCTTGGTAAAAATAAAATCCTCACTGTAAGAGAGAATCTGGGCTCACGCTGGTAACATTTAAAACTTCCAATTCTATATGCAAAGACCATCTGCAGCTTTGCTTCTCACTTTCTTGGTTGAACCTTTCAGAAAACTTTTAAAAGTGCATAATACTTAAGAGTAGAGTCTGGAGTCAGGGTGCCTGGGTTCGAATCCTCATCCTGCCACTTACGCGTGGCTGTGGCTGTAGGTCACTTACTTAGCCTCCCCATACCTCGGTTTCCTCCTCTGTAATGAGACCTTTTTTTATTGGGTTGTTGTGAGGGTGAAAATTGTTATTTGAAACAGCCATGGAAAAATCTGCTGCTTTGTAAATTTTATATGAATGTTGGTTAAATAATCAAAATATATTTGAAAAACTGTGCAGATTTCCATATGTGGCTAAATTTAGTAATTTTTAAAAGATACTGTGGTGATTTCCAAGGACTTTCATGGGCGTGAGTTTTTGAACACATATATTTAGAGGGTTTCTCTGAGTGTTGTTTTACATTTTTTTCCCAAGACAGCACAGAATTCTCAATTGATTCCTCATCGCTTCCTATTATTTGAGAGGATCCCAGTAGGAAGGAAGTAAATGTAGTTTTCCCATGAGTATTGTTTTCTAGAGAACATTCTTTACCCCTGCAGTCCTTTGAAGAGTGAGTTGTGCTATAGATGTTTAGAGACCTCCCTGGTCCCTGTCATTCTAGTGGCATTGTCTAGTATCCCAGGAGAACAATGTGTCATTCTCTTAGTCAAATATTTTAGTGCTTAGGGCGAGGCAGCAAGACCATCTGAAACACTGGCGTGAGTTTCAAAGACATATTGAAACAGCAGTCAGATTCTCCTATAGAAATCAGCTAATGCTGACTAAAAGAAGGGATGGGGATGAACAGGGAAGTGCTGAAGTCACGCACATTGTAAGCAAAATGAAGGCTAGACTAAGTAGAGTAACATTTTTTTTTTTTTTTTTTTTTTTTTGAGACGGAGTTTTGCTCTTGTTGCCCAGGCTGGAGTGCAATAGCACAATCTCGGCTCACCGCAACCTCTACCTCCCAGGTTCAAGTAATTCTCCTGCCTCAGCCTCCCGAATAGCTGGGATTACAGGCATGCATCACCACACCCGGTTAATTTTGTGTTTTTAGTAGAGATGGGGTTTTTCCATGTTGGTCAGGCTGGTCTCAAGCTCCTGACCTCAGGTGATCCACGCACCTCAGCCTCCCAAAGTGCTGGGATTACAGGCGTGAGCCACTGCACCTGGCCTGGAGTAACACCTTTTATGCTTGTCTGCTTCAACCACACTCAATGAAGTGAAGCATATGCAAGAAAAATAAGGATACCTGGTAGCTCTGGGCACGTAGCAAGCATCCGTCGGGTCATCTACAGGAACCTCACCCATGGTATGCCACCTGCTGAACAATGTAATGCATGCATCGGGCTGGAAACTAAAGCCCATACATTGAGTGACTTTAGACCAGTCATGCAAGCTCCCTACACTTGTGTCCTGAAAGGCAGATAGAGGCATGGGACTGCAACTGCCTTACTGACTCTTAAACCTATGCTTTCTCTTGGGCTTATCTGGATTACATTCGGCAGTCTGCCATGATTTACGCCTTTTTGCAGCACTGTTTGAAAGGAGTCAAATCATACGTCCAATGACTTCTACTGCCTGGTTATTGATGTTAAGTAAATACTTTTTAGTAGGCGATTTGTCATCACATGTGTCATTTTGCCATCTGGGTTGAGGTTTATCAAGTGAGGTGAAAATCTTAACAAAAGGTTAAAGGACCAGTATCATTGAAAGAGATTATATAGAAATAACTTCTTAAAACCTCTGTTAGAAGCTCAATTTTCTAGTTGAAACTTTGTTTCATTTATTTATTTTTATTTATTCATTTATTTTTGAGATGGAGTTTCACTCTGTCACCCAGGCTGGAGTGCAATGGGGTGATCTCGGCTCACTGCAACCTCCACCTCCTGGGTTCAAGCGATTCTCCTGCCTCAGCCTCCCAAGTAACTGGGATTACAGACATGCGCCACCACACCTGGCTAATTTTTGTATTTTTAGTAGAGACGGGTTTCACCATGTTGGTCAGGTTGGTCTCGAACTCCTAACCTCAGGTGATCCTCCTGCCTCAGCCTCCCAAAGTGCTGAAATTACAGGCATGAGCCACGGCGCCCAGCCTGAAACTTTGTTTTAAACTGGCTGCCTGAATTCTTTGTGTATTTAAAGAGCACCTCTGCTGTTTATGTAACCATGACTTAGCTTTTCTTGTTATTTCTATTCCATTTGAAATTGAGCATATGCAACAGTCGCTAAATCTGCTATGAAAATTGTGAAGCCTTCTCCATGTGGCCCACTGAAGGCCCTGCACGATCTGGTGTTCTGCAGCATTTCTGCCCAGATCTCCACCACCTTCCTCCCAGTGCCATTGCCTCCAGCCTCTCTAGCCTCCCTTCCATTGCCTCCCGCCTCTCCAGCCTCCCTTCCATTGCCTCCAGCCTCTCCAGCCTCCCTTCCATTGCCTCTGGCCCCTCCAGCCTCCCTTCCCTTGCCTCCGGCCCCTCCAGCCTCCCTTCCATTGCCTCCGGCCTCTCCAGCGTCCCTTCCATTGCCTCCGGCCTCTCCAGCCTCCCTTCCATTGCCTCCGGCCTCTCCAGCCTCCCTTCCATTCCTGGACTGTGCCTCATCCAGGGCCCTGGCTTGCCTGGCTCAATGTGATGGGAATGCCTTCCCTGCCCAGTGGCGAATGCCATGCAGCCTCCAGCTTTCACGTGTCTCTTCCTCAGGAAGGACTTCCCTGCTCCACCAGCGTAGCCCCGCCACCCCCTTTTTTTAACTCGTAAAGAATCACCTTCCTCATTCCTTCTAAATTCAGGTTCAGTTGCTTGAATTTGTTGGAGTAATTGATCGGAGCCCCTCTCCTCCACTAGCCTATCAGCTCCCGCTTGCCCCTCACATGACTTACATTCCTCCCGCAGGTACTGCATTCTGCCTGGCCCTAAGTAGGGGCCAATACGTAGTTGCTGAATAAGTAAATGATTAAATAAGTTCTGCCGAAGGCATTAAGCAACACAAGAGTACATTTTTTGGTTCTATATTTATCAGAACTTGTGAAATAAAAAGTATCTGATCATGTAAAAAGCAAAACATTATGTATTCTAATTAAGCAGCTGTTTCCAACCAAGACGATTCTCTGAAACATTGCTTTGTAGCTACATATTTGGTTTAGAAGCTGTCTTAAGAGGCAGGTGCCACTTGCTTTTCCCTTCAGGATATAATATGTTCTGTTATCTTAATTTGCATTTATTCTAAAATAGATTTCAATAAAACAAGTTACTTGCATTCATATATCATATTCCTAGACCTTTTTCACAACCATGTGATACTCTACTAGGGTAGAGTGAGGTCCCTGATAAACATTTCTTCTGATTAGGGTTATTGAGAGAATTATGTATTTGTCTATATATTGCCTGGCAGTTATACCACCTGAAACCATATGTGATTATTTATAATGTAGTTTTATGAGCAGACAGGCAGATATAAAGTAACACATCAACCATGCCACCTGGTCAGGCCATAGTCATTCCAATGGTATGAAACTCTTTCTTGTGGCCATATTATGCATAAGTTATAAACAGACAATGAATGGTCACTGACTGAGAAGACTGGAGATTTGCAATCTTATTTTCTGGCAAATAGCCAAGTCATGTCAACAGGAGAGATAAGGAGAGTTTTGTGTGTCATACACTGTAGAGCAGGGGTCAAAGCCTGGGATAGGAGAGGGCTTGGTCTTCACTGCATTTATTTGAAAGGAGCTATGGAAACTTTTCTTCTACCACTTGGGCACAGGAAGGCTTGCTATGGCCCAACAATGTTTTAAAATGTATTCTTTACACATGTGTAAAACACTCTGAAATCATCAAGATACAGCATGAAACGTATCTTTTCTGAGACATTAAAAAACTGAATAAATTAATCCAACAAGCCATGGCACAATTCCATAATTACTATGACCACAGAAGTTAATTTAGCAGGGATAGTACATAATACACACCGTGCTAGGAAAGTGTCCTTGAAACTCATGACGGTGAAGGACGAATTAAGCCCAATGAAGGACAGTTGACCAGCATTCAAGAGGTAGAAGGAACTATAGATTCCTTATATCAAGTACATGAGAAAAACTTCCTAAATGAATGAGGCTGGAAACACAAACCCTCAGAGACTGGACATAGGAATATTTTCTGCGTTGTCTGTCTTCTAAGCAGACTCTCTCTCTACTTCTACTTCTGTGTTAGCAACGACTACAGTGCTGCAGTAATATAGATCTCCTCAGTTCTCAGGTGGCCAAGTGAGGCCTTGGGAAGCTAAAGTTCCTGGACTGGCCACCTCTGGCTGTTAGCAACCTCATTGGTTTACCTCTGTGCCTGCAAATATTCTTGATTTTATGTATAGTATATTATAGAGAAGTCTGGAAGGGAATGCTTTAACCAGCAAAGTCAATCCATTAAACAAAAAGGTATGGGAGAGACACGTTAAGAGATCAGTAACCATGTTGTAGTTTAAAAAAAAAATGCGAAGTCTTTGTTCAGACCCTCGGGGTAAGCAGAAGTAGACTGGTCTCCAGTGGCAGGCATGAGAGGGAATATCCTGCCCGCAGTGATGGACATTTTGGTTTCAGGCAGAGAGGCAGGAAGCTGCCCTCTGAATCAGAGTAAATGCTCACATTTTGACCTTCTAGCAAGGGCCCTCTTTTTCTTGGCAAGAATTCCTTCGAGGATCATTTTCAGTTTGAGGTTCTGTCTGATGTTTTATTTTACAATTAAGTCACTATTCCCATATTCATTACTCTGTAAAATAAGTCAAGTAGGTAAGAGGTGTGGTAGACACTTCCTTCTGCCTCCTGAGGATCCATTTTGCAGCCTTCCTCACTACAGAATCCTGACAGTACGGCCAGTTAACAACTGACCTGCCTGGATTCCTTGCAGTTTCTGACCAATAAGCTAAAGGCAAGGCATCCTGTTGAAAATTTCATATGCACAGTAACGACACTAACCTCCCGAGAAGAGGGCTTCCTTGTCCTTTTCTTTCTTTTTTGAGACGGAGTCTGGATCTGTCGCCCAGGCTAGAGTGCAGTGACGGGATCTCAGCTCACTGCAAGCTCTGCCTCCCGGGTTCACACCATTCTCCTGCCTCAGCCTCCCGAGTAGCTGGGACTACAGGCACCTGCCACCACTCCCGGCTAATTTTTTGTATTTTAGTAGAGACGGCATTTCACTATGTTGGCCAGGATGGTCTCGATCTCCTGACCTCGTGATCCGCCCACCTCGGCCTCCCAAAGTGCTGGGATTACAAGCGTGAGCCACCGCGCCAGGCTGTCCTTTTCTTTCTAACCTTGTTCTGCTCCTCTTTTTGTAGACTGAAATGCAGATGTCATTCTGTGGGGGTGCATGCTAACAGAGAGATGATACAGCGATGGAGAGAGGATAGAGAGGAACCTACTCTGGGCTACCTGTCCGTGGGATTTCTTGTTATTTGAGGCAAACCCAACCTGGTGAAATGACTGTATTGAGGTCATCTGTTCCATGAAAGCTAGAAACAGAAACAAAACAATCATCTAAAAACAACCTTCCTTACATTAGACCGGCTGAACGACAGCAATAAACTATTAGGCCTGCCATTAAGATATTAGTTAAAAAATACTTCCAGAAGTTTTGAAAGAACTTCTGGGCATCAACAACGAATGCTTACAACAGTTGTGGCATTAAGTCTCCGGCCCATTATCATTTCCTAATGGAGCAAAATCTGCCATGAAAAATGAGCCGACATGCCTAACGCCCCGGGAGCTGCATCATTTGAATATTTTTGACTCTAAATATAGTGAAGTAGTTGGCTCTTTTTTCTAAAACTACAATTTACTGATCAGTGATATCAAGAGAAATAAGAACACAGCAGTGATCAACAGGAAACACAAAACAGGAACGCATTGTTTATTCTGTTCTCGGTGGACACTGCCAGATCATTGTTCAGAGAGCTTTCAACAGGGTTGCTTCGATGGAGTTTAGGGAGTTTTTAAATCTAAATTGAAGATGAAATGTGTCCTCGGGACAGAAAAAGCAATTTTGAAAAGGTTATTCAAGGCCATAAGGTATTGACTTTGAGCGTTTAAAAAAAAAAACAAAAAACCTGTAAGAATCTTACTGTGGTTTCTTAAAATGGTGAATGCTGTCAGTCATAATGGAGGGGAAGGTAGGTTTGATTAGGCGGCCGGTGAATTTTCAGAGTTAAACAAAGTTAAAAATACACAGGCAACATGAAAATTGTTCTAAGCGTTCCTGTGTCATGGTTTCTGATTAAGTATCATGAATGGAAGAAATGAATATAAATCATAACGATTCCGTTTTATAACAGACAGTCTCGTGTAAATATTTTGTCTTTCTAGTCACATGTGCCAAGAGCTGTGTGAGAGTGTAATGATGGAGAGCGTGGTCTGTACTTACCCGCCACCATCAAACCCAACTCTATTACTGCCAGCTTCTGTGGCTGCTACAATCTTCTTGGGCTTCAGTTCTCTTACCCACCAAATAGGCACTGTGTGGCCCTTGACTCATAATTGTTGTGAGGCTTAAATGAGTTAACACATGCAAAGCTCTTAAACAACAGCAACTCACAGGAGGCCCTCCCCACGTGTTGGCTGAGGCTGTTTCCATCATCATCTTAAGAGCATGGGCTTGGAGAATCAAGAGTTCTGAGTTAAGTTTCTGGTACTTCCTCGAATTAGCTCCCTGGTTTGGGCATAATCGTTGAGCCTCATTTTCCTCATCTGAGCAATGGGAATATCGTTCATTACCTTAAAGCATTAAGAAGAGGGGTGAAGAATATAATGCTGGAAAACCACACCTGGCACACTGGAATCATTAGATACCATTTTGTTTACATTACACGGAAAAAAATTATTTGCAAATTGATCTTCAAAAATATAGAGACTTTTACTTTGCTGTTGGGGAAAATGAAATGGATTGGGCACACCTAGATATTGAATTTAATTTCCTTATCATTTATTTCAGATAGCTCACATTCAAAGTTTTATGTTTTGGGTTTTTTTTTCTATTTTAATTTTAAACAAGAATACATGGGACTGTCAAACAACTGGATTAAGAAAATCCCCATATCTGAGCTAATCACTTTGTCCTATGATTGACATAACAGTCTCCTTCGAGCAACAGCATTACCACTGCTTCATTTAGTAAGTAGAGAAGGCTAAAGAGGAAAGGTAGTGGCGTTAAAAGAAATGACCTGGAAGAAATAGAGAAGAATGGACTTTGTAAGGCCCTGTGAGAGTCTATCATTCCTCTAGCAGGGGGAGGAGCAGAGTTATAATCCTATCTACCTTGTTACAAACAAATACACACTAACTTAACATTGATTGACTATGGTTATAATGAATGGTAATTGAAGAAGTATCCCTCTATCACAGCAGTGATTACATTCCAAGGAAAGAACTGAGGGTTTGGAACCAGGCACAGCTGATCTCAAGGCGTGGCTTCTCCCATGGCAAGCCATGTCACTTTAGGAGAGTTACTTAATCTCCCTGAGCCTGGATTTCCTTATCTATAAATAGCAGACAGGCTGGGCATCGTGGCTCACGCCTGTAATCCCAGCATTTTGGGAGGCCGGGGCGAGCAAATCACTTGAGGTCAGGAGTTCAAGACCAGCCTGGCCAACATGGTGACACCCTGTCTCTACTAAAAATACAAAAACTAGCCGTGTGTGGTGGTGTGTACCTGTAATCCCAGCTACTTGGGAGGCTGAGGCAGGAGAATTTGCTTGAACTCGGGAGGTGGAGTTTGCAGTGAGCTGAGATCATGCCACTGCACTCCAATCTGGATGTTCATCCATTTTTTTTTTTTTTTTTGAGGCTCTGTCTCAAAAAAAAAAAAAAATAGCAGACAACCCCATCTACCTCTCTGGGAGGTTTCTGAGAGGATTAAATGAGACTTTGCATGAATATTGGCTACTCCATCAAGTGGTTGCAGAGGAGGGGTTCAGTAGGCTGTTGTTGCTGTTTACCTCTTTTTCCTACTACACTGCAGGCTCCTTGAGGATAGGATTCCTTTAAAAACAAAATACAACCAGTTCCCAGCACAGTGGCTGGTCGCTAGAATGTACTGAGTGAATATACACCAAATAAAGCAAGACAGGGATACTTTGAATGGAAAGATCAAACAACAGCAATAATGAATAGCAGGCTTGACTTGTTTAAGTGAAAATGGTTAAGAGAGACTGGCGTGGACAAACTGAACTGATGCATTGGGGAACAGATTAAGTAAAAAGTACGTAAAAGACAACATCTTCTTCACACACATATTTAGAAGGGAAAGATAAGCCGTAAGGGACAGAGAAACTGTTATACGACCCGAGGGGATTATAAATAGCATCCTTAAATGGGGCTATTTCTATATAGCCTCTCTATTTTTTACTTTGTAGAAAGATTGAATGACTTTGACCTATGATTTCTGAGAGCTCTGTCTGATTTCTTTTTTAATTTACAAAAGTTTTTATATAAAATTCAGGTCTTCTCATTTCTCTCTGAGCCTCCCTCCTCCCATCTGTCTCCACCCTATCCTAAGTGCCTCCACTTTGGGTACTCTTGGGTTTTATGGCTAAATCCAGCAACGCAGATTGTGGGCGGGCAGGTTTCCCGTATTGTTCCTACCGCCCATTTCTCTACAGCATTTCTTAAATAGGGCCTAGTCTGGAGACTTTCAGGACGAGTGTTATAGTTCTCACTTTTCATTTAACCTTGAATCATAGCTGGAAAGCACATTACGAAACCTAGGTAATCATCCCCTACACATTTTGAAAATTTGGGAGCAGAAGATGATTTTACAGGTAAAGCCATGACCAGCGCCAGGGTCTAAGAAACATTGTTGCGGCGAATGGGCAGGTGACATCACATGGCGCAGGCAGCATGTTCCAGATCCAGATCTGAGATGGGAGAGGGCTTTCCACGGGGCCTGCCGGGCTGTTCCGTGAGCACCAGGGCTGCTCCAGCGCCAGCTGCTGCTTTGTTCTGCCTGGGAGCAGCTTTGTCGGAGACTTGCTACTCAAACCCCTCATGAACTAAATGAGCTGTTAATGCTGTTCGCAATCGTAGACTCATTGAAGTGTCAGGTGGTAGCATCAATGGAGCAACAGAAAGAGGTTTTCATAGAGAAAGAAAAGAGATACCGACAGAGAAAATGGGGTTTGCAATAATTTCAGTAAGAATGGATTCAGCGGGGGAAAGAAATTAATAGGCTATATCCTAAAAAGAAAAACAAATAAAATTTGGTGCTTCAAAGTTTCAAATTAGGCACATTTCAGTTGAGTCATAGCCAGACACTCAAGTACGGCAGTGTGATCTCAGAATCAGTCAACTATCAAAGGAGAATAGCACCATTTAAGATAATTAGAAAAATGACTTCAGAAATGAGATAATCTCAGAGAGGAATTATTCGTACAAGGCTCGCTGGTGAAACTTCTGAAAAAGAGAACCTTGCAGCTGAGTTCACTTTATAGCATTATATTAGGGTATACTTATTTGGTGAATTTTATAATTATACCCTGTAATGAATCTTACCTGCAAAGACAGAGAAAGACTCAATTCAAGCCACCCTTCTATTTGCATATATAACGTTGGGTAAGAGAAGAAGGAATTGGAAAGCTCTTCACCAACGGTGCCCATCACTGTGGCCAAACGTGGGTTCTAAATTGCAGAGCCTCCACCATTCTGCAACTTGAACTCTGTTTTCGTGTTACAGATTAAGATCTATCCACTTGGCCTATTTTAAAAACAGTTGCACACATTTGAACACACCTTCGAGACTCCAAATTGGACTTCTGTACCACCTTCTATTTTCGGTAACCACAAGGGTGCTGGAAATTCAAGTACTAACAAACGCCACGACCTACAAACTTAAGAACATGAGCTGGAGAATACATGATTCCTGGGCCGCAGAACACACCTGCGCTCTGGACTCCAATTATTCTTTGGGGCGTTTGACTTACAGATCAAGGACCAGGTCAGGTCATCTTTGTTTGGGATGTTTATACTCTTTTTTGTGAAGTCTTCAACATTGCATTGCTCTTTTTCTTAACACTCAAAAGTCAGCTTAAGATCCAGTGTTAAAGCTTATTTTTGTGTTTCTTTGAGATTAATATGATATTTCCATTTTCCATGAGAAATGAGACTGCCTTCCTTCTACTCTTAAGCAGTCCTGTAGAGAACTCCTAATACTCATTCATCTCCACTCACCTTATCCAGATTCGAATTAGCTACAAAGGTACTCAGGGATTCTATGCAATAATTATTCAAAATAAAGTCATAACAATTTTATTATTTAGCAAAGTATAATTTATGAAATAAATCATATTTATAAGTATAATTAATATATAATTGTGTATTAGATAATAGAGTAATTGCTTATCAAATATGGAATATATTTATATATAATCAAGAAATTAAATATAATTTCTTATAATGTTTAAATATAAATTATTAAATATAATTTTAGCAAATAAAGTCATAATTTCATTCTATAGTCTCCTCTATTTTTATGTTTAAATGGATACATTGGTGTCCTCAGAATATACCATTTTTTTACAACAGAATCATTCAAGAGAGACATTATAACTTTTTAATTCTCTTGATTTTTAATGCAATATTTCATTAAACTCCTTTTAAGCATTAGAAGTTTTTGAAAATGTGCCAGGTGAGGTATTGTTAGGTAATTTTGCTGCTATTCTTGCTTCTTGACCATTTTCTCACTGTTTTAGTGCATTTGGAAATGAGTTTGACCCTAAGTTTCTTCCTACCTATATAAATACTTAGAAACTCTTGTACTGTTTCCAAATCAACTGGAGCAGTGCCTCCATGGGCTACATTTGCCGTTATCTGTTTCACTGAGAAACAATATATCTACTGTAGTTAAAAAGTTCATGAATGGTCCTTGCTAATTTCTAGGCTGTTGAAACATGTCTCTAATTTCACAGATTTTGAGGAGGCAAGAGATCTGGAGTTTTATTTCTTTTTTTTTTTAATAGCATAGTGTTGGATTTATTCAGGATATGAGAAGACAGTCATCTGCGCACAACACATTTGCTATGAAAAAAAATTGTTAAACTACACTTATCTCCACTCACTGCTTCAGTGGTTATGTTAACTTTGTCCTGAGAGTAGCTAGCATTGGGGTAAGATGTAAAACACAAAAATAATGATGTATTATTCGATCAGTCTATTAACCCATACTGATTAGTGGCCACACTCAAAAAGACATATTGTAGCGAAAACATTCCCAATTCTCACTCACATGATAACCACCCTGGCTCTACAAGTACAATACGTGTATCTTTGCCACTTATCTGTTGAATGTGTACTAATAGCTTCCTCCAATGAATAAGGACTCTAAACTTCAGGGATCATTACAAGGTACCTGAGGAGCTGGGCGACTCTACAGTTGGAATTATTTTCACATTAAAAGAGCCAAGAAATCTATGAACTCATATTTTACTCAATTTATTTGTGCAGCCATATATAAATAGATGGTCTATTCATGTAAAAGAAACTATTATTTCAATTCTAAGAATGTTAACTTCATTATTCATAAACTAGTCCATTGGTCTGATAAGAAAGCATCTCTCATCTCACAGACAAATACTCTAAAATATGTTTATCACTAAACAACTGGCTTTATTTAGGGAACAATTCAAGATTCCCTGATCACATTTTCTGAAATGATCCAATTTTGTCACTCAGCATTGACTCTGTACCACAGAAATTGCATTCCTGTTCCACATTGTGTCAATGGAAAGGAAGGCTGATTTTGGTACTTAGCTATGAATATTCCATACTCTCTGTTCTCTGAAAAATGTGAACATTGAGTAGAAAATCATGAGTATGGGGGAAAAATAATAAAATATATGAATGTGCTTTTAAGAGCATGGCAATGTAGTGAGGCTTATTAAAATGCCACTTTTCATAAACAATTTAAAAAGTTTCTCTAAGTACTAATTTGGGAAAGTATGCTAATTTTCAATACTTAAAACCTACATCTGTTTAAATTAGAATGAGCACATTTTTGCCACATGTCACATTTTATTACCATGCAATGGTAAGTATAAATTTACCACCTACATAAGAACAAAATATGGGCAATACATTTATGAATACATTAAATGTTTAAGAAAAAGCTTTTCTGCACTTCATATGATCTTGTTTTGTTTGTACAGACTCATGTTTGTGAGCTGGGCAAGTTAGCTTCAGATATAAGGTATACATAGACCTTGGGTGTGGAAGGTCCAGGAGGGCCATGACTTCTGTTTTATTCATATAGCACAGTGCCTGCCCCATAGAAAAAACCTAGCTCACAGTGGAGAAAAGTGAATGATGGAATAATGGACGTACAAAGCCAGCCAAGGTGAGGCTGTACAGTGTTTATCATAAACAGTGGATGTTCTGAAGATGACCTCTTGACTTGTTTTTTATTTTTCTTACTCTAAGTGCCTCGGGTGAACTCTTTCACCTAGCATGTTAGGACTAATCTGCAACGTGGAATTTATTATAAAAGTGAGTGCTCATACTTGATATTTGTCACACTAGATACTCTTAAAAATGTGAAAAAAATAAGATTGTTTTTCCCCCACAAGTACATGCCGTCAGAGTAACCATTTTCTTCTTTAGATCAGAGTGCTAATAGTCAACAAAGGGAAATTGTTCAACATGTACAGAGCCCCAAGACTCTGGATTCCTTTTAAACTCCATGTGAACTGTATTTGGTTCCAAAGTAGAGCTAATCATTCTTAATCCAGGGGTAAAACCACCACTGCCAGTAAACAGACAGGCCCCCTGGCATTGAAGATCAAGTTGGTGATGATCAGTTTTCTAATGGGACAGCTTCTAAATAATGTCCCAATTTAAAATTGATGCAAATTTTGATAATGGAAATTGACAAAATGTTTATATTCAGAGGGTTAAAAATTTGTTTTCTATTGCTTAGTCTTGTGGCATCCTAGTTAGATGTCTAAACATGATTGGTGCTACCTAAATTTCCTTTGGCCCCATTCTAGATACATCTCCTTATTTTGAAATTTTCATAACGTTAAGTAGATTTAGAAAATATGGGACGGCGTGGTGGCTTACGCCTATAATCCCAGCACTCGGGAGGCCAAGATGGGAGGATCACCTGAGGTCAAGAGTTTGAAACCAGCCTGGCCAATATGGTGAAACCCCGTCTCTACTAAAAATACAAAAATTAGCTGGGTGTGGTGGCAGGTGCCTGTAATCTCAGCTCCTCAGGAGGTTGAGGCAGGAGAATTGCTTGAACCCAGGAGGCAGAGGCTGCAGTTAGCTGAGATCATGCCACTGCACTCCGACCTGGGCGACAGGGTGCGACTCCATCGAAAAGAAAAGAAAAGAAAAGAAAGAAGAGAGAGAGAGGGAGGGAGGGAAGGAAGGAAGGAAGGAAGGGGAGGAGGGAAGGAAGGAAGGAAAGAAAATATGAACAAGCAAAGAGAAGAAAATAAATCTTCAGAAAAAAAATTGTTGACATCCTAGACTGTTTTTTTTCTTCCTCCCTCTTTTTATTGTCGTGCTATTTCTGATCTTGAGGATACGGAAATTTGGTGTTCACTTATAAATAACGGTTTCCATAGAGCCCATGAGCAAAAAATACAGAGAGAATGATAAAATGAGAAATGTAACATTTTCTTTTGGCTGATCTGTAGTTCCCACAAATGGGCAGTCTAGAAAACTGTTGACAGTGCAGGGTTTGGAATGTGGCCGACTCAAGCTGGAATCCCACTTTCCCCACATGTGTGACCCTGTGCAAGTTGTTTAACTTCTCTGCGCCTGTTTCCTCTTCTGTAAAATGAGAATAATGTACTCATCAGAGCGTTTGTGTGAATAGTCAATGAGAGGTATTTAAAGAATTTGGCACGCTGCCTGACACACTGTGCATTGAATGAATGGTGGCCATTATTATTATTTATAAGAATACTTACTGTTATTTTACTTTCTTAACTAACCCTGCAGATCGCAAAGCTCCAATACCATGTGATGTGAAGACTCATTTTAGATCAGCCCAAGAAAAACACCATTAAGCAGGTAAATCCAAATTCTGTTGGGAAAAGATCATATGATGCATTCTCAAGCAAGTGCTTCAGGATTGTGGCACTGCAGTCTCTACTAGCCTAGGCAGTGGCAGGATGGCTGTTCTTTGGGAATAAGGTCTTTAGAAAACAGTGAGCTCCCACATTCTATCCTGTCATCATTTTTGCCGTGAATACTCCACATAATTTATCTCCAGATGATTAGTTTGCCTTAGTGCAATGTAATTAATTGGGACCAGAAGATACAAGAGTGTGTTTGTTATACTCTAATGAAGTTTCTTTGAGTTTTAAGTTGGACTTCAACAGTTAAAGAACAACATGATCACGGAAAGTCAAATGGATTGTATATTAAGAAGATTTTTATTTATTTATCTATTATGGAAATTTATTTTTATTCTGTGTATTTTTTTATTTTTGACCCAGTTGAGCCTTGTTTGGTCAATACCTCTGGGAGATCTTGACAAAACAAAGCGTGTCTGGGCCAAAGATTTCCTTTCCATCTCTGGGGATTTTTTTTATTGATGATGAAGTTATTATGGACTGAGAGCCAGTTATGTGCCAGGCCCTGTGAGGTATCCTTTGCACAAATTACTTCATATAAGAGAACGACTGGTCCTATGATCTATGCACAGCATCCTTCTTTTACAGAGACCAAGCCTGTGGTTGAAAGATATGGAGTCACATGGCAGCGGCCACACCTCCTCGAAAGCTAAATCCATGACTGGGCCTTGGTCCCCGCAGGCTCCTGCCTGGCCTGCCCCTTCCTGTCCTGCAAAATTGGAAGGACATTGGTGCAGAATTGGAGGAGCCCTGCCTTTGACAAGGCACATACAAAGGGAAAGTCTGTCAAAAAGCATTTGTTTTACTTTCTTTTTTAAAAGAAAAAAAAATACTGTTATTTACTGACTTTTAAAACTAAGTGACCAAACATTGGTGACATAAAATTGTTTCTTAAGTATAACAAATGTCACTTCAAATTGTTTTTTGGATTTTAAAAATAACCAGGTAAAGAAATGACGTTAGGGTGGGGAGAGAGGGCAGCAGAAAGAGAGTGGAGAGATGGAGAAGGAGGAGGAGGGAGGAAATCCAGGCAGTGGGTGGGGCACGGCCCCACTGATGAGTGTCTGAGCCATGGGCGCTTGGTGCTATTCAGGGAGGCAAGGTCCTATGTTCATAAATAATGTACTACAGGGACAGTTTGAAAGTGATCATTAAATTTACATTTTTAAGGCAGGGGAGTTGCAGTCACAGCCACAAATATAAAAATCTAAATAAGGTGTCTTCAAGCATTGTCCTGGGACAAGAACTGCAGATACATGGCCCAGCCTCAACTCTCTAGATATCCTGCTGATCTCAGGGAATTCAGATGGTGTTTCCTGGGTCCAGTTCTCCCCCGCCACCCCTCTGAGGAAGCCCAATCTAAAGCATCCATGTTGGATGCTTTTACCATGACAAGGTGTGGAGAAAGAGGAATTTCTATAAGTAGAATGATAATGAGGAGCTGCCAGATTTCTAGCAGGCTGGGGACTCGGTGGTTCCCCTTGACATGATGCTTCTGGGCATGACTGAGGTCCTGGGTGTGTGACTGAGGGTCAGGGTGATGGTGTCTGAGCATGATTGAAGTCCTGCCTATGTGAGGAATGTGGGAAGGATATAACAGGACTGGTGCACCCAGACCTCTGGCCTGGGGAGAAGCTGCTTTCACCTCCAGCCAGGAAGAGTGGCTCCCAGCAGCAATACCCCACAGTAACTCAAAGTCATTAATCATCTCACTAAGTAAACTGTGTTTGATTCACAGTAGGCAAGAGTGTTCACAGATGATGCCTAAAAACACAAGTAGTGTGTATAGGCGGGCTTCATGAGCTTGCAAACTGAGCATGTGCACCTGACCCTGTGCTTAGAACGGCCAGGTGTTCTGTTTGATACCCTGCTGTCATCATCTATAACTTATTCATCATACTTTTGGAATTGCCTTTTCATCTTGCGCTGGGCCCTGCAAATTTATATAGCAGATTCTTGTTGGGTAAATTTCAACAGAGATAAACAAAGTTTCCAAAGTTTCTGAGACTCCAATCTCACATCCTACACCCTCAAAAATAGAAGAAAGAGGTCGGGGCAGCTTCGGCAATTCCTTCCTCTCTCCTGCCACTGGGACAAGCTCACCTCTGCTGCACCCTCCCTGCCTCAGCAATCTTTGATCTGTACCTTCAGAGAAGGTTTTTATCCTAGTCCATCCCCAGCAGACACCTCCTGCCCAGCCTCTCTCTGAAGGTCTACATGGCAACCACGGGCTACATGTGGCTCCCGGGCACCTGCCTTGCTTGCACTGAGATGTGTTATCCTGCAAAATACACACAAGATGCGAAAAAAAAGAATGTCAAGGAAATCATTACTATTTTTTATACTTGTTGAAATCATATTTTGGCTGTACTAGGTTAAAAATATTATAAAAGTTGGTGTCATCTGTTTCCTTTTACTTTTTAAAATGTGGCTGATAGAACATTAAAAATTACATAGGTGGCTTCTCTTTGCTGCTCAATATATTTCTATTGGTCTAGACATTTTTTTTAAAACCACATATCCACCTAAGTGTTCCACCTATATCTCCATCTCAGAAAGTCTCAAACCAGTTTCACTATCTTCTTCCCCCAAAACACTTTTTCCATGTCTTGTTTTCCCAAGACAGAAACCTGGTGATTAAACCATAGCCTGCTTCTACTCCCAAATGCCAGCTGAGAACTGTTGGTTCTGTCTCCATAATCTCTCCACGCCAGCACTTTTCCCCCAGCCCTACTGTCCTGTCTCAGCTGAGCCATTCATCTTTTCTTCCTGGATTACTGTACTGTCCTCCTACAGGAAATTCCCTTATTTTTTTTAAATTTTCTTGTAGAGATGGGATCTCACTGTGTTGCCCAGGGTGGTCTCAAACTACTGGGCTCAAGTAATCCTCCTGCCTCTGCCTCTGAAAGTGTTGGGATTAACAGGCATGAGCCACCCCACCTGGCCCTATGTGAAATTCTTGAATTCATTCCCACCCTACCTCAGTGGTGCTCTCACAACAGAGAAACTATCTTATAAAGGAAATCCTATTTCACCTTCCTGCTTGAAATGTCTCACAGTTGCCCTGCCATCTGGCTCTGGTCTGCTTGCTCGATTTTACTCACTATCTCTCCATATCGGGCATCCTGCATTCCAGCCATACCAATGGCTCCCAGGGCCCTGCAGATTTATATGAAATCCATCGCTCCATGCCTGGGCGCTGTGGCCACGCTGCTCCCTGGTCACGGTGAGGCTGGGCATGCCTGGGCGCTGTGGCCACGCTGTTCCCTGGTCACGGTGGGGCTGGGCATGCCTGGGCGCTGTGGCCACGCTGTTCCCTGGTCACGGTGGGGCTGGGCATGCCTGGGCGCTGTGGCCACGCTGTTCCCTGGTCACGGTGGGGCTGGGCATGCCTGGGCTCTGTGGCCACGCTGTTCCCTGGTCACGGTGGGGCTGGGCATGCCTGGGCTCTGTGGCCACGCTGTTCCCTGGTCACGGTGGGGCTGGGCATGCCTGGGCTCTGTGGCCACGCTGTTCCCTGGTCACGGTGGGGCTGGGCATGCCTGGGCTCTGTGGCCACGCTGTTCCCTGGTCACGGTGGGGCTGGGCATGCCTGGGCTCTGTGGCCACGCTGTTCCCTGGTCACGGTGAGGCTGGGCATGCCTGGGCGCTGTGGCCACGCTGTTCCCTGGTCACGGTAGGGCTGGGCATGCCTGGGCTCTGTGGCCACGCTATTATTCCCTGGTCACAGTGGGGCTGGGCAGCTTCCAGAGCGAATGTGGACATATTCTTAGGCCCCACCTCACGCACTTCTTCAGAGAAACCTCAGAGGCTCCTCCACAAGCCACGGGTACCCCCAGATTTCCCTCACTCTATGCATCCCATGCGCCTCTAGCAACGCAGGACCACACTCGAGTAGAGCTGTCTGTGCCGAAGACTGTTTGGCAGACACTGTTTCAGATGCGTTCCAGACACTTAGGAGAGCGACTGACACAGAGCAGGGCTTGACTGATTACATCCCTCGCTCATTTCTCCCGGCCCCGTCACCTTAGTTCATGCCCAAGTTTTCCTCTTGTCGAATTCATCGACACTATCATTTCGTAATCTTTTCTTGTGCCCTTCATTTAATTTGATACTGTTACCAGTTATATATTTTTCACCCACAAATATGATCATTACTTTTCCTCTGTAAAGAAGCTCCAATGGTTCTCTCTCTTTCTCTCTTTTTCTTTCCCTAAAGAATTAACCCAAACTACTTAACATGATGATGATCCTGATGCTGATGACAAAAATAGGCATGGGTGGCCATTCATTCTGCCTCTGACGTGCCAGGCGCTATGCCGGTCATTTTGCAGTAATCTCATTTAATCCTAATGATAATACTCAGATGTAAGTGCTATTATCTCTTCCCCCTAAGTAGGGAAATAGGGGTCAGGAAAAGCCCAGGAGCCTGTTCCCCAAGACCAAGTTAGCACTACAGAGCTGGGAATGAATTCCAACTTTATGTGACTGCAAAGCTCTTCCATGCCCCCACACCACCCCACGCCCGGTTCTCCCTACTGTTCCTACATTCCAGACGCACCATCCAGCCTGCAATGTGCTTTCACACCATGTTCACCTGCAGACAATGCTTTCTCCATCTAATGCCCCTGCCTTCACCATGCACACACTGAAGTTGCCTAGAAGGGTCAGTCACACTCTACTCTGTGCCTTCCTTCTGCCTCGGCACTTGTGATGCTGCGGGATTATCAGTTTCCCCTCCCTCATCCCAAAGACTGAACAGTCACCAAGAGTAGCAAGTCGACTAGTCACCACTGAACATACGCAGCCTGGAGAATCAGAGGTGCACGGTGTGTGCCTTTTACATGAACTCATGCATACACCAAGAATGATAGTAATGCCTGCTCACATTTGTTTAGCATCTCCCACATGCCAGACCTCACCCTACACAATTAGAATACATAATCCATTCAATCCTCCCACCACTCTTTAGGATAATGTATCATCTTAATCCTTATTTATTTTTTCCAGAATAAACTTGTGATTCTAACAACTTCAACATAAAATAAATAACTTTTGCTCAATATCAAACTCTATAAAATCACTAAAATTGGCCCAATATCCTGGGTTTTTTAACTTGCATTATTTCTTCCTGATAATGACATTTAGGCCAGTCAAATCCTGTATTACCGTTTTAAACAAAGAAAAAAAGATTATGAGTTGCTTTTAAAATTCACGTGTGACAAGCAGAAAAAACTCGTGGAGGCAGTTTCAACATTTAACCTAAGTGTACTTAGCAACTACACTTAATAGCTTTTTAAAAAGCCTCGTTTTTAAAAAAAGTGGATCTTTCTTTGCAGAGTGACTTAAAATACATCATCATAGTCTTATTAATTAAACATGTTCTTATCAGAAAAAAGCGTCTCGAAAGCTAGTATATATGCTTAATTAAGCTGTATGCAACCATCAGTCCATATCTTGAATTAGGCTACATGTGAGGCCCTGATTTGCCCCATTCTTTCTGCTACCCAGAACAGCACTGCTCACTGCCTACCAGTGTTTCCAGCAAAGATATAAAGTTCTACATGTCTAAACGTTTTTGCCCTGATATCAAAAGCAAAGCAAAACAGGTCTTCTCCATTCCCATTTTGGTTAACAGCATCACCATCTGCCCACTGGCCTGATCCACCCAGAAGCCTGTCTTCTTTTTTGAACTTGAAATACTCATGTGCTTTATTTGTATAAATTCCCATTATTCCCTCACTGCTCCAAAAATAGAGAAGAAAGTAACATAAATGTACTGACATCAATTTGAGAACTAGAACATGTTACCTTCCCGAAGTATCCATCTTGGATATAGGGAAGGAGACTTAGCCTCATAAAAGCACATGAAGGAATGCTCAGAGGAAATACTCTAAACCTAGTTTTCTGGAATTGGTAAGCAGAAGCTCTGGAGTCAGTTACAGGTTGTGAGCCTTCCACCAAGAAGAGCCACCTAACATACCAAAAAAATAAGCATGAGATTCACTTAAAGTTTGACAAATTTAGCAACTCCTTTCCATTGTCTGCATTTTAGAGAACCTATTGATGCTGTTGTAACAGCTACAGAGAATCGTGAGATGCCCAGTGACATTGGCTATAGTGGTAGCAAACCGGGTAGTGGGAAGTTTTCTAACAAATACTATGTAAAAGGAGAAGCCTGAGTCTTTTAACACCACAGATCAAACACTGCAAATGGTAGGACGAGCATTAGAGTCCCGCTGAGGTCGCTGAGACTTACACTTCACACGAATTGTAGTGGTGCCTAGATCTCCCTGAAGAGTGGCAGAAGCAGCCGCCCATCCCTTAAACTACACATGTACCTGGCTTCTCAAGACTCCAGAGTTTACTTAGAGATGAGTAACTAGAGCACAGGAATTTGGAAGAGAGTCTTTCTATAAACTCCCAGGAACAACCAACACCAGTAGTGGCTGACGTCTGTGAGACCTTCTTTGCGTCAGATGCAGTGCTCTCATCAACATCCAACACACGTGCCTTTAATGCCTGGGACTATGGCGACACTCATTTAGATGAGGGAACTGTGGCATAGAGGGTTTCGTACCTCGGCTTACTTCACTGCAATCGGCTTTCTAAACCAGAACTCCCACCCGACAATGTGTGAGTCCAAAGTCCATGTTTCTAGGTGCAGTGGCTCACTCCTATAATCCCATCACTTTGGGAGGCTGAGGCAGACGGATCACTTAAGGCCAGGAGTTCGAGACCAGCCTGGCCAACATGGTGAAACCCGTCTCTGCTAAAAATACTATTAGCTGAGCATGGTGGTGCACGCCTGTAATCCTAGCTGCTCAGGAGGCTGAGGCAGGAGAATTGCTTGAACCTGGGGAGGCAGAGGTTGCAGTGAGCCAAGATCATGCCACTGCACTTCAGCCTGGATGACAGAGCAAGACTCCATCTCAAAACACAAAAAATACAAAAAGTCCATGCTTCTAACCACTAGCAATCACCCTATAACATATTCCCCTCAATGAAAAAGACTGAATCCAAGAAATCTCACCTGCGTCAGACTTTCTAAGTCATAGAGATTTATAGTAATAATTTTAAATGAGTCTTTGACTTTCAGACCCAGCGTATGAAGGAGGAGAGTGTGAGTCAGTGCCGTTCCTGGGCGTCCGCTGGGAACTTCCCTGACTGTCCTTCTGGCTCTCAGGAGTGGAGCTCACTTGCTCAATTCATTCCAGTGTCCCAGAGGTCACAGTCTCCCCTCTGTGAGCTGGGCTGTCCTCGGTCCCTGGGCCTATCTCTTTGCTGTCCTCCCTGGGATCTTGCCCCTGGGGTAGCCCTGCTTCCCTTGCAGCTTTCTTCTCTGCTGCTGGTGCCTTCCCCAGGGCTGTGCATGGGCTTAGCTCTTTCTTCATTTCTCTCCCTCTCTCCTCTTTTCTTCCTGCTGTCTTAGCTGGGCCCCCTCCATCCTTTTATTTCCTAATTGTACCTGTTGCTTCCATACCCTTAAAAGCATACTCCATTTTCTCCCTAGATGTATTGAGGTATAATTGACAAAGCTGCAGACATTTAAGGTGAACCACGGGCTGCTTTGATACAGGCATGCACTGTGCACTGATCACCACAATCAAGTTAGTGATCACTTCTTATCTTTTTTGTGGATGGTAAGAACATTTGGATCTACTCCCCTAGCAAGCTGCAAGTGTGCAATGTGGTTTTATTCACTACAGTCACCACGCTGCATGAGATCCTCAGAACTTATTTGTCCTATAACTGAAAGTCTGTGCCCTTTGACCTCATTTTCCTCCCCCCACCAATTCCTGGCAACCACCATTCGACTCTGTTTCTATGAGTTCAACATTTAGACTCCACATATAAGTGAGATTGTACAGTATTTGTCTTTCTCTGTCTGACTTGTTTCACTTACCATAATGTCCTCATATGTATGCTGTTGCAAATGGCAGGATTTTCTTCTTTTTTAGGGCTGAATAATATCCCATTGTGTGTATATACACCACATTTTCTTTATCCATTCATCCATGGACAGGTCCTTAGGTTGTTTCCATATTTATTCCTTTCCTTTGTATGTATATCCAGAAGTGGAGTTGCTAGATCATATGGTAGTTCTGGTTGTAATTTTTGAGGAAACTCTGCACAATTTTTTACAATGTCTGTACCAATTTACATTCCCATCAACAGCTTACAAGGGTTCCCTTTTCTCCACATCCTCACCAACACTCGTTATCTTTTGACTTTTTGGTGATAGCCATCCTAACAGGTGTGAGGTGGTGTCTCACTGTGGTTTTGACTTGCCTTTCCATGATGCTTAGTGATGTTGAGCACGTTTCCATACGTCTGTTTGCCATTTGTATGTCTTCTTTGGAAAACTATCTATGCTGGCCCTTTGCCCATTTTTTAACTGAATCATCTCTCTCTCTCTCTCTCTCTCTCTGTGTGTGATGCTCTTGAGTTGTAAACACATTTCTTAATCTTTCCATGTGCTTTAATCTCAGCACTTTAGCAACTGTCAAGAACAAAGTTCTTTTCAAAAAGTTCATCTCAAAGTTGGCCACTGACTCGTAACAGGTAAAACCCAATGAGCACTTCCCTGAGCCTCAGTTTCTTCTTTTCTCATGTGAAACAGTGATGATAGTGCATACCTCCCAGGGCTGTTGAGCCAGACTCAACAATTTACATGAAAGCACTGAGGGGGTGCCAAATACATGTGAGTGGTATAAAACAATTCTTGATGCTACAAAGCTTGCTTTTCCACACTATTGTCAAAATCCCACCTTGTTCGAGCCCCAATTAAAATACCATTTTCTCTAATCCATCTTTCCCGATCCTCTAACAAACTTCAATTCTCTGAGCAATTTATTATCATCTTCTGGAACTCCATTGCTTAAGACGATCAAAGAGTTTCTTTATTGTATAAGTTACTTCTGCGCATGTCTTTTGAAGGAATAAATAAATGCATTGATTATATCTGCCTTATAGCACTCCATCACCTTCTATCTTAAATTACAGTAACTAGCGTTCCTGTCTTCCTGCACTAAATTGTAAGCTCTTTCAATGGCTTCCTGGCTTATTCTCTCATCTTTTCCTCCGGTCCTTGATGGATGTATAATAAATGAATGAGTAAATTATATGAAAATGCAAGTATGATTTTTTTAATATACAGTTACAACTTCGACATCCACAGTTGGGTCTGACCACTTGTTAAGTTGTACCCAGAACTTAGGTCTTTCTCGCTCTCCACGTTCCCTATCAAGGCCATCTTTTCAATACCAAACAAATTAGAAAGAATACAATCAGCTAACTTACACTAACATACTAACAAATGGGACAACAGTCTTCAAGGTCTGGAAGAGGAGAGCAGAGAACTCATCATTGCCTGCTCAAGCCCATCTACCAGGAGGGGAAACTCCAGATACTGTGGGCCACTTGGCACTTAGGAACTCATGGTACTGATCTGTATATTGGGCAGATATAGTTTTTTGGTGATAGTCTTAAAAATCATGTGTCACCTGTCATGACACTTGCCAGATGAAATTCTGATTTTATTTCCCAAGAGAATGCACTGACAAATTAATAATCTGACCTTTAAACGGGTGATATTTCTCCATGTCAATCAACAAGAGGCCATTCTGTTTTGTTGACCAGATAAAATACTCTTTCACTCTCTGAGGGGTTAGCGAGAGTGCATGCAGATTTCTCCAATGCTTTGCTTTTGGTTGGAAGCAGAAACATTTAAATTTCAAGGCAACACTTTTCCTAATTCCTACTGAACTCAAAAGCTCTAGTGGTTCAGTGATCCCATTGGTAACAAATACTTAGAGGGCCAGAGTCCTTCTGGGTCCTATCCTTACGCTCCTGTTCTCTCCTCCTCTCAGGCCTTTTCTGCACCATGCAAACCCAGCACCTCTTCTCACAGGCTGGGCTAAAGGCAGAATGCAATACCATGACTGAGGAGCCTGGGAATGAGGCAATTCATTAACAGAACATTCCCCAGGAAACATAATTTTCTGATCATAATCTCTTTGTTCCTGACAGTTGCAAAATTAAATACCAGAGCCAAAAAAAAGTGAGGCACCGTTTTAAGGGTATGTTTTCCTAATTCGATCTTCAAAGGAAGCACAAGCTTAGGGTTCGAAATCATTATGATGTAATATTATGCCACATAATAATACATAGATCCAATCATTTTACCAGATAACCGTCAATATAAAGCACTGACAGGACATTTGGGACTTCGGGTCAACAGGAAGGTGGTTTTTCAAACTAAACTATATTATTTATGGCTTTGATTGTCATTTACTTTTACAACATAAGGGTGATGGTAATTCTGCTCTTCTGCCAATAAATCTAAAAATTAATTGAAAATGTAGTCAAAATCCTTGGCACACTTTAGAAGGAAGATTTTTTTAATTAAAAAAGCCATATTAATCATTATATAAATGAGTTATATTAGTCCTGTAAAATTAAATCTATGGTGGAAAGGAAGTCAGTGAGTGATATAATCGGATTTCAGAACACATATCATATAAAAAGTTATGTTTCTAAATAAAGTGAGTGTGAAAGAATTCAGGATATATTATCAGTCATCTGAGTTACTGCCCTAAGACAGCCCTTCTCCCAAAACAGATATGGTTTCTCTGACAAAGAAGATAAGTGTGCCTTCTCATATTTTTATTATTTTCTTAACTGTCAGACATAACTCATATGTAGTTAAGTTGCTCAGAAGGTTAAATTCGGAGGAAAAATTCTACAAGTGGTTTAAATGAGCCAAATCATTTTTGGTTGCGTCATGTTTCCTCCGTTGAAAAAGTCTCGATGACTTAAAAAGGATTGCTTTGATACTTAGCTTAGTGTTTTACCCAAAAAGCATACTGACCAAAAACAAACAAACAAAAAACCCATAACAAAACAAACATTTAAAGATATGTAGACCAGATCAGTTTTCTCCTGATGAAAGTCACATGGAACCACACGCAGGTTACCTTGCTTTCAGCAGGTCCCTTTCCTTGGGTGTGAATTTTATTTGTTACAATAACCGACTTGGCCTAGTTACTCAGCCATCCTTCGTTCACTCTTGGTAGTGGACATGGCAAGATGGTGGGTAAAAACACGTAAACAAGACTGCTCTCTCGTGGAGGTCACTTTCACATGGAAAGACTGGACACGTCAAAACACTTCATTAACATGATATAAAAATAATACAACATGTAAAGTGGTATCGGCGCATCTAAGACAAAGCGATTCAATGTTAAATCCCTCTTTGGGAAATAATTTAAGATTGCAGAAAATGTTTCTGAGAAATTCCAATGTAAACGTCCTTAAAAGTCCCTACTTTTTAGTATTTGGTATTATACTTATAGATTTTGTGATTTTCCAGATTTTTCATTAAAAGTTAATATGCATAAAACTCTTGGGATGGTAGCAAGTACAGAGTGAAATCTATATAAATTATTATTATTATCAATATCTTTTGGAGTGAACAAATTGAACATTTTTTGAATAATCTTTTGCGTAGTTGACTGAATACTAGTTAATAGGTTTCTATTGTTTTCTTGAGTTAAATCAGAAGCAGATATTTTGATTGACTGTGTAAGGTCTTGCAGCTTCTATGGTTTTTTTTAACTTGAAAAGGTCTTCCCAGACTGATACCTCTTTCTGTCTTGAACTCTCTGTTCAACTATATTCTAAAGCCTTAAAATGAAGATCTTCAATTTTATAACTCTGGATTTAAACTTTTCTTTCTTATTCTTTTTTATTTTACAAAAGAAAATTTTAACTCTTTAGGTTGATTATATTTCTTGATGAATGTGACTGTACCAAGAGGCTTTAAAAAAATTGAGATTAGAAATCAGTTTTTCTTATCTTCTGAATTATTCACCATATGATGTGTTGCATTTGAGCTTTATCTATGCTTCTGGTAATATTTCTGTCTTATATAATTGTTAAAGTATAATGCTTCTCACCAGGAAGACTATATATATATATATGTTTAATAATAGCCTTTTTAAATTTTCATGTGTTTTTTCTTCTCCTTTGTTTTCTGATTTTTAAAAAATCAGAAAAATGTCTGAATTGTCACTTTATCTGTAGATTCAAAGAGCACTTTCTAATCATGTGTTGGCATTAGCACAACACCGGGGAAGATCTGATTGCTGTAAGCCGTTCATTCATTCAGCAAATACTGACTGAATATGCAGTATGTTGACCTGTTTGCTGAGGGCCTCTCTGTTCCGGCTGCCATTCTAAAGCGAGTCAAGTTTTCCCTGTAACTTTTATTCTGCAGAAGTAACCTGTACCTTTTTCCATTCTCTTGCCATTCACCACTCTCCTGACCTCCCTTTGCGTAAACTGGTTTAAGCCTGGCGCTCTAGGTCCATCCAACAACACCGGTCTATTCACACTGTAGCAGAGCAACCAAGCAGTTATACAATTTTCATCTTAACTACTAGTAATACTATGCTATAAAAATTTTGAAACCTAGATTTTGAGATATTGAGCAAACTAAAATATGTAGTATTTACTATAGTGCAAGAATACGTCTGACGGGTTAAATGCACGCGTTTTGGAAAGTGCTCAAACCCTTCACCAGATGACACAGTTATAGCACAACAACAGCTGAGGTTATTGTTATCTAATCTCCTTTCCCTCGTTAACTTTAGCACAGAGAACTGAAATAATTGGGTGTGAAGGCATCTTGATAATCTACCAAAAAGGCTCATTTTTAAGCAGCCAAGCGTTGCTCTCTTAAACTTTTGTTGTTTAGTAGCATAAAGTGTAGGCAACCTGTATGAAGTATAAATATCTGGTATTAAAAAGACCCAGTGAGGCAGAAGTCGCTGACTCCTCTCAATAGGTGGAAGAGGATTCTCCATGCAGCCGAAGGCTTAATGAAGCACATTTCCACCAGCCAGGCTGCTGCCTCTGTGGTGTTACCTCTTCAGAGGACTCAGTGCCTCTGAGAAGCTGGCTGTCCTCAGCGAGAAGTAAGTACAGGGACTTCTGTTTAGAGGAGACTAGAATGAATATTTATACTAATAAATTTTCTCCAACATAGCCAAAATCTCATTTGAATATGTTTTTCTTTCTGTGCATTTAAAACACTTGCCATTCTTCATGGCATCCCATGCTTGTACTCTTAGAGGATCTTCACGAGTGGCACAGCTCTTGGCTAGAATCCTATTTTTTTTTTTTTTTTTTTTTTTTTTTTTTTTTTTTTTTGAGACGGAGTCTCGCTCTGTCGCCCAGGCTGGAGTGCAGTGGCGGGATCTCGGCTCACTGCAAGCTCCTCCTCCCGGGTTCACGCCATTCTCCTGCCTCAGCCTCCCGAGTAGCTGGGACTACAGGCGCCCGCCACTACGCCCGGCTAATTTTTTGTATTTTTTAGTAGAGACGGGGTTTCACCGTTTTAGCCGGGATGGTCTCGATCTCCTGACCTCGTGATCCGCCCGCCTCGGCCTCCCAAAGTGCTGGGATTACAGGCGTGAGCCACCGCGCCCGGCCTAGAATCCTGTTTTTGCTATAGTTTGTTGGACTCCTTGCGGCTAATCCTTGCAGCTATATTAGTCTCTGAGGGATGCTGAATTGAATAGAACATCAGAAGATTTGGAGCCTGACGGGTTTATGTTGCCCCTGTCCTCAAATTCAACTATTCCAGAAAAAATGTACTAGGACAAGGAACCTGAAAAGAAGAACTATTTCTAACAATGGATTGGATGAACTCTCCCATTCAAAGCAGAGGATATAATTCATTATAAGACTTGTAATTTACTTTAACCACTGGGAAAACATCTCAGAGGGAAGAGAGAAAAACTGAATTTCTGATTAAATTTAAAAAATCAAAAATTTAATAAGTAGGCAACCGTATAAATGAACAGAAAAAAACAAAATATCACCGAAACTTTCAGATAATGTTCTTTGTTAAAAATAAGTTTCCCTAAATTATAATATGAATATATAAAGAGAAATTAGAAAATATAATGAGAACATTACCAGGCCTTTTTGTTTTCTTTCTTTTTTATTGTGTTTTTGTTTTTTTGAGGTGGGAAAATCTTTGAAAGTAAGACCCTTGATTGGATTCAGGAAAGTGAAAGCTTTCTGAATTTTTGCTCAAATAATGCTTCTCTAAGGTACAGAATTTAATGCTGAATTTATGTCTACCTCACCTGTATAGGGAAGAGGAAACCACTGCTTTTTTGGCCAAAATTCCTACTTGGTAAACTAGTATATTTCCGTTTTGAAGACCAAGGTGCAGTGAAGTGTGGTGGAGTTCCATATGGATCTGTTATGCTGCAAACACCAAAGTAAAAACCCGTCTTTGCTGGTTCCCCGTCATTTATTCAGCAAATATCATCTTAATTGAACTTAAGCTGAAACGTGAGTTCTTATTTGCCAATACTCAGAACTCAACAGTTGCAGAAGTGTTTCCTTTTAACTGCATGTCCATGTCTTGAGTTTTTCAGAAATAATACAGAAAAACATATTTTGAAAACATATTTATCTGTATTTTTCCACGTGACAGTGGCAGTTTAGGATTTAACAGGCATATCCATAATTAAATTGTTAGTTTGAGGAACTTCCAGAAAATTATCTAATGCAATCATATATCACAAGTCTTCTTTATAAAATACAAGTGCAACTCATTTCATTATGCTATCCATGTAGTTAGACATAACTGAGACCTTTAAAAATATTATAAATGACTTAAAATAGAAAATGTTAGAAACAGTACAGGCATATTACAAAATCATGGTTTCTGAAATCTAATTACTATATGCAATTTAAAATAATTAAACATGATTAGTCTTTAAGATGAATAGAACCAATTCCAACTTTAGCTATTATTTAATTATAGCATGCTGTACATTAAAATCAGCTGGAAGATAGCCAAAATAAGCTTTAAAGGACAGCATGATAATTAAGAATTGCTATTTATCTTACTTTTATTAGAAAACTCAATGCTGGAATGAATGCAATAATGTCAAGAAATATGAATTTAAATAATTTCCTAAATATTTTACTTTCTAATCCCAAATATCAGGATATTTTAAACTTCCTCATCAATTCTACTTTATATACAAAAATTCATACAGTATTAATTAGAACTTTTGCTTTCAACACAGATATCTTAAAGACAAGGAATTATGTATTTATAACTTCTTAATAAAACTATGGGTACATTCTTATTTTTGATTGTGGCAGTTTTTTCATAAAAAGGCTACTGAAATCAGGCTTATTTAAAAAATACTAATAATGTTATCTAATATAGAACAGAGGGTAGGAAGTCTCTGTAAACAAACCTATATCTATATCAAGAGTGATTCTAAGAGAATATTCTCTCCCTTACCCAGGTACTCAAGTTGTAGGGTAACATAACTAGTGTAACGTAACTAGTGATTTCCAGTCACCTTTTAGGTTTACTTAGGAACATTAAAAGAAATGCTGCCATTGTAGACTTCATTTCAATTATTTAATCTCTTTCCAGTTCACGACCTTTACTTTCTTCTGGTTTCAGCAAGAAAAACAACTTCATAAGTGTCTTACATTATAATCGGCTACTAATCATCATCAACTCAACATTAGTTTTAAACAGTCTGATTCCATAACAAATTTGTAATAGGGATATTTTCTATACATTTTATAATAGCCATGGATAGAAAAATAGTATTATTTATATACTAAAACATTCAAGTTGTTTTGTTTAAAACATACATTGTAAAATTTTCCCTCGGGAAATTTGGATTTATTATAGGACAGTTGTAGCTTTTATGAAATTGGGATCCTGAAGCCATATTTTCAAATCAGAAAAATGAAAGCCTCATTGTTGTTTTTCAAATGTTTTAAGTTTCCTTGATAAAAGGCAGTATTAGGACTTCTATTTCTAGGTCAAGTCTATATTTACAGTAACTAATAGGAAAATATTGAAGTCTGAGGTTACCAGTACAATGTCTGAATGCAAAATTCTGGACACTGGACAAAGTACTTTAGAATCAGAGGCCAGCAAAGCTCTGGAAGGCTGTGAACAGGGACAAATGCAATATGGTTCAGCAGACAGAAAGTCAGAAGTAAGATTCAGATGTAGCCAAGCAGGGTGGGGGACAGTGAGGGGGGATGTCTAGCTGGACTTGAAGGGCGTATGAAAGCAGCTGTCCTTGCAGGGGAGATTTAAAGGAAATGACTCTTCAGGGGGCACTGCATTTGCAAAAAAAAAAAAAAAAAAAAAAAAAAATCTGATATAGTATGTTTTGGAAATTCCAAAATATTTGATATTGCCAGCAGAAGAGTTGGAAAGTGGCAGAAAATAAGGGTCTAAAAATAGCCATAAGCGAAAGTGCAAAGTCTTGAAGGATAGAGATTATGTCTCTGAACCTGGTTCTCAAAATTGTTGAATTATTAACTATGGAGATGCGCTGTACAGAATTGAACTTAAAATGGTCATCTGTGTATAGCATGTCATCTTAAAAGGTTACTAAAATAGGAAAGAACTTGCACAGGTATAAAGTGTGTGCCATTCCTCCCGTGGGCTAAGGGTCTTGTCTCACTTGGTGCCACTATCAATGCAACAGGCACAGCAGTCGGGTGTGCCCTGGATATTTCTACACCTCATTCTTCTAAAAGCTCCCCCAAGAAAAATTAATAGGAAATCAGGTGCTTGCTGCAGGTCTTTGCACTGTGTCAATTCTAAGAAATCCTTTGGCAGTGTAAAGCTTTGAAGGAAATTAAATTGGAGAGAGATTTTCTCTACCTTTCATTCAGCTCATATAGAATCCCTTACTTAGCTGATATTTTTGCTCATAGAATTGGACTCAGAACTAAGTCTGTTCATTTAGCTTTCCTTTGAATGTTAAACATAATGAAGTACAAGGCCGTCACCTCACCATTTTATCCCCTACAACCCGCATAGGCGTACACTTATCACCAAACGTTTGCACATGTTTGGCTCCACTGAGATTCTTAGTCTCTATCTTTATATTTTGACTATTTTGACATTTAGAACAAAAGTTTGGAAAACTATTCTCCTACTGCTTTAGCATTCTCTTATCTTAGGGCTTATGAACATTGCTACATCTCTGAAACAGGCGGTTCCTGCCCATATCTATCAGTGAAAATTATACTTAAAATTCTGAAGAGACTCATGTCATCCAGATTTTGGAGGAAAAAGGTAGCAAATAAAAATATACTTCTTAGAAGTAGATCTCAGTTACTACTTATTTTAAATTTCACAGTAGATTCCATCTTTTGTAGATAGGGGTTTTGTTCAAAGTTTTTGACCAAACATTTTTATTAAATATTTTCAATAGTATTATAAGTGATCTGACATTTTTGGTAACAAAACAACCAAAGAACTGACTTGAGTAAAGCTGAAATGTTGCTGAACCAGAATCTAATCCTTACTCCGTCATTTTCTTACCAGGGATTTTGATTTGACTGACCAGTTTCAATCCACAGTAACAGCTTTGTTCCTAAGAGACTATAAATCAAGGAAATACTCACTACCAGGCAATTCCTCCTGCAATTCGGGGTCTGTGCTGTTATTATGAAGCAACTGACAGCAAACATTTGCTGCAAGTATGAGCGCAGATTTGGATGAGGTGTGCGGTGTTTTTGGTTTCACTCTTTATCTCTGAAACCTATCTGCTTGTGAGAAAAATTGTGCAAGAAAAGAAGTTTTACTGCCACATACCTCAGCTGTCCTAGAACTCAATGCAGAGGCTTCGCTTCCTTTCTTTCCTTGGATTCTGAGCCGGGGGAGCACAATGGGGGTCTTGTGCTCTGGGCCAGCAAGGCATGCAGATACTCGGAAAGGAGGTGTGAACGGCTTCCAATACCTACACTGTTTGCTTTACAACTACCCCAACTAAATCAAACAGGACACCAAGACACTCAGTCCAGGGTAAGCAAGTACAAAATCCACTGGCTATTATGACCCACATAGAGAACAGAATTCTTCAATTTAAGTGTGTACATAGCTGTGTTAAGAGTTAAATAAATCATTTACGAGGCTTAAAAAGAAATGCTTCTCATGTAGTTCTTTTTCATGTAGTTCTCTGAATACAAGTCAAAGTGCAGGTCACGAAAGAATCCATTGTTCACAAGCGAGAAATGTTGTTGGCTGTGAGGACGGTTCAGAACAAGCCATCGTAGTCTGCTCAAACAGTAAATATTGGTTTTAAAACCCCAAAGCATATCGGTCATGTTTTTTATCTTCCAATTGCTAGAACCAAAATTCACTGAAACAACTCTATGTCTCTGATACTATTTTCTAGAAATGTGTGTGTATGCGTGTGTGTATGTGTCTGTGTATGTTTGTTTGGTAAATCCAAATCACACAATCAACGTAAATCTTTCAGGCTAAGTTTTGCCCCAGTTATTTTTATGCTGTGCTTTCAAAAAGGTCAAAAAAGCTTACCTCTGTCAGTGTACTGGGACGCTCAGGAAGCCCCTTCTCCGCCTCGGCCTCAGCGTGCAGACATATGCCCTGGGAGCCCACAATCTGTTAACAGGAAGCAGGTAAACCCGAGAGCGTCCGCCTGCGTTCCAGTCCAGTGCCCGTCCCAGCACACACCTGCTTTTTCAGACCTGCCGCTCATATGCCACAGCCACGCACAGGACCAGCGTTAGCAGAGTGCAACACCCTCCGTTTGGATCCCTCGTTTTCAGGGTAAGCAGCTAGGGAGCTGCTGAGATAATATTGCAGGGAAAGCTTGCCTTCCCAAGACAAAAACCTTTGCTGCTGCCTGATAGCAGATATGCAGCATTATCACTCTGCATTCCACATTCTCCAATCAGCTAATTGGAACGGCAGTCAACAGCCTGTCCAAAAGGCAGCTTGCAGGCCTGCGTGGCTGTGATCATTGTATACTAACATGCCCATTGCTTCTCTCTTCCCTGAAGAGATGTATAAAAGAGGCTTCTTCCAGGGCGAAGCTCAGCAGAATATGCCACACTGTTTTCCATAAGTAAAATGGCTGGTCCTCTCAGCTCTGCTGCAGACAGCTCATTGGGTTCCACTGGCTTTTCGTAGCCATAGCAACAACCAACAGACAGACTTAGCAAGCATGGCTGATCATGTGCAGCACACTCACACAGCTTGTTAATTTCTTTTCATCAAACTCATCATTTTTTTGAGGAGGGTAGCTTCTGTTATCTTTCTACACATTTCACCGATAGTGCAAGTGCTCCGATTTTTCTGCTCTCCTGAAGAACTCTTTTTTATATGAGCCGGGGCTATGTATGAAATCGAGGAAGTGAAGCCCTATTAGTGGCTATCCAGGTTAATAACATGCAAATCACTTAAGAGACCCTAACTGGAAGCATTGTCAAAACAAGCCCCACCTTCCAGTCATAGAATGAGTGCAGAGAGCTGCAAACGGGAGAGTTACACTTTTTGTTTTTAAATGATAATCTTAGAGCCACTTAATTGAAACAAAACCCTGTGAATTGCTATATAGGGTCAGAATAATAACTAAATCAGGTAGACTATTTTAATAAGATCTTTAAATATCCATTTACTTATGGCTCAACTTATCTGATTACTTTAAGATGCTTTTTATGCAATTTAAAATAGAATTTTTAAAAAATCCTATTGCTTCTACGGCAGAAAATGATTCTTTAACTCAATCTTATTTGTAAATTAAAAATTCTTTTTAAAAAATCCGCACCTAATTAAAAATTCTTTGACTTTAAACATTACCTTCAAGGCAAGAATAGTTTTACTTCCTCAGTAAAATGGATCACATTCCACCCGTCCATAACATTTCACCTCCTCTGGGAATCTACCATGATTAATGCCATGAACAACGTAAATCTTCTGCAGAACCCCCAGGCTTTTCTTCTTTTTCAGGACTCTATCACCAGTCATATTCTATCTGATATATTTCCAAGGCACTGTCCCATTTATTTTTGTTTCTAGCAATCTGTTTCAAATAGTTATGTTAACACTTTGGACTTGTAAATATAGATGTTCTATTTGCTAAGTAGTCATTGATTTAGGATTCCGTCAGTATTGCGTTTCCCTACCCATGTTAACACTCCTGCCTTCAGTATTAATTCCCAAATTTTGACTGCATAGGAATCCTGTGGATGTAGATTTGGGGATGCCCGCTCCCCTTCCTCCCCAACCGGATTCACATTAGGTAGGTCTGAGCCACCCAGGGTCAGCGTATCCATGGAGGACAAGTGGGTGGCGCTTTCCTGCTTGGGAGAGTCCTCACCGCTTCAGATCGCCTCCAGCCAGCCTACCTTTTCTCACTGAAGTTCCCTTCCCTGAAGTTATTTTGCATTTGCTGTTGCTGAGCGTGCCCCTGCCTTCGCCCTCAGCCTCCCATTCTACTATTCACTGCCCACGTTTCAGAATCCTGCATTACACACCATTTCCTTGCCCTGCAGATGCTGCTACTATTAAAAACCTTCTCAATCTGACTGCTCCTCGCCCCAGCACCTTTAACCTCCATCCCAATCTGCCTCCTCTTTTATCTTCCAACACCTGGCCCAAATGGACCACCTCACTCATGACTCTCCCAGGTGGGGTCTGAGCGACCTCTTCTGCGACTCCCCTGTACCGGGGTCCACCTCTGCTATTACAGGCCTTGTCACGCCCTGGGACTTCTTAGCAGTTCTCCTTTTATGTCTGACTCCCAGACTGTTCTATCAACTCTCTGGAAGCCAATCTGGTCCATGTCTTCTTTGCCCTCCATGCTTGGAATATTCTAATTTCTCAATGCCTCTAAATGAGGACCTACGACACTGTATGAATAGGGACTGATGACTGGCTGGTGTGAAATCTGTGTTTTAATTTACTTTTCAACATCACACATTTGTTGACTCATCACTTCAGAAGAACTTCAGTGATTTTGACAAAATGCTGGCATGTTACAAAAGGATATCAAGAAAACTCTAGGTGCACTTGATGTTTTAGGGTGGCTTTTCTTTTCATTGTATCTCTGAAAATGTCTTTATACCCTCACACTTGATTGATTGGTTGGCAAGGCATAAGAATCTCTGGCCGTGGCTCACACCTTTATTCCCAGCACTTTGGGAGGCTGAGGCAGGTGGATCACTTGAGCCCAGGATTTGAGACCAGTCTAGGCAACAGACTGCATCTCTACAAAAAAAAAAAAAATCAAACAAACAAACAATTAGCCAGGCATGGTGGTGCACGCCTGTGGTCCCAGCTACTCGGGAGGCTGAGGAAGGAGGAATGTTTGAGCCTGGGAGGTCGAGGCTGCAGTGAGCTGTGATCACATGACTGCATTCCAGCTTGGCAACAGAGGGAGACTCTGTCTCTGTTTTTAGTAGCAAAACAAACAAACAAACAAACAAACAAATATCTGAAGTCATTTTCCTTTGGAATTTCAAAGGCCTTCATCCTTCTTCTTGTATCTCCTCCTCCCCTATACCTCCAATTCCTGCTCCTCCAAAGAGAACTGGAAGTCCCCCAGTTTGCACTGAACCGGAACTGGGAAGCTGGCAGGAACTGAGATGAATCCCTTTCCCCTCTTTGCCCCGTGGCACGTCTCCCGGCATCTCTACTGGCCTTCACACATCACTCTGCTGCCAGTCTGTTCTTCCAAGGCTCTTGGCTCCTTCGCCTGCTCGAAGCCCCTCCCTTGTAACTTGGTGCACTGAGGCCCATTGGCATTGCTCTGACCTCAGGCCCTGCCCTAGCCCAGGTCCCTGACGTTTATTCTCCTTCCAAACGTGTTTGTTTTAAAATGTGCTAGATACAGATTTCCAAGAGACAAATCTGATTTTTCCAGCCCATCTTTCTGAGTCAAGTGAGATACCACCTATGTGGCCAGCAGCTTTATACATGGGCTGCCCTGTGCCTTGGTCCAATCAGCTATGACAAGGACACTTGGCATTATCTAGTTTTAAAATTTTGCTAATATAATAGGTGCAGAGTAATGGCCCATTATTGTTTGAATGTGTGTTTCTCTAATTACTGACAAATTGAACATCTTTTCATTGTTGATGGTTTTCAGGGTTCCCTCTTCTGTAAATTTTCTGTTCATAGCTTTTGCCTGTTTTCTCTATTGAGATTGTTGTCTTAGTGTGGAATTTTAAACAACGTGGTCATAAAGGTATTTTTTATATATATTTAAACATTATAATTAAATTTGTTATATTATTAAAGGTTATTAAGATATCCACTAACATATAAAGGGAACCCTATAATTCACACTGCTAGTTGTTTTGGTTTTTATTATGAAATGAAAATACAGAATGTGTGTGAAAATCTCCATTCAGAAATTATGTTCAGTATGAAAGCGTAGAATACCACACCATAATATGATTTTCTAAGACAAATATTTGTTTAGAAGGATTTTCAAACAAATATATTATCATCAAAGAATACATATACACACACATATATATGCTCTAATAGTATACGCACACACATATATATGGAGAGAGAGAGAGAGCTATCTATCTATCTAGCTTCTATTTTAAGTTATACCGTATGCACACCTACACATCAATCAATCTACCTATCTATCATCTGTGTATCATCTATGGAAGGCAAACACAAATGTGCAAAATGCTAACACCTGATGAATCTTAAATGAGAATATTTTCAGTTTATTTTACTATTCTTTGCACTTTTCTATAAGTTTGATTTGTTTTCAAGATACAAAGTTTTAAAAAATGAAATAAAATGAGAATAAAAATAGTGTTTAGAATAGACACAGAGTTAAGGTTAAGATTAGTTGATGAAGACATAACTATTTATCAGAGTTGAAACTAAAGAAGTTAATAAGTTATGGAGTAACTAAAGTGATTACTACCATTACTGTTACTCTGAGGAGGCTACTCTGGTAGAGAGTATTGGAAACATTTTGCACTTTCTTGAAACAAGTTTGCTATTTCCCTACATTTACTGCTTCCCTGTATTCTGATCTTAAACCATTTATCCTCTGGTTCGTATTTTGAAATCCTTATTAGTCTGTTTCCTTAATTCAACAAAATCATCACTGCTTGAAGCAATAGGTTCTTCTCTAGTCACATCTTCTGCTGCAGACTCCACAGCTGGGACCCACCAAAGGATCTGGTCCCTGGCACAACAAAGAAACACGTCATATGACTTAACTTAGAGACTGGAATTGAAGCATGGTTTATGAGGTAGCAAAGACTTTTGTAAAGCTTAGATTGAATTTTCTAATTCCTAAAACAAATAAAATAGAATATCCCAAAGGTTATTCCAAAACCTTGCATATTTAGTTACTCTCACAATGACGTGAACAATGTCAAAATAGGACATTGATGGGAAATGTGACAACTGACTTAGGAGGAGGATTGAAGTATCTCAGTCAAACAAATTGGATTTATTTCTATGATTCCAACCCCAAGAAATATATGCTGGAAAGCAGACTGACCCACAGGCTACTAATCAAATGCGTTCATATCCCCTGAAGAAGTATGACCCTGATCAGTATCCAGAATGACTTTTATAAATCAGAGGTGCCCAAAACCAAAACAAACCCAGCAGAGTTGAGGGTTTTTGGAAATTCACTTATCAAATGAATTTAAAATGAGAAAATGATTATAGAAGAACAAAACCTTGCCAGAGAGCAAATGATAAGAACGTAAACATCAGCAATAAAAAACCGTTCAACAAACTGGAGAGAAAGCCAAACCTATTAACACAAAAACACTGTGTGTAGCCCATTAGTTGTTCCTAGAACCCCCTAGAAATTCTGTATACTCTCTAGGTTAAGAGGAATAAGGAAAATGTGGCAAGAGGTACAGGAAGAAGTTTCAGCTAGTCCTAAGTCTGGAGAGCCCGGTCTTTACTGGCTAATAATAACAACATTGTTTTAAATATTTCAGGTTTATCAAGCTTTGGGTTTGCAAATGACTATGATTGCAGCAGCTTACAGGAACTACTTTATCGTAAAATGTGTGTTAATATGTGTCAGTACCAGGTGGGGAAAAAATAATGGTGTTATCCAATAATAACAAAAGAAAAAAAAAACCACCCACAATTAACCCCCTCCCACAGCCCTGTTAACCAGTCCCAAACATATAAATACATCTTGCTGTAGCTAGAGAAAAGTACTCCTGGCTTTTATTAAACCTGCAGTGGGGAGAGATTCTGCAAGCAATACAGAAAAGGCTGCACTTGCTCCCAAGGAATTTGACTGTTTATACTTCATAATGATAAGCTTAAAAAGCGACCTGGAAAGAGAGGGCTGGCTGCTTTCATGCTCCTGTGAGGGGCCACACTTTGTTCTTGGAGAGGCACTCTGACCACATTAATAGAGTGTAGCTCCCATGACCTTTCCCACTTAGCATTGTGTCCTGTGGCAGCAGTGGCCCCCAGGTACTTCCGGGCAACGTGCCACCCTACCCAGTGCAGAAAAAGCACTGGGCTCTGCCGTCACGGCATTGTTGAATTAGTAACGAAACGCACCAGGCTCAGCAAACAAAACCTGGCAAGAAGGATTTTAAAACAAATGCTTCTGGTTTCACCTGAGCCACTGAAACAAATTAGAAGGTGCTGGGTGAAACTGGGCAGCTTCCGTAAACTCTGAAGAAGATCATGCTAAAGCCCTCAGCTGCCAAATGTGCAAATCTCAAAAGAAGTGAAAATTAGAGGGTCACCTTGTGTCTTCTAGAAGTGCTTCTGAAATACATGTTCAGTAAGATTCATTGGTCAAGATAATAAGATGGGCCCAAGTGATGTATTAATACAATCAGGTACACGTTTTAGGATCCAACGGTCCAACAACAAGTGGAAAATACTGTTGAAAAATAAAAATCCCCAATCCGCACTGGAAATAGTAGATGTTCAGTTAAAGGCCTGACAGTGACAGCACGTGCAGGTAGGAAAAATAAACTATGCGTGCTTGCAGAATATTGGATGGGAGCTATAACCCAGAATGGTAATTATTTTACTAAGCCTACCCAGGTCAGAATTCAGTGCCTATGTGTTTGTTTGTTTGTTTGTTTTTGAGATGGAGTCTCGCTCTGTCGTCCAGGCTGGAGTGCAATGGCACAATCTTGGCTCACTGCAATCTCCGCCTCCTGGGTTCAAGCGATTCTCCTGCCTCAGCCTCCCGAGTAGCTGGGATTACAGGTGTCCGCCACCACACCAGGCTAATTTTTTGTATTTTTAGTAGAAACGGAGTTTCACCATGTTAGCCAGGATGGTCTCCATCTCCTGACCTTGTGATCCACCTGCCTTGCCCTCCCAAAGTGCTGGGATTACAGGCATGAGCCACCGTGCCCAGCAGCCTATATTTTTAAAAGTCAGACTCTGGCATCCTAATTGCCAGATCATTGCCTTGAACTGAGAACATTCTTCTGGACATTTCCTGCATCAAAGGAAGACTATTTGAAACATTCCTTGTGAGAGGTCAGGAGATCGAGACCATCCTGGCTAACACGGTGAAACCCTATCTCTACTAAAAATACAAAAAATTAGCTGGGCCTGGTGGTGGGCGCCTGTAGTCCCAGCTACTTGGGAGGCTGAGGCAGGAGAATGGCATGAACCCAGGAGGCGGAGGTTGCAGTGAGCCGAGATCGTGCCACTGCACTCCAGCCTGGGTGACAGAGCGAGACTCTGTCTCAAAAAAAAAAAAGAAAAGAAACATTCCTTGTGAGGTTTAAAGTAGCATGACAAATCATTCCACAACCAACTTTCCTATAGGCATAAAGGTAGATTTTAAAAAATTTATCTGAGAGCTGATACCTGACCTGCATCTTGAAGGACCCATTATTCTCTTGGCATGTGGACTCTTTCCTATATCTTTCCTTCATTAAAGACATGGTTTGCTTCCAACAATTGGAAGCAAACTCAAGTTGTGTTTCAATTTTTGGTAACACATGAGAAAGTCTTATCACAGGATCAGGATTGGCTGCATAGGAGAGAAAGCTCAAATAACAGGGCTTACAAGAGACAGAGCTATATTTTTCTCTCACTTGAAGGATTGAGAAATAAGGAGTTCTAGGCTAGTAGAAAATTGGCCTCATGATTATTAGGACTCTAGCTCCTACCCTCTGTTCTGTCATCTTTTGAAACTGGTTTCTATCCTCAAGAATCCTCGTGGTCCAGAATGGCTACTTGTGCTCCAGCCATCAGGTCCATGTTCCAGGCAAGAAGAGGAGAGGGAGAGCCAAGGGGCACATTTTCCGCTTGAGTTGGCCTCTTTGAAGGAGCTTTTCCCCACCTCCCACCCAGCACTTCTGCTGATATCTCATTGCATCCTGAGTGATAAGTAAGTCTCAAAAACGTGGTCTTTTCAGCCGGACGCCTTTTGGTCCCAGGTAAACCAGTGTTCTACTACTGAGAAACAAATTGATAATAGGGAGTGGATAGACAACAAGCTGCCTCTGCCAGCTCATGTCAGCCTGGGTACAAAGAAAGTACTATCTCATTTCTGGACATTGTCAGTGAGCCTTTATTCCTGGCTGGTCACCTGTCAGTGCAGGGATCACCCAGGCTGACTCGGTGGGTTGCGGAAGCACCCTTCCTTCATTCCTGCCTGGGGGTGTCCTTGCCTATCCAGCCACTGTGCTTAACTCCTCAGCACAGACTCAAAGCATTGCCATCTCTCCTTATACTGGTTTCATATCAATATCTCAAAGTATACTTGTTCATTCACTGTGGAACAAATAAATAAATGGTGTGGATTCAAATATTCTGCAATTTGTTAGCTGTGTGATATGCAAATTGCCTAACCTCTTTGTGCTTCTGTTTCCTCATAAGAAAGGATGATAATATTATCTAATTCTGAGGGCGGTTGTGGCAATTAAATCCATTAATTAGCATAAAAGGGTATTAGGTATTATCTTGAATTTTGTATCTTTGATTTATGGTGCGGCACTGGGTGGGCACGGACCTCCGGGACCTTCCAATACCGTGGGAAACATCAGCTGGACGTGGACCAGAGCGTCAAAAAGCAACACAAATGCATGTGTTCATCAAAAGAATGGTCCAGACGGTGAGGGCCGTGGGCTTCAGCAAAGGAGAAACAGGCACTAGTGTCATCAGTGGGAACTTATCGCAGGCTCCCTGCAACCTCACCTGGACAGCGCGGCGCTGTGTGAACAGCCAGCAGGAGGCCTTTTCGCTTCTGCCTCCTGCTTTCCTTCCCGGCTGATGTCCTCCCCTCCCCTTTAATTTAAATTGGCACCAGTTTCCTATTCTCTCGGCAGCCCTAGTTCTTTCCCTCATTTAACCTTTTCATAGAATCTAGTGGGGACTTTATCGACCAGATGCCAAGGGGCTGCCAGGGCAGGGCTGGCCTTCAGAGGAGGGGCATGGTGTGCCCAAGTCCTGCAGTTGGGGAAGGAGTAGGGAGCTGAGACCACAGAGGGACAGGGACAGAGGCTAGGGAGCAGCGTGCGCGGACACCTTGCCTGCGGGGAAGGCCTACGGAGGCCTTGCAGACAGCGTCTCAGCCGACACACAGGGCCCTTTAAGAAAAGAGGCACCGTGTTCTTTAAGAGTTCTGTAGCAGAGTCCTGGCAGTCCCGGGACTTCACACGCTGCACATTTACTTGTGCTTTTATTTACTTAATCTCTGTCTGTCCCGCGAGATTATAAACTGCAGGACGGCAGAGATCATTTCTGTTTTGTTTTGACCCTGCTTCCAGGGCTCAGTATCGTACCTGGGCTGTGGAGGATACAGAAATGCCGAATGAACAAATGAACGGATGACTGGGCCACATGGGTCCCAGGTGAATGAATTCTATCTGCCCCTTAAGGCCATCCCTTGATTCAATCCGACAAACATTTCTTCAACCTGAACTAACCCAAGAAGATCCGCATCAAGGGTCAGATTACTAAAGCACTGCCCACCTTCTGGGTGGGTGAACGTGAGGGAACAAATAGTGATGTTCCAGTGTGATTTGCCCACGCCCGGGGGGCAAGGGGAGCAGAGGGAACAAATGAACCGTCCCGCGCCTCACCAAGGGGCCACACGCGAGCTAAGTGGCTGAAGAGGAGTTCGCCTGCCTGGGAAGCCAGGGACAGGACTTCCAGGTGGAGGAAGTGGCAGCTGTGACTGAGAGGTGGAGTGGCACAGAAGCCTGTGTTGTGGCAGGAAGCAGAGGCGAGGTGGACAGGGTGGAAGGGTCACTGTTTGTCAAACACCTTGTTTTTCGTGGTAAGAACTTTGGGCCTTATCTTCCTGGAAATAACAAGCCACCATTGAGTTGTTTTTATGTTTGTTTCTTTTTTTGAGATGGAGTCTCGCTCTGTCTCCTAGGCTGCAGTGCAGTGGCTCCATCTCAGCTCACTGCCACCTCCACCTCCTGGGTTCAAGGGATTCTCCTGCCTCAGCCTCCCGAGTAGCTGGGATTACAGGTGCCCGCCACCACACCCAGCTAATTTTTGTATTTTTAGTAGAGACGGGGTTTCGCCATGTTGACCAGGCTGGTCTCGAACTCCTGACCTCAGGTGATCTGCCCGCCTCAGCCTCCCAAAGTGTTGGGATTACAAGCGTGCACCACCACACTCAGCCCCACCATAGAGTCATAAAAAGAACACAGATGTGATCATTCTTGCATTTTAGAATAGGAGCTCTAGGACCCATTTACCTGGGAAATACATTTTAATGGAGTCATTCACATGGTTTGATGTTTTGGTCGCTTTTATTAGTCGTCATTATTACGAAACATGTCTCGAACACCTTCTTCTGTGCAAGGTATTCATATTAGTTGCCCGAGGAGATATCAACAAAATGAAGGACCCATAAATTATAAGACATACCACTATTTTATGTTCCACCAAAAAGGAAAAAAACTGCTGCCAATGAAATTGTAACACGATGTTATTTTTTGAGTCTTATTATTATTTGTTGGAAGAGATGTTTCAAATGTATTGAGATTAAATTTCATCCTCTATCACTCTGTGTATAGAAAAAAGAAAGAAGTGAAATTAGTTGGCTACAATATTCTTAAAATTCTTCACCTGCAGTATTCAGCTCTTCTGAATGACATTACTATTTAGGGTTTGACAGTCATCCTTTATCTAGTGTTTCCCCAGTTGGGTGTGCATCAGCATTACCAGGAAAAGTGGAGGAAATGGAGGCCCGGGCCACATGCCGTTCCAACAGGCCTGGAGCTCTGTATTCCTTGTTGGTAACCAAAAGATCCTGAGACCCCCAAAGAGGAGGAAACGCTGCCCAGCACATCAGGAGAGATGGCACAGCAGCGCTTCTGAAGTGAGTGCCCGCTTCTGTTTTCAGTATTTTTTGTATTCGGTGAGTTTTCACAGACATGCATATGACAAGGTTGACACAACTGCCATGTGCCTGGCAGAGACATTGTTTCTGGGATATTAGAAAAGACATACGATGGGAACTTTACAAAATATGCAAGAAGTATATGAATGATAATAACTTGACTTCTATGAACAGGAACTAAGTAGATTGTGGCACAGCCACGCCATGGGAGATGCTCAGTGTTGAAAAGTCATTATGTAGAATGATATTTTCCACAGGGTGTTCCAGGACAGGCTATTCTACAGGGGCACCACAGGCAAAACAAGGTTGGGAGATCCTGCAAACCATGCCCCTTGCCTAGAGTTTCAGAGTGCGCTCAGCATTCTGAGAGTTCTGAGAACGCCGGGAGTATAAAGATTTTACATTTTAAGCTAGAATTTTCCAATTATGGCATTAAAGAAAGAAAAGGAAAATAAAAACTCGAGACCCCAATTCACGATGCCAAAGGAAAAAATTAAGCTGAAAGCTGAGTCATGCAGGAAGCTGCCTTTCCTTTTTGTTCCTAAGCAGAAGCTACAGATAGAAGGTTTGATATCTCCACAGGTAGCTACTCTGTGTTTGCCTTATCTTATGTAAAGTGCCGTTTTACGGAGTGTCAGAGGAATACGTACTGACTCTTCCCCTGCCCGCTCCTTTCCTCTTGCAACAAGTGGATTCAGTGATGTGACCATACCTTCCTTCTTTCCCCTCCGGCCTCCTTTTCCCCTTTATGTACCGAAGTCCTCAAAATCATCTTTGGAGAAAGGCATGTCTCTCAGGCATGTCCTTAACCTTGGCAAAATAAGCTTCTAAATTGATTGAGACCTGTCTCAGATGCTTTTTGGTTTACAATGTTCACATTATATTTTAAATAAACAGCAACAACAATAAGCCCATAAAAATGTATGGTGGCACCATTCCATTTTTGTAAGTAAAATTTTGGATATATAGTCATAGGAAAAAGACAGGAGGTACACTCAACAATAACAATGTTTAATAACGAGGGATTGAGTTATGTATAAATTTTCTTTTGTTTATTTGTATATTCTTTAGTAAATTGACACATTTTCTGAAAGAAAATGGTTATTAAAAATAGCAATAGTAAACTGACTTTATGAAAAGTCAGAGAAAGATTTGAGTTTTCCTGATATGTTCTGTGGAGGAAGCTTTGATGAATATTAAAAAAAATTCAGTGAGAAGATGGAGACTTGTTTTATGAAACTTCTCAATTTCCACGAGACAGGAAAAAAAGTGTTATTAGTCACACATCACAGTCAGAGGAAAGAAGAACAGAATAAATTGGGCATCATGTGTAATTTTTCTGTGGTCTTTTTCAAGGCCGTGCATGCATGAAATAGAACATTTTAAATCAACAAGTCAGGCTGGTTTGTCTGCGGTTCGATAAAAAGGCCAAGCAGAGAAGCCCGCTGATTGGATCTCAGAAATTCGTGAAGCTACTAAGGGAAGTCACCTTAAAGATAGCAGCTGATACCGTATCTTAGGGTAGGAATACCTCTTACAAGTTAGGTCATCTTGGGCAGCCTACTTAACTCTCAGGGTCCTCATTTTTTTGTATCAAAATGGCCATGGTTACTGCATTTGCTCCCTGGAGGTGTCGTAGCAAAGTACCCCAAACCGGGTGGCTTCAAACAACAGACATTTTTCTCACAGTACTGGAGGCCAGAAGTCAGCAGATGAGGTGTGGGCAGCCCCATCCTCTCTCTGAAGGCTCCAGGGAGGATCTTTCCTTGCCTCTCGCTACTCCTGGCTGCTGCCAGCAATCTTGGTGTTTCCTGACCTGGCTTGTGGCAGTGTAACCCCAATCTCTGCCTCCATCTGCACACACATCTTCCCTGTGTGTGTCTGTGTACAGATTTCTCTTTTCTTATAAGGACAGGAGTCATTGAATGAGGGCCCACCTTAATCCCTATGACCCCATCTTGCCTTGTTACATCTGCAATGACCCTATTTCCAAATAAAGTCGCATTCACAAGTCCTGGGGTTAGGACTTCAAAGTATCTTTTGAGGGGACACAATTCAACCCATAACAGTTATGGTGTTACAGCTATAATCCTTTCTGGGAAAAAAGCTGTTGTTCCCTATGCAGTTGGGTCTGTGAAAAACCAACTCAGGGACAACTCAACTGAACTCAATTCATACATCGAGGAATTCCCAGGATGCTGGTGGAAAAGATCAATTAAACTGCATCTCTGGATGCTTTTTTTTTTCTTTTTACTGAATTGGCAGAAAGACTCCTCTGCTAGATTTAGAGTGAATCTACCATTATAAAATTGAATCAACAACAAAAAGGGATAGGTGTGATATGTTGAAAAGATTCTACCAAATCTCCTCTAGACTGATTGCTCTTTTTAGAAGAATCTTCCAGGGTAACATCTCCCAACCCACACTCTCATGCCAAAGTGCATCCTGGCCCCACACGGGTGGCAGGCGGGCTGATCCCTACACATGGTTTCTGAGATTGATCAGGGGGCTTCCAGGTTCTCTTCAGCCATCAGTTTCTGAGAGGAACACCTGGGATTTCATTGCATCTCCAAATACAGGCACTGCTTCTTAATTCAGGCTCTCCGAGATTCTGCACCCTCCCCTGGGTATAGGTCAGGTCCTAGTAGCAGCTTCAGACCACCAGTAATCTAAAGCAGTTACTGCAGCTTTCAAAGGCCTAAAATCTCAGAGAATTATTAGGCACATGGGGAATATCTTTATTTGTTCATTTTGTTCTGTTTTTTGTTTTTTTTTTTACTGTACTGAGTATCATTTATAATTTCAAAACAGTGCAATAACAGTCAATGTAATTTATTAGCAGATTACCATGTGCCAGGCACTAGCTACAAGTTTTAGAAATATTAAATCTCTTCCTTATAGAAAACCTGCCAAACAGGAATTATTTTTATTTGACAGGTGAGAAAATAGGCTTAAAAAATGTATGACTTCCAAGGTTAAAGAATCACCTGATTTTAATACTATGCAGAATTTCTTACTTCAGCACTGTTTTAATGAATTGTCTGTAAATGTAGAAACTCCTGTTTGTTTTATTTGGATCAGATTCCTGAAAGTCGATCAGAAGGAAATGGTGATGTTCCCAGCATTTCTGTTATTTTTCTTTTTGCCATTGATCTAGGATAAATCATTTTGATCACTTTTGTTGCAGTTTCTGTATCTCAGAATACTGGTATTATATTTTTTGTTGTTCTCAGGTCCTGTGCACAGGCCTGTGGGAGGGGAGAAAACATTATCATGATCTAGAGGCTAGATTACTTTATTAGCAGCAATACCACTTGAACATCTAACTACAGAGTCACTCCTGAGGTTAATGAAATAATTTTTGTTTCCAGATGTTCTTTACATTGGGCCTAAGTCCACTGTGAAGAAAAGAAGAATGGTTTTGATTTTCTCGGTTGCGATGACCTAGCTGGCTCAAGACTTCCTCACTCGGTGGCTATAGACTATCTTCACCTGAAACTCCTACAAAGTGAAACATCCCAGGTCACTCCAGGAAGTCTTTCTGCGGTTAAACAAGCTGGCCTGAAAGCATTTAAAGTCCATGGCTTACCAAGCCAAACAAGAACTCCATTCAAGCAAAATCTAAGTGGAGAAGCATCGTTTCAGTCAGCCACATTTTAATCAGCGACACCTCATGAAATGTGGACTCAGACAAAATATTTTAAAATTCATTTTGCCACATCAATGCATTTATATCATAAGCAATATCCCTCAGAGGTCATGTGCTCTGCAGAAGTAGGGGGATTTTCTCCACAGTTTTTCTTCATATTGAGGACTTGGTGGAAATGTTTTCACTCAGAGTGGCCCCTCAGGCACCCTCACCTAGCTGAGGTGCCTATGCTCATCGACCACTACTACCTGTTCTTCAAGCTACCCTGGTCTACGATCACCACAAATCCAGGACCTGAGCAGAGCCTATCAGCATGTCATGGAAATCTTTCTGGAGTTTTCTTATAAATCTTTTCTTTTTTCTTTGCCCTGTGCATTATTCATAAACAAGTCATCCTAGTCTCTAAACAGAACAAGTTGGTCCTGTGAGCTACTGAGGATATGCGAATGTACTGCAAGACACACTTCACAATGTGTGAAATTATGATTACCTTGCAAAATCAGGACCATCAATATATACTGTTTTTTCTCTTTTTTCACCTAATTCACTGGGTCAGTAGGAAAAAAATGGAAGGATAAGAGGCCAATGAAATCACACTAATTTATTCAACAAATGTTTTTCCTGACTTCTGTGATGTATAGGGCACTGTAGTCAGGTGAAATAACAGTAAAATGGGAATCAGAAGACAGGATTTACTATAAAATTGATCCCTAATTATGTGACCATGAGCAAATTCCTGACTTTATGTCCCTCGGTTCTTTTATTTGTAGATTGGGAGTGATTTAAGCATCTGCCCACTCACAAACTATTATGAGGATCAAATGAATCTTTTTACTTGTGAGATAAAGGACAATGCAAGTGACATGCAGTGGTTTTCCTTCTCCACTGCTACCACTGTACCCCACCCCTGACTACGTCATCATCATCATCACCATCACCACCATCATCACCACCATCACCATCATCATCATCACCATCATCATCACCATCATCACCATCATCATCACCATCATCGCCATCATCATCACCATCATCATCATCATCACCATTGCCATCATCATCATCACCATCATCACCATCATCAGAATCACCATCATCATCATCATCACCATCATCACCATCATCACCATCATCATCATCACCATCACCACCATCATCATCACCATCATCACCATCATCACCATCATCATCACCATCATCATCATCACCATCATCACCATCATCACCATCATCATCATCATCATCATCATCATCATCATCATCATCATCATCATCATCATCATCATCATCATCATCATCATCATCATCATCATCATCATCATCACCATCATCATCATCACCATCATCATCATCATCATCATCATCATCATCATCATCATCATCATCATCATCATCATCATCATCATCATCATCATCATCATCATCATCATCATCATCATCATCATCATCATCATCATCATCATCATCATCATCATCATCATCATCATCATCATCATCATCATCATCATCACCATCACCATCATCATCATCATCATCATCATCATCATCATTGTCATCATCATCATCATCATCACCACCATCATCATCACCACCATCATCATCATCACCATCATCATCACCATCACCATCATCACCATCATCATCACCATCATCACCATCATCACCATCATCATCACCATCACCATCATCATCGTCACCATCATCGTCATCATCACCATCATCACCGTCACCATCATCATCATCATCGTCACCATCATCAGCGTCACCATCATCATCATCGTCACCATCATCAGCGTCACCATCATCATCATACCATCATCATCATCATCACCATCATCACCATCATCATCATCATCATCGTCACCATCATCATCATCTCATCACCATCATCATCATCATCACCATCATCATCATCGTCACCATCATCATCATCTCATCACCATCATCACCATCATCATCCTCTGCATTAGGTTTGTTCTCTAAAAACACGGTAAGGAGGGGATTTACTGAAGGGGCTTTGGGGATGTGTCCTTAGTTATCATATCTGTAAGGGAGCAGGAGAGGAAAAATTGGACAAAGGGAGAAAGTAAACTTTGATAAATCTTCAGCAGAGGCCACAGGATGCTATGGTGCTGAGATAACACCTTCTAGTTGCCCCAAAGGAAGACAAGGAGCCTGGACCTTGGGAGCCCTGCATCCACCCACTGCCTGCAGGCTGCCCACACTAGGAGACGCAGAACCAGAGGAGGCCATTCTTGGAGACAGACTCACTTGTGAGCCCTCAGCAATGCACACTCTGGGAGCTGGGTGAGTGGACACCTTAGTTCTGAAAGGGAGAGATGAGGGATTGTAGCATCCACTAAAATCATCATTATCATCATCATCATTATCATGGGCTTGAAATGGCCTTCAAGAAATCCTTGAAGGCTCCTGGTCATTTCGTTTCTATAATACAACAAAGAAAGAAAAGACAGAGTTTCCCTGACAGGTAGCACAAAATTAAAAATATTAGAGCTTAACCTCAGGGAAGGCAGGGAACCATGGCTCGCCCACCGATCACAGCAACACGAGATCCTAAATGTCCCAAGTGGCAGACACTGTACATCAATTCCATATCAAACATCCCTCCTCCCCACATCAATTGCCCCTCTACTGCCATTCCTTTTATTGAATGATAGATTCCCAGGGTGGAAAAGGGCTTTGCAGGTCAGGCGATTCAAGTCACTATCCAGCCACACTCCAAGATGGGCCATCCCCTGTGGTGGAGGCAACTACAGTTTCAAGCATCCTGTTCTTTTCCAGAGACTTCTCCAAGTGTGGCTGGAATCTGCCTTCTCACAGCTTTTACCATTATTGGTCCCATTGCTATGTTATGGGACAACACAGATCAGATTTAATCCATCCTCCATATGTGACACATACATATTTTGGAACTGCGCTTTTTTTGAAATGTGCTCAGTTTCCAAAACTTGTTCCTTTTCAAAGCCAAAACCTGGCCTCAATCCTTGGAATATCTTCTTTTCCTCTTCAATTGCGAAGATTGCTCCAAGTTTTTTCTAATCCATGTAAAACAGGATGGGGCAATCATCATACTCTTGCTGTTGGGCCCCTCTATACATGTGGTCTAATATTAAAATACTGGACTCTCAGCTCCATGGGTAAACGGTGTGATGTGGTTGGCAAATCAAGCTCTGTTTTTAAGCCATATCTTCCCTATCCTTGTACTAATGCAGCTGGCTTTTTTGAACAGTAGCATAGTATCTATGAGATCTGTGTGAAATGCAGATTCCAGCTATTGAGATCTTGGTGTATACTAATCTTTTTTCAGGATTTTTTTTCAGTACCATTAATGTGATTACATACACACAAAGTGAACAGAAATATTGGCCAGAACAATAGAAAGTAGAAAAGAGAGAAAGAATGAGACAGAGAGAGAAAAGCTCTGTTATTCCCATCCCCATCCCCGTTCCCACTAGACACACAGACACACAAACCAAGAGATGACATTAAAGGAATAAATGAGGCAGAGTGAGCATCTCTCCAGAAGGTAGAAGAATGAGTTTTCTTTTAAGTTTTGCTCTTAATTTCTGGCACATAGTCATTATTTATTAAATGGGAACACCTACTCGGTACTTACACATCAAGCTAAAACATCCATGAAAAATTATTTCATAATGTCACAATATATTTTTTCATAAATTCTTAATTCCAGCCATCTGCTCTATACAACCCATGGTTGCTAATTTCTCTACCCAACTTCTTTAGTGCTACCAAAAATGCATGGCTCAAAATAAATAATTGGATTTTTCAGATTTAAATCTTCAGCTCAAATGACTTTACTGAATTAGGAGAAAGAAGAGTATGGGAAGGATACCTAACACTCCTGCATTCTCTATATATTAATTAAATTAAAAATTTAAATTTCCACTATAATTTTCCCAAGAGTTCCAGGCCCCAGGTATGATATAGTGTTAAGAGGCACAGTTGTAATCGCATGCCATTTGATTATACATTTGTACTGGTGATTTTTCCAAGTCAAACGGTGACTTCTTCACATTTTTTTCTTTGATTTCCCTGATTACTATTATTAACCTAGATGTAGCACATTGAATGGTGCTTAGGAAAATAGTGAGAAAATGCACATTCTGGTTGGCCCTCTAGATGCTCTCAAATCATAGTTTGGAGAATGAGCCACTAAGCTATTGGAATTTTCCCAATGAATGGATTTGCAAGATGACCATATAGAGGTCTGAAACCCAGCACACATAGGTGCTGTGAGGTGGGTCAGCACATTTTTGCCACCTAGCTCTTTGAATCACCCACTATCTGATTTTGAGTCTGCAAATAGAAAATGGTTATGGAAGGAAGCAGCTGAACAAATATCATCATAAACGCTGAAGAAGTAGGAGCATATCTTTTGTGTGTTGGAAGAGGCCCCCTTTTGATCTCTGAAGTGCAACCAAATTAAGAAAGGGAGTGGCTTCTTCGGGGAAAGTAAAAGCTCATGGCCAAAGGATCAAGAACATTTTCTCAGGATAGAGACTTGCTAGTTCCATTGCTTCTTTTTTCAAGTGTAACCCAAATGTCTTGGGTTGGTGCTGTTTGTTGAAGTAACATGGTTAATTATTTACCTTTCTCACCATTTGGCTAAGATTCTTTTCTTATCAAATTGCCCTGTCTGAACCCAAAACAAACACCCTCCTGAGGGCGGTTAGCCATCACCTTAAGCTGGGTTTGTGTGAGGGTGGCTGGACATTTTTCTACTATTTTTCTCACGGCCTCTGTTGTTTCCAGTAGCCATTCTGCTAGAAAGGCCCAGAGCTAACTTGTGCTACTATATGGGTACTTAGGGTTTGCTGTGACTTGGTTCTTTTTTATTTTTTTAGACCTGCTCTTTATAACTCTTCCTTATTTGGGCGCTATTCTAATTCCTCCATTCAACACGGTGTTTCAGATTTCACTAGAGAAAGTAGCCTTTTATCTTCTCAAGGTTTTTCTGCCATTTGAACTTTTGATCGTACACTTGATCGTACACTCTAAAATGGACCCAACATGGTCATCTAGAACTGGGATGATTTAGTCATTAAAAATAATTAGACAGCAAAAGGGATATTTTGGGCTCTTCTCTTCTTTCCTCCAAGACTCCTACAGGAGCAGATTGCTCTGGCCAAATGTGGCAGAAGAAGAGCGGGTAGGTGGGGTGGCTTCAATCCACAGAGGCTCTGTTGCTGCAGCAACTTTCAGTCTAAATTCCATGCCCAGACGAGGCAGCTATTCTTAGCCTTGACTTTGGAAATAGTTTTCTCCCTTCTTCAAGTACATCACTCTTGACCTTTTATCTTTACTTTAAAGGTCTTGTGCAGCTGAATCCTTTATTTGTTTCCTCAAATCATTTTTAGGAACAAGGAAGATGTTAGAATAGGAAAGGAATAACAAATGGATAGGGCCCTGAGGGGTTAAATCACCTGGCCAGATCACACATTGAGTAAGCAGCACCTGCTCTCCTTCAGTGAGTCCGGCATTCCATGAAGGGTTACTAAGTTTTTATTATGCCGCAGGTATGTGGACGGGTGTTGGCCATGGAGTGGTAACCAAGACAGAGTCCTTTCCCTCAGGGAGCTTACAGTGGAGACTGAAGGACAGTTCTCTTGACTCCTAAAGTTCTATTCTTTCCACTACACTCTGAGATGTTACCAGTGCTTTAAAAAATACATTTCCTATTTTTCCAAATAGGACTGAACTGAGGCAAAACTGTGAAGTCAACAAGACCTCAATGCTGTCATCTCTAAAGTGGAACTAATACTAGCACCTTATTAAAATGGTGAAAGATTAAATGAAGTAACTCCTTCAAAGGGCTTAGCATAGTGTCTGGCACATACTAACTGTTCAATAAATGTTAAATAGTATTACCAGTATTGTGTTCTCTGGTTTTAATATGATCAATCCTTTTATTGAAGAGAAGCAATTTCAATATATTTGAAACTTACGAATATTAGTTCTTTGAATATTAACACTTGGTAAGGCAGCAGCTTTCAGTCTTTGCACTTATGCCATGATAGATGGTTTCCCTAAATTAAGCTGAATCATGTTATAGGTAGACATTCCCTTGTCTGGAATCTTTTCTAGGCACTAGTTAAGATTTAAAATCATCTAACTTTATGTAAAAACCCCATCTGATGCTGTTACATATCTATAAAAAAGATTGTATTATTTTCTTAGATTTTAAGATTCTACCTTTGCTTAAAAGCCTTAGAGTATTAAATAGCCTTAAATCAAAAATTTACCCTGACCAACTATAATAAGATTATGTTTACTTACTTTACTTCTATCTATCTTGGCTGGTTAAAAATAAACTCCACATTTTGACTTAGAAGTCAATGATTTTGATTTGTGTCAAATGAGAGTATGGGAGAATTTGGTCACCATGGACGTGGTTTGGTCACAATTTGTTTTGGTTATTATAGGTTAAAGCAGAATCCAGTGATAGCTGATGAAACAGAATTATTCCTTTTCTTAATTTCAGTTTCTTATATCTTAAAGTTACTCTCATCCCAAGCTTAAAATTGGTCTAGGATGTGCACAGTTGTAACTTTTTTCTGAAGATTTATTTAAAAGCACATTTGGTTACCAGCAGTCTATGAAACCTTCCTTGTAATAATTCAATTTGCTCAAAGTTCTCCTGTGGAAAAAAGTGTATATGTATCTTCCCCATAAAGGACTTTGAGAGAACAGTAACCTACTTTCACAGCATAGGTTGGAGACCGTTTCTGAACAAGATAAAACTATCATTCATGATTAGTCCGAATTCAGGGGTAATGCTGAGGTCTAATATTTTTTGAAACTTATGTTTACATCCTTGATAAAATTCTTTTCTTCTAGTGATGGCAGAAACCTAAAGCAGTTTTGATATTCTAAGGTCTTTCCTATCTAGCTGTTACAGAGTATTAAAAGCACTACTGTACATAGTTGGAACATTTTTGTTATCACATTTTCTTCATATGTGGTCTTAAAATGGCTAATTCCAAAGAACAAAAGATAAGTTATCCATGGAAAATGAAGTCATGATTTTATCTGTACCACCCCATCTGACTATAACTACCATGCACATTGTGTCCAAGTAATGTGAACATGTCTGGTTGGCACAGCTACAATAGCAGGGCTGATAAGTAACTGATCAGCTTATCCACAGCATTCCTTTCATGGGAGGTCACTGTCCCCTTTGTTTCTAAAAGTCCAGCAAAGCTTAAGCATTCCAGAACCTGGTAATTCAAATTAATTACATGGTATCATGTACATGGCTCCTGGGATTATCACCTTGTAATACTGTGGCTTCTATGCTTTTAAGTTTGCCTAATTAAATCCTTTCAAATGAAACCAGTTAAGCAATTAGTGCTACTACACTATGTAATTAATATATGCCTTAAACACACTTTTTAAATGGAATGGTTTGAAAAAGAAATACTTTGGATAATAGATTACTACAATACACAAAATACAAAAGGATTATCAGTTTTTAAAATTACATAACTATGGGATTCATCATATTTCTCCATATGAAAAATGGGAATTATAGTATCAAATTCATAGGGTTTTATAAGGATTTACACAGGACATTTAATTCAATTAAATTTAATGTTTAGTTTTCAATTAATATTTCATATTCATTCTCAACTAATCTTTATTTCAGTTAATACAAAAATGAAAATGTAATAAAATGCAACACTACAATCATAGTGGAAATAATTCGTTTCATATATTGCATTCAAAAGCACTTGATGTTTTTGCGTCATATAAATAGTGTCTATCTTCCTCATTGGACTGACAGCTCCAGGAGTCTGATTCCTGGAACATAACATATGCTCCACAAAGAGTTCTAGAATTAACCAATGGGCAGTATGAACATAAATTATGACATTGGAAATGCCAATTAATAGATATCCAGATGATAAAATAATGTTTAAACAGCCTTCAAATGTATGCTTCATAAGTAAACACAAAGTATAAAATATATACACCTGTATTAGTCAATTCTCGTGCTGCTGTAGAGAGGTTTAATTGGCTTGTGGTTCCACAGGCTGTACAGGAAGCATGATGCTGGCATCTGCTTCTGGGGAGGATTCAGACAACCTACACTCATGGTGGAAGGCAAAGGATCTTGTTAAACCATAGAATCCGCCCCCGTGAGCCAATTACCTCCCACCAGGCTCCACCTCCAACATTGAGGATTACAATTCAAGATGAGATTTGGGCTGGGACAGATCCAAACCATATGAACACTTAGGACACATTAATTAGATAAGACACATACTTTATGGTGTATTGTTAGCATGTACACGTTTCTATCATGTGCTTAAGAGCAAAAAAAAATATACCCTACCTACTCTTGAAAAGTTTACATTCATGTAGAGAAGAAAACAATAGTTAAATTGTTCTCAAATGAGGCAGAATGTAATCAGTGCTCCACGTATACCCTTCTACCAGCCGTATAGAGGAGCAACTAGATCATGAAATGAGAACTACTCTTCTTGTTTCCAAAATAGTGAATGTAAATATTTCTATTTAAAATAATTAATTCCTAGGTTGGGCCTTATACATTTTAAAACTCAAAAGTGATTTTTAATTAATATTATAGAATATCAGTATACATTTGATTTGATTTGTACATAATAAAAAATAATCACGTTTTGCTAGCCCCTACACTATTGTTTTTCAAAGCATATTCCAAAGATGTTTATAAGTCATAAAATGCACCTAACATGCAAAGTTATAAAATAACCAAAAAGCGTTTCTGATATGGCTTGGATCTGTGTGTTGCCACCCAAATCTCATGTTGAATTGTAATCCCCCGTGTTAGAGGTGGGACTGGTGGGAGGTGACTGGATCACCAGAGGTGGACTTCCCCTTGCTGTTCTCGTGAAAGTGAGTGAGTTCCCTGGAGATCTGGTTATTTAAAAGTGTGCGGCAGCTCCCCCCAATCTCTCCCTAAGTCTTGCTCCTGCCTGTAAGATACCTGCTCTCCCTTTGCCTTCCGCCATGAGTAAAAGCTTCCTGAAGCCTCCGCAGAAGCAGATTCTTCCACACTTCCTGTACAGCCTGTGGAACTGTGAGCCAATTAAACCTCTTTTCTTGATAAATTACCCATCCTCAGGTATTTCTTTATAGCAATGCAAGAATGAACTAATACAGTCTCCAAAAACAATTTTTAATCATTTTATGAGAAAGGAAGTAAACCATAGAATTTAAAATTTAAAATGTTGCTTAATCACAGAAACTAAATTAAAGAACATTTCAATTCTAACGGTGTTCAAAATTTTATTGTCTTGTTTAGTGGAAGATGGAATGAAACCATATTATCTCACATTCAGGTGAACTTATGACATTTTTTCCCCTGAGGAATCTAGATTACAATGGAAAAATAATTTGTCAACAGAACATTAGAATGTGCTTACGTAAGTAAAAATTCCAGTGACAATTCATTTGCGCACTGTTCAAAAAAGGTGATCACGATGGAAAGATTTTAAATTTTGTTGTTTGTATTTTTGCCAATTTTGAAAGGATTTTTTTTTTTTTTTTTTTTTGCACCAGCAGTGTTCAGCTATTGGGGACTAAGTATTAGGAAACCTTTAGCCAGTTTATCTCCTCTCAGCAACCAACATGATGGGACTGGAGCCAACACTCATAGTTTTGAAAACCTCCCTTGAAGGTGGGAGACTTACTTTCCCAAGATGAGGAGTGTCTGAGGAGGCTCAACCCGGCCTGTTTCCCTGAAGAAGTCCCATAAACCGTCTATTACAGATGTGAAGGAGAATATCAAGCCTGTTGACATGATAATCCAGCTTATTGCTGCTCTTCTTGTTCCCAAAATAGTGAATGTAAATATTCATTTATTATTAAATATCACTTATTATTAAATAAGTGAATATTCACTTAATAAATATTATTATTTATAATAATATTGCTGGGGAACCCAAATACGAATGTAATAAACGATGACCCAGAGCTCCAGTGTGGTGCTGATTAAAAGGTTTAGGTGAAGAGCTACAGATGTCTACTTGGGACTCAGATCAAGAACCGATTTCTCATTTGCTTAAAAAAGAAGAATCATGGAGCGTTTTACAGAAGCAGTTGGGAAGTGAATGTGTGAGCATCATACTGACCTGCTGAGGCTAACTGAAAGCTTTCCCTGTCACACTGTCTCACTGTACCCTTCCACACGGCTTTACTTTCTGCTCAAAGCAGCAGCTACTCTGCCATTGCTCTCATCAGAGTAGACAGATAAAAGGTCAGTTTATAGGAGAGGTCAGGTGGGACACAGACAAAGACAATAGTGATTAGAAGGACAAACAGCAGAAAAGTCTTTCATAATAGTTTAGTAAAAGCAATTTAAATAACAACAAACAATATTTACTAAGTGATTATAATGTACACACCACCAAGTGCTTTAGGGAAATCGCTCATTTCTTTTTCACAATGAACCTATGAATTGGGCATGAATTTTATCCCCGTGTCACACCGAGCCTCAGAAAGTTTCATAATTTGCCAAGGTCACACAAATAGAAAGTGGCGGGGTCTCTATTCAAACCCAGCTCATGAGGCACCAGAGCTTGACACTACACTGTGTAACTATAATGTCAGTCACACCCAAGGATCAAATACCTCTTGTCCACATTATTTATAGAAAAATGTTCTTTTGAATTTTAACACTTAAAAGTGTAGAGACAAAGAAATTATGCGAGAACTTGGAGTGTAACAAAAGGTGCATTTTTGCTAAAAACTGGCTCTGTGATCTAGGGAGAGTCACCCATGACCTCTTGACTCCAGAGTCCTCAGTTCACAAAGATAGCTAAGCTGCCTCGAATTCTAAAGTTGTATGGTGTTTCTGTTCACACAGCACTTGAACATCTACTTACTGCCCTTCACTTATGGATATTTAATTATGAGTGAAGGGTTTTGAAGAGAGACTTTATATTATTCACATTATACCTCTTGCCTCTGCATAGGACCTCACATTCAGTTCTAATCTTTATACGCACCAGAAACAAAATTACATAAATCTAAGTAAACTTGCTCCTATCAAATGTGCTCCGGAAAATTGCCAAGTTTATATGGATTTTTAAATTTTACATCAAACAGATCCTATCAACTATTTGTCCCTAGAAAAAAAAAAGATGAAAGGCCAGAACTGCCTACAAGTTGCAATGTCATTGACTTTCCAGCAAGCATTGCAGCTGTCCTGGGAAAACTGAACCTGAAATATGTTTTTGAAACTGCTGAATTTCAGCTTCTAGTGTTTTTCACATTTTAGAAACAGGGAAACTATTAGCTTTAAAATGCTTGTATTTAATAGTTTTTTTCTTAAGCATTTCAAAAACCCCAGGTGAAAAGCTAAGTATGAGAAAGGTTCTCATGCAATCGTTAATCAAATGCAACTAGGTTGGAAGAAGATACATGCTTATTGCTTTGCGGAAGTGGCTTTTGTTCTAACTGAATAGGTTGAGGTAGATTATTCCTATTTAAACTTAGAAACGGAACCTCTAATACAATTGTTAACATTCCTGCAGTGAGGTCGTTTCATACAAATGTAACTGTGACAGGCTGAGATATTCCTTTTGCAAAGCCTATAATCTCTATGTAGTTAATCAGCATAAAGTATTAAAATCATAAATATGAAAAGAATCTCAAAAGAAAAATGATTTAAATTACTCTAAGACTATACAGACTATCCCCAAAGGCATAATTTCTTTAATAGAAAAAAAAAAAACCCACATTGCTTTGAGAACAAAAAAGATTCTGGATTCTTTTGTAGGGCTGCTTGGGCCAGTCCCACCTCTTCCACTTGAAGTTTTTTGTTTGTTTGCTTTTCTTTGAATGTGGAGAAAGTCTCTAGCAGCCTTCCATTTCCTCTGGTCTGAAAGTCTGTGTCCCTACTGAAGTTCTACAGCTTCTTTTATAACATTTCCCATTTGACACTAATTCCAACAGATGATGCTTTTCTAAGTTTGTGTTGTTTATAATTTACAGCACCTGGTTGTAGCCAGAGTCCCTTGCATCTCCCCAGCAGGGTGTGCGGGACCCATACTACCTGCACCCAGGCCTGGCTGGCCCCGCCCACAGGCCTTAGCTTCCTGCCCAGCTTCCCGGCTGCAGTGGGCCTAGCTATAACTTGCTCTGTTCCCATGGCTGTGAAGCCATGGCCGCAGCCTCTGCCATCTCATCTCCTCACGCTGTGGGTTGCCTCTAGCTCCCCTGGGGGCTTGGGCAGGCCACCATCATGCCAGGGGCGTCAGAACCCTGGAAATTCTCCACCCTCCTCAACTCACGGATGCGCTGGTTGCCCCAAGGGCTGTCTGGGGGGCTCACGGAGGAGAGCCTGGAGGAGAGGGGGAATTGACACTGGCCCTCAGAGAGGACACAGAGGGCAGAGCCAGCAGATTCGAGATGCAGTAGTTCCATTAGGGCCTCACTCCCATGTGACACAACAGCCGCCCAAAAGCTCTTGAGAAACTAAGGGCAGCTCAGTGATGTGTCACCTTGCATTTGCTTTGCCTTTTTTCCTGCCTTGTCTTCAGTCTCCTTTCACTCTTGCATCCTGGGATGGCATGTCCGCTATCTCCTCGCATACAGTATTAGCATGTAAGCTTTGCCTCTGCCTCGGGCTCTCTGTCCTAGGGAAACCAGTTAAGTCCTAGTTAAGTAACAGTAACAATCCAGATTTCACTCTCACCACTTTGACATGGAACCTCCTGTCTCTGATAGCAGCCAAGAGGGTCAGAATCACCAGAAGGTATCACGTATGCTCACAAAGACGTGTGCTCAGCCACCACAGGGTTCTCACGGTGTTTATTTCTATGTTGTTTCTTTGTCCTTCCAGCAGGCACCGCTGCTTTCCATGGGGCATAAACTGGACATCTCTTTCTCACCCTGCCTTTGAGGCACTGACTCTTCAAGGCCCCAACACTGCACGATGTTATTTTGCAAGGAAGGGGAGAACACTGCTCTTTCTCATAACATGCAGTCTGTCCTCAGAAAGATCCAGTAACGGTGGGACTTATGCTCCCCATTGTGAAAAAGAATTTTAAACTTGCAGAGGGGAGCTAAGTCAGAAGACAAATGCAAATGGCAAACACTCGGGGTAACTTGGATACAAGCCTCTGACTTAACCTCAGCCGCTGGCTTGGAGCAGAGAAAGAGGGCATGGAGAAGATGAGTAAGATTCTAAGAATTTCCAAATGAGTCATTAGACCAGGACTGAAACAGTTTGAGAACACTGCGCTGGGATTCCTCAGGCTATTTTACCCAGGACTCATTTCCTTACTGCAGTTCTGAAGACAATGACCCTGGCCCCAGGGGTCGGTCCAGTAGGAGGGCTGCAAGGGATCTTTTCTGCTGCATTTACAACATCCACGTATTCTGCAGTCAGAGTTCCCAAGAACAAGCCGGAGCACACTGAGCGCTCCCTAGGGAGGAGGCCTGGGGAGAGCTTAAGAGAGGAATGTACTCCAAGCTTTATGTGCTTGTAATTTGTTTATAGTGCTGTAAAGAGTTGTTTTTCGATGGGACTGTCTTCTGAGTCCTGTACAATAAAGGACATACGTATAAAACTCTAAAATGTAAATTAAAAGCTGAACCACCATAAAATAAAGGCAGTTTGTACAAACTGAAATATTCAGTGCTTTGGGTCTGGGTGAGGTGGAACAAGAAACCCTAGGTAAATTGTAGCAGCGTTAGATGTTTGGCCTGTTTAAAGAAGGATCCTTAGAGGGATGGAGTCATAAACACAGGGCACACTGGCCTCAGAACAGAACTGAGAGGGCTCCAGTAAGCAGAGTGGAGACATAAAGCATCCTGCCATGTGCTTACGATGTAGGATATCGTCAGCCTCTCAGCATGAGTCTTACCCTGTGGAAGAAAGAAGTGGAAAGAGAGGAGAGGAGCATCTCTGAGCAGCACAGCTCCACGCAGAGTTTCACCCCAGTGCTTCTCTGTGAGGTGTAAATACAGCTCTACAGCCTGGGAGGACTGGCAGAGGTCACCAGTAGCAAAGAGTGATAGCGAGATTCCACGGTCATTTGTGGATGAACAGGGGTTGTTCATTTTAAGAATATTGTTTGGGTAAACAAACAAAAGTCAATTTTCCCGTGTTATGGAAATGCTCTGAGAAAGGCAACCTCACACAAATGGGTCAAAGAGAATGCCAAGGTATGGAATGCCTGCTTGTTTGCAGACCAAAAATATCTCTCATTCATACAAGATAGAATCTAGCTGGATTTTGGTGTGGTTCTTTCATAAGCATCTCTCTTGTGTGGCCGACTGCTCCTATTCAGATGAATAACTATGCTAGTATCTTGCATAGCTGATCCATGACCCTGCTACTAATTTCCTCTAAACCTGTCTGTAGAATATCTGAGTGGTTCAAAACCCTTTTAGTTCCATTCCAATCTTCTTCTTCTATCAAATCCAACTAGGCAGGAGGAAACAAGATGTGTGACTCTTGGAAAAAAAAATACCAGCGATGATCTCTGAGACCTGTGAAGTACTGGCCCTCTTTCAAATACAATTCGATTTCTTTCTCACACCCAGCCTTTAAAAAATAATTAGGGGGATCTAATGCACATTGTACTTCTGTGTGCATGTATTTATTCATTCATTCAACCATTGCTCTGTGCTTTGTATTGCAGGCACTTGATACCGAGATGAAGGCAACAGAATCCAGCTCTGGAAGATGTTCACTCACTAGGAGGGAGGCAGACCCATAGACTGACTCATATCATCAGAACAGAATCACCAAGGAGAGATGCTCCAAACTCAGTTTGGGTGGGGGTGTTAGCAGAGGGGCAAGAGGGAGGGGAGGGAGAGGGCGTAAAGCAAAGTGTCCTGGGGCAGGTAGCACCTGAGCCATGTCTTAAAAAATAAGCAAGTCAGGTGGAAGAGGGCAGGAAGCTTAGAAGGCAACGTGGGTGAGACGAAGCAAAGCAAAGAGGTCAACAAATGTGTGGCGTGCGGCATTGCGGAAGAACAAAGATGTTAAAGGCCAGGCCTTTCTCCCTCAGCTATGGAACCTGAACTCCCCTTGTGGGTGATGACAAGCATTGATGACTCTAAGCTGGGTAATAACACAGTCAGAGGAGTACTTCTGGTAGATTATTTTAAGAAAACAAGGCTGAAGAAAAGCACAACAGTTAGTTGTTGCCAAAAACAATGAGGGCCTAAGTGGAGGCAAAGGTTGGGGGGAGATTAGTGGAGGTGAGACATTCAGATATTTGAGGGAAATGTTGGGTAAAATCGATTGCACTTGCTCGTGTATTAGAGGTGGGTGAGTTCCTGGGCTGGATTGTCAGCGTTTCAATACCTTTCTTCCCTTCTATACTCTCCTCTGTATTGAAGGTGCCAGAGCCCCAGATTATTCACTTACTAGCCAGCAGGATCTCATGTTAGGTTCCTCCCATGGAGGTCCCCAAGAAAGATGCGGAAGACAGAAGAAAAGGAAACTTATTATTTTGCAGCAACAGTGAGTAGGTGCATGGGTTTTGGCAGATGGCAAATGAGGTTTTGCCAGGAGCTTCTGCACAATCTCCTGAGAATCTCTGGTGCTGTAAACAGGTGAGACCTTTGGTAAAAGTCCCTCAGAATTCCTGCAATTTGTTTCCCGAAAGACTAGCAGTGGCTTCTCTGACTTTTGCTTCTTTAAGGCTTTTAATTGATTCTATAATTTCCCAGTTCTCTGTACTAAATTCTTTCTTGCTTAAAATATCTACAGTGCTTTCTATTTTACTGACCAAACACTGTTGGAATCAACTGATACCCAGGTTTCTGGCTTAGGTGACCAGGTGGACGGTGAATTAGAAAATTAATTCATTCATTCAGCATTCATGATTTACTGAACATCTACTCCGTGCTCAGGGAGTGCTATAGGCACCAGACACAGGGACTCCTATCAAAATGACCAATGCTCCTGCCCTCAAGGAGCTTATCTCCTAGAAGGAGAAATAAGTGATATAAGAAACTAATAATTAAATAATGTCATTTCAGATGATAATGTTAGGAATAAAATGACAGAAGACCATATGAAAGACGATGTGTAGGTGGTAGAGTGGTCCTCTTAGACTGAATAGAGAAAATCTTACTAAGGAGGCCACATGTGAGCCTAAATGACCTAAGTGTCCAAAAAGCTCTAGTCATGTAAAGATCTACTTTTGGTTTAAAGTGAGAACAAACTTGGTTGGCTCAAGAAAGAGACTGGAGGTCCATGTGACTAGAGCAGAGTGGACAAGAAGGAAAGTGTCAGAAGATGAGACCTGAGAGTTAACTAAAAGTCAGAGCATGCAGGCCTTCTTAGCCATGGTAAGGAGTTACCTACCTGATCTCATGACCTTACTGTAAACCTACAGTGTTGAAGACTGGACACCCCATGAAAGTTATATCGTACATTAAAAGGTACACTGGGGCTAAGGGGCAACTTGATCAGATTTGTGTTGAAAAATAGTCACTAGAGAAACCAGCCCATGGAAGCAAACAGAGAAGGTAGGAGTGATGGAGTAAATATTAAAAATATTAAATTTGGCCGGGTGCAGTGGCCCATGCCTGTAATCCCAGCACTCTGGGAGGCCAAGGTAGGCGGATCATGAGTTCAGGAGATCGAGACCATTTTGGCCAACATGGTGAAACCCTGTCTCTACTAAAATACAAAAAATTAGCCAGGCATGGTAGTATATGCCTGTAGTACCAGCTACTCAGGAGGCTGAGGCAAGGGAATCGCTTGGGCCCAGGAGGCGGAGGTTGCAGTGAGCCAAGATCACACCACTGTACTCCAGCCTGGCGACAGAGAAAGACTGTCTAAAAAAAAAAAAAAAAAAATTAAATTTAACATGCTTCTAGGACAGGCAGCTGGCAGGCAATTAGATAAATAAGACTGCTGGAGAAGGTCTGGGACTGAATATGGAATTAGGAGTCCGTACATGGGTGACACTGGGTACACCATGAGTATATGCAATAACACAGGGAGTGTGGGTAGAAAGAACAGAGCACTGAGTTATGGAAGACTTTGTAGAACAACTACCCTGAAAGGCAGCTGCAGGAAAAGGCCCCCACAAAAGGAGGATGATTCAATGGGAATCCGGAGAGTGTGGGGTCACAAAAGTCTAGGTAGTTTCACTAAGAGAAAGCAAAACAGCAGTTAACACAGGACTGAGATTGGGAACAAGGAAAAGGTATCCACTTTCACCATTCCTATTCATTATTGTATTGGAGGTTCTAGCTGTAGCAATTAGATTTAAAAAACCCAGGATATATATAGAATAAAAGAGAAATAAAACGGTTTTTATTCATAGATGACAAAATTGTCTACATAGAAAATCTCAAAGATATGCAAACAAGCTACTAGAATTAATAAAGGAGCTTAACAAGATTGCAGGATATAAGTAAATATAGAAAAATCAATAATTCCATATGGTAGAAATAAACAATAGAAAATGAAGATTAATAAGCAATACCATTTGCAGTAGCACTGAAAAAATACTTAGAAATAAATCTAACAAGATACATGTAAGCTTTGTATGCTGAAAACTATAAATTATTAGTTATAACTATAAATTATTAATGAAACTAAGTAAGACCTGAAAGATGGAGAGATATATCATGTTCATGGATGAGAAAACTCAGTTGTGTTAAGATATCCATTCTCTCCAAATAGATCTTAGATTCAGTGCAATAAATCCCAATTAAAATTCAATTTCCATCAAAATCCCAGCAAGCTATTTTTTGAAATGGGAAATTTTATTCTAAATTTGTATGAAAAATCAAAGAAAGTAGAATAGCCTAAGCAATGTTGAGAAAGAAGACAAAGTTGGAGGCCTTACCTACCTGATTTCATGACCTCACTGTAAACCTACAGTGTTGAAGACTGTACACTCTATGAGTATATGAGATAACACATCCCTTCCTTGGAGGAAGGCAGTTCACATAGATCAGTGGGAGAGAACAGAACCCACACCTTCAACACAAGTGCTAAGGCAATTCAATGGAGAAAGGACAGTCTTGCTAAACAAAGACTGGAACCATATGTGTAAAAATGAACACTGATAAATACACTGGACCCTATACAAAAAGATTAACTTGGAATGGGTCATAGAGCTAAATGTAAAACTCAAAACTATAAAGCTAACAACAGAAAGACAAAGAACCCAATTCAAAAATGGGCAAAGGGCTCAAAGAGACATTTCTCTAAAGAGGATATGCGAATGATCGGCAGACACACGAAAAGATGCCCAACAGCGTTGGTCACCAGTGAAATGCAAAACACACCCACAATAAGAGAGCACTTCACACCCATGAGAATGACAATAACAACAACAACAGCAAAACCAGAAAATAACAGATGTTGCTAAGGATGTGAAGAAACTTGAATACTCATATACGGCTGGAGGGATGTGAAACGGTACAGCTACTGTGGAAAACAGTTTCATGATTCCACAATAAATTAAACACAGAATTGTCATATGACCCAGAAATTCTACTCCTGTGTAAAAAGTGAACACAGATCTTCAAACAAAACTTGTACACCGATGCTCACAGCGGCATTATTTACAAGAGCCAAAAGGTAGAAACAAACCAAATGCCCACCAATTAATGAATGAATAAAGAAAAGATGGCATATTCATACATTGAAATATTATTAAGCCATAAAAGGGAATGAAGTACTGATACATGCTCCAAGATGTAGAAACCTTGAGAACTTATGCTAAATGAAAGAGTGAGACACGAAAGACTATATGTAACACGATTCCATTCCATTTATACGAAACACTCAGAAGAGGCAAATCCATACAGGCAGGAAGTAAATTAGTGCCTGCCTGGGGCTGGCGAAAGAGAAGAATGGGGATTGGCTGCTTAGTGGGTATGGGGTTTTTAGGGATGATGAAAATGCTTTTTTTTTTTTTTGGACAGGGTCTTGCTCTGTCACCCAGGCTGGAGTGCAGCAGGGTGATCATGACTCACTGCAGCCTCATCCTCCTGGGCTCAAATGATTCTCCCACCTCAGCCCCCCTAGTACCTGGGACTACTAGTGGACACCACCACCCCCCAGCTAATTTTTTATTTTTAATTTTTTGTAGAGACAGAGTCCCACGAGGTTGCCCAGGTTGGTCTCCAACTTCCCGGCTCAAGCGATCCTCCCACCTTGGCCTCCCAAAGTGCTGGTGTTACAGGTGTGAGCCACTGTGCCTGGCCATGAAAATGTTTTTGAAGTAGATAGTGATGTTGGTTTTGCAATATTGTGAAGGTAGTGAATATCACTGAATTACATACTTTAAAGTGGTTAAAATGGTAATTTTAATATTATGTGCATTTTGCAACAATAAAAAAATCTGTAAACCTTATAGAAGAAAACAAAGGAGAAAGTCTTTGTAAATTTGGGTTAGAAAAAATGCTTTATATTGCACACAAATTGCACAAGCCATAAAAGGAAAAATTAACACACTGGACTTGATCACAGTTAAAATACTCTGCTAAATAAAAGGGAAACCACAGAAAGGGAGAAAATATTCACAAAATATGTATCTGATAATAGGCTGGTATACAGAATATATAAAGAATGTACACAACTCAACAATAATAAAACAAACAACCCAATTTAAAAAAAGAAGCAAAAAAATAGGCAAAAGTTTTGAACAGGTACTTTAACCAAAGAGGAGATGCAGATCTAAATATGGACATGATAAATGCTCAGTACCATTAATCATTAGGAAAATGCAAATGAAAACTATTACACACCTTTCAACTGGCCAAAATATAAACAAAACAAAATCTGACAATATCAAATGCTGACAAGGATGTGGAGCAACAGGAGCTCTCATTCACTGCTAGTGGTGATGCAAAATAGTACAGACTCCTTGGAAGATCGTTTCTGATACTGTTAAACATAAACTTCATGCCACCTGGCAGTCCCAACTCCTTGGCATTTATCCAAGAGAAATGAAAACATATGTTCATACAAAAACCTGAAAGTGAATATTTATAGAGGCTATATTCATGGTCACTAAAACCTGGAAACAACACAAATGTCCATCACCTGGAGAGTGGATACAGAAACGATGGTACATCCATACAACAGAATGTTACTCAGCAACAAAAAGGAAAAGGCCACTGATAGTTGCAACAAATGGACGCCTCTCAAATGCATCATGCCAGTGAAAGAAGCCAGACCCAAAAGACTAAGTATTGCATGTTTCCACTAATAATACATTCTGGAAAAATAAAACTATAGGGACAGAAAGCAGATCAGGGTTTGCCAGGGGCTGGGGTCAGAAAGAAAATCAACTGAATGGGGCCAAGGACCCTTTTTGAAGAGATGAAAATTTTCTACACATTGATGTGTTGGAAGTTCTGTAATTTGATACATTTTTCAAAATTCATTTATCTGTACTCCTAAAAAAGGTGAATACTGTATATAAATTATACTTTCATAAACCTGACTTTAAAACATGACTGAGACTATCACTTGGTTAAGGCTAACCAAAAGGGCTTTGGCAATCCTATTGGGAACAATTTCACTGGTAAAGCCTGAAGCGAGACTGAGATAATAGCGTACATTTATTCAATGAGGTAGAAAGCAAGGCAGAGAATAGGAAGCGGGTGCTTCTGCTGAGTGCTCCATTAATCAAGTTAAACTGTTATTTCTTTCCCCCTAGGCTTGTAATTCAAACCAGGGAAAGTTTGGGAGAGAGGGGGAAGGGGGAGAATGGAGTTATGATTCAGAATCTCCAAGGGCATTTGTGTTTGAAAATTTTATTTATGATATTTAAATTTAGAGAAAAATCCCTATTTGTCAAATAAAAACTAGGGAAAGGAAAGAATGATAACACCTTTGGTAGATGAGGATATCCAGAATAAAAACATGACTCACTGGGGCCATGCTCCCTGGGGATTCTTTGGTGTGGCGGGAGTGGCGATAGAGACAAGATTTTTTATAATAAAACATGGCAAAGGATAAAACAATTAGATAACTTCTGTCCCCAAAACTTACACTTATCTTGTGTTTAATAACAGATTCAGTGTTGATAGAGTCTGAGAGTATTCCCATCATAATGTAAGTCTGCTCCAGTGGACTTTTTACCACTTTGTGTTTGAGCCTCAATTAGTAGGAAACAATCTGTTCTAAGATAAGAAATCAAAATCTAATTTTGTTATTTCTCCCTAGTGAGTGGACACTTTCTTTGGGATTGGAGAAAAGGGACTGAATTGGTTTCCCTTTAAAATGCCTTCAGTATCTTTTGGATTGGTGCACCAAATTCTCACTCTGCCCAGTGTGGAGGTGACTGCTGAGTGCCGAAATGCCAGGACCAGAAAATCAAGCTGAACACATGCGTCAATGGTGAACAATTATAGCTCAGAATCCATCCTCGCAGGATCTGGGGTCCCTGTGATTGTATCATCCAGACATACATCCTCCTCTCCTCCCAACTGCAGCAAGTCCAAGCCAGATCTCGCAGGATGAGTAAGCGACATATGGCATGTGTGAAATTCCACTCCACCCTGTTGCCCTTCCCAGAGCTGCTGTAGACGGCAGCAACGATTATAGCAACCTTGACTCCATAAGGAATGTGACAATTTAAACCCTGCAGACTGTTTAGCAATGAGTTATTCCAAGCAGTAAGTTGTACCCTAGAGCCCTGGAATGAACTGAAGAAGCACTGGGCTCACATCTTAGGAGATCTGTTCATCAGGTAGAAACTGGCTTCATCGGCAAGGATTGAGATTTTTCTGCTATCGTTTTTGATGGCTAGTCTCATCAAAGAGCAAACAGCATGTCTCAGATTACAGCTATCAGTCCTTTGGCATTCCGCAGGCTTCTCACATTCATGCCGAGTCGCAGGGCTGACCTGGCCTGAATTGTGGGATCTGAACTCTCCCAGAAATTTAAGAACCCCCAAATTTGTCCCCAGGTCATGGTTTGGGATTGGGGCCACCCAGAAAATTCGACAGACTCAGAGACTCCTTGAGAATGATGCTTTAAGCTGCAGTCTCAGATACCCCGAAATTATATGAGTACAGTGGAATGGAGGCAGAGAAGGGGATGCGCGGTGATGACTTTTTCATAAAGGCCCTAGGATCCAGGTCAAGTCTGTAGTGGTCCCCATGATGATTCTGGGCTTCAAGGGTATTCTGGGGAAAGCCAACCTGCAGGGATTCCTGAGTGCCTTTAACCACAGAACCCCTAATATCATGGAATAAAAGAGAAGTAAAAGTTATTGGACAAGGAATGGTAACTTTTAGTTCATGAAATCCTTTGTGACACACCATCTCAACTTTTGCTTTGGCAAATTTTTTTTCCATGTCAACAACTGCTGTGACTGATTTTGAAACCAGGAAATCAACTTGAATGCAAATAAAAATTCAAATGGATGCAAATTTATGAAAGGTAAACTTTTAAAAAAGTCTTAGAAAAACTGTCACACAAATGAAGATTCTAGTATTCTAGTGGTTCAGAATTAAGTCCAGGTTTTAAATGTTCTTTATAAGGATATCTCTTTTTTTTTTTTTTTTTTTTTTTTTTTTTTTTTTTTTTTTTAAGAGGCAGGGTCTCCATACATTGCTCAGGCTAGACTCAAACTCTTGGGCTCAATGGATCCCCCTACCTCAGCCTCCCAAGTAGCTGGGACTACAGGCAGCCACCACCATACCTGTCTAGGACATTTCTTGACATAGTTTGAGCCTTTTATCTGACGGTTAAGTCTGCTGGGTTCAGTACTGTTTCATTTCTATAGATAATATATCCTAAACATTTTCAAGTTACTTGAGATTATTAGATGCAGTGAGATGAACCAAACTAAAATATCTCTTGTAGCCCTTTCACTAGCTGTGGCTTATTTATATTAAAGAAGCACACAGTAGTGACACATCTGTGACACAGGGACTTGACAGCTGCTAGGTGGTACGAAAAGGTTGGTTGTTTTGTTTATTTTGGACAATGCCCATCAATCACGAGAATGATGTTAGAACCACCTCTTATATAGCTGGCCCTTACTGAAACAAGCACTGTTGTTCCAGGACCCTGTCAGATTAGGGCTCCATCAGACTGAAAGAGTAGCTTTTTCCTGCTCAGGGTCTAATAAAGCTCCTGGCATCTTGGCACACCCTTGTTGACCCTGTTGCCATTCTAGAGAGCAGACACTACCCAGTGGAGCCACCAGAGCTTCCCCAAACCCACTGCGAATTCCGACTTGAGACACTGCAAGGCTCAGCCCATTGTATTTTGAAGTAGGATTTTCCTTAATGAAAAAAGTCTTTTTCATTATTTCTGTCCAATCGACAGATAAAGAATTTATGAATTCCAAGTCACAAACTGGGTTAGATTGTCGCCTGCCACTCTTCCTCTCCCTGCCATTTTTTTTTTTTTGAGATTCTGAGAATTTTCCCATTATAAAATAAGTCCACTCCAGTGCAGATAATTCCTCACTCACATGCTCTGAAATTCTTGCTTCTGCCTAAACCCTGTCCTGTCTCTGTGATTACTCTTTTAGACATAATCTTTGTGGCTTCACCCCTTGTTGCAGAATAAGACAGTAGCCCAGCAGGCCACACTCTCACAGGGGCAGGCCTGGGACTTTGCCTATAAAATAGAAAATCAGCTGCCCATTTTTTCAATTCCAATGAATGTGTAACTATCAAAGAGCTTATTCCATCTGGTCCTGTTCACAGAAGACTGAGAGACGACAGACAGGAATGTTGATGGCCAAACCACTTAATTTCTATTGAGTCTAAAAAAGAAATGAAGAACAGTTCTAGGCTGCCAGAAAACAGAAGATAAGCATATGGTTGTTAAAATTACAAGAACAACTGGGGCAGAGGAGACAAGCTGCTTGCAATGGCGTAAGGATTTCTACGTTGCGTTTTGATCCACACCCACCCTGGCAATGACTGCTATTGCATAAGCCTTCAATTCTTCAGGCCTGTGCAGATACTGATTTAGAATTGGTCTCTGGCTTGTTATGAAACGAAGCTCTTTCATGGCACAAATGTGGAGCAGAGGCGAACCTGGTTTGAAGATGCCTATGAGACCTATATTCTCATCCTGCCCCTCGGGCATGAGTCACCACTTCCCCCTAAAATATGGAAAAATGCTAAAGTGACTTTCATGTGGGATGTACAATTGGTAATGACTGAGTTGGGAAAAACACACAACTCCCTGAACTATCCACATGCCATGAGTTCTCAAGGCAGTCTTGCTGAGATATTATAGGAAGTCTAACATTCTGCTGACTTGTCCCATATGTCGAGAGTCTAACAATTTTACAAACAAGTTGTTAGAGGGAAAGAGGACAGTGTCTTCATGGTTGTCAGAGAGACCCAAGCAAATGACAGCATGTAGCTCCTTGGTATCCTGGCATCACTGGCCTTGGAAAATTTTGCTGCAATGATAGCTCTGTTCTCCTACATCAAAATAGGGACTTAATGAATTTGATTTGTGAGTGCTATTAAAAACCCATCTTCTCTTCTTTGAACAAGTAAGCCTGGTCAACTGCCTGTGCTGAAAACCACTGAAGTGTGTATATCATATGTTTTACAAGACTCTAGTTCTATTGAGTCGGGTTGAAATATGCTTAAGAGCATGTGATGGTTAATTTTAATGCATCAACTTGACTGGGCTATGGGATGCCCAGATAGCTGGTGAAACGTGATTTCTGAGTGTGTCTGTGAGGGTGTTTCTGGAAGAGATGAGCATTTGAATTGATAGACTTGAATAAAAAAGATCCACCTTACCCAGGGTGTGTGGGCATCATCTCATCTGTTGAGGGCCTGAATAGAATGAAAAGGCACACGAGGGTAAATTCACTCCCTCTCAGGTTGAATTGGGACACCTATCTATCTCCCGCCCTCAGATGTTGGTGCTTCTGGTTCTTGGGCTCTCAGACTCAGACTGAGACACCAACGGCTTTCCTGGTTCTCCAGCTTGCAGACAGCAGATCGTGGGATTTCCTGGCTGCCATAATCACATGAAGCAATTTCTATAATAAATCTCCATATTTATGTATAAAACATATATTCTCTGGGGACCCTCGGCTGATACCAGGTGCACTTGTTAAAAATCATTTAGAGTGGAGAAGATGAGTAGCTTATCTTTCATATTTTGCCTCTGACATGGCTATTGTTAAACTCGGAAAACCTGTATCTTCCCAGACATGAAGAAATTCACCTTCAACTACCACAAAGACCATGATTTGGTGTTTACAAGTTTATTTAGAAACAGGTATTTTTTAAAGTGGTTCCATATTCTTTTACGTTCCTTTAAGGAAATATAATAATATGATTATAAAGGAAAGGTGGATTGACTCACGGTCATCTCTATGAGACAGGAATAAGCAAGGGGTTGCACTTACAAGCTGTCCTTTTGGGATTTTTTTAAAATCATATTCACATATATATATATTACATCGTGTAAAAGACTTGTGATGGTTAATACTGAGTGCCAACTTGATTGGCTTGAAGAATGCAAAGTGTTAATCCTGGGTGTGTCTGTGAGGGTGTTGCCAAAGGAGATTAACATTTGAGTCAGTGGGCTGGGAAGGCAGACCCACCCTTAATCTGGGTGGGCACCATCTAATCAGCTGCCAGCACGGCCAGAATAAAAAGCAGGCAGAGGAATGTGAAAAGACTAGACTGGCTTAGCCTCCCAGCCTTCATCTTTCTCCCATGCTAGATGCTTCCTGCCCTCGAACATCAGACTCCAAGTCCTTCAGTTTTGAGACTCAGACTGGCTCTCCTTACCCCTCAAGCTTACAGACAGCCTATTGTGGGGCCTTGTGACTGTGTAAATTAATACTTAATAAACTCCCATATATGTATCCTATTAGTTCTGTCCCTCTACAGAACCCTGACTAATATAAGACTGTAGAGAAAAACTTCATGTATGTAACAGGGACCCTTGCATAACATAGAGCTTAGCTTATACCAGAAGATAATTGTTTGATGAATGAACAAATCCTTTCAGGGTACAATAATTCAAAGCTTTTAATACGTTTAGCATAGCAACAAAAATCCATGGAGTCAACACAGCTACAGGCAGCCGATCCCTGTAAACATCCCCAGGGCACTCTCTAAAACTGTAAATTCGGCTCCTATTTTTTACATTCTAACACACCCTCTGTTAAGGCCACTAAGTCACTCATCTCTCAGGCAGGATGAAACAGAAAATAGCTTAAGGACTAGCGCTTTCAGCCCATTGCTGTAGGTTCACCAACCTCAATGCTACCTCTTATTCTAGACTGGTATCTGCAGAGTGAGATACTATTCTCTCTAGTCCCAGATCATATGCTTCTTCCATAGGTATAGGTAAGGTCACCAACCAAAAAATGGAGTCCATACTCTGACAAATACAATCATATTCATGGGAACATTTTAATTTGAGTCTATCCTAGAAAACTCAGGTCATTTGGTTGTTTTGTAGTGTTATGTTCCACGGTTTTGATATGGCTGTAGCTTTCTAGAGATTTCCTTGAATGATAGGAAAAATTTTAAAGAGAAAAACTGATTTCCACATTCGAGTTGCACTTCAGATGGAATTTGTGGGCTGCCAAATTCTAGCCTCTGCGGTAGGTTATTCTGCTCACAGCTCTTTCTAATATTCAGTAGAGCGGGCTTCTCAAGTCCACCCACGACCCCAAGAGTAGAGGCATGTGGACTGAAACCATGGTGTCTGGGAAGAGTTGGCACACAATGTTTTTGTGGTTTCTCTTTTTGTTTACTTGAATTAACATAAAAACAGTGCTTTAAATCATTTACCACCACGCAAATCACCACTTGAGGATGCTGGGTCTCTGTTTGACCCCTTGGTCCTGGTGTTCACTCTCCCTTTGTGCCTGCCACCCTGCAGGGGTCCTGAGGAAATCATGAAGGTCACTACACTTTAAATATAAGTGATGGGAGTGGGTTAGTGGAAATAAACTCCCACAAATATACAGGAGATGAGTATGTGTATGTACAGCATGTAAAATACCTTCTCCCTGCACATGTCTAGTGGTGACCCTGAGCTGGCTTCTCAGTGCCATCCTTAACTTGAAGAAAAAGGGGAAGGAAATGATAATATATGCTTGGAGTTTCAGATAAATAATAGCGACCATCACAACCATCTGGGGAGTGAGGTATGATGAGGCTTATTTTATGGATGAAACATCAAAGCTAAAAGAAATAAAACCACTTCTACAATGTTTTATAGGACAAAGTATGTATCCTTTTCCAAATACATATATATATAAGCAGGAAGTATGCTATCTTTGAGGTATTCTTTAAGGCATGATCTCGGCTTCTTCTAGTTCGTTCATATACAGAATTTCTACGACACCCCAAATGCACCCCAAGAAATGTACTTGGGATAGCTATTCACACGGGGGCCAATTAGGGCAGCTGGATAATGCTTTCTTTCTTGTGAGTATAAAAAGGAGAACATGAGAGGGATACACCAATGAGGTACACCTTCTGCCCAGTTTTGGGGAGAAATATGCAAACTTATTTTTAATGTGAGCTATAAGTGCAAACTTTGTTTCTCTATATTGTATTTGTAAAAGTTCTCAAACATTCTCCCAGATATGTGTATATGGTATTATAAAAGAAATGCATAAAATATTATGCCTCAGACTTGGAGTAGAAACATGGCGAGTGTTCCAAAATAATTTTTTTAAATGGAGCTGATTGTCTAAGAACCTGGAATGAGTTTTGAGGAAGAAACAGAGGGAAAATCATTTTTGTATTTACTAAAATGAAGGCAAAACTATGAAGTCTTTGTGTCTGGGACTTTTGGTAAAGCTTTCAGTGAACACCAAATGGATGAAGGAAATAAAGATGTGTTATTCACATGTTACTCTGGTTACTTATAGGAGTCAGAGTTTAAGAATAGTCTCTGAAATGAAATACTCCATACGTGAATCATCCATTACAGTCTTCAAACAGGTTCTATACTAAAGAGTGTGACAAGCGTTTCTTTAAAGAATGAACAATCAGGTGTCATGGAAGTACAGAGGGGAGTGGTTGAGGAAGTCAGCCCAGAGGAAGCAGCACCTGAGCTGAGCTCTGGAGGTGGTGAGTGATGGGTCAGCAAGGGGGTGGCGGAGTGGACATTCTAGGCAGGGACAAATTCACAGGAAATATGAAAAAGACTAACAGTAATAATTGTTCATTTTTAAGCTTGGCTACGAAATGCAGTGGTCCCATTTGAACTAAAATCTAACTCTAAGAGGTCACTGAAGTAGAAAAATGGAACTTCTTCACCACATCTTCTTCTTGAGGGGAAGTAAGCCTGTCCTCGTATCATTAGACTGGCCCAGTGACATGCTCCTGGCTACAGCTCACTGTCTCAGGGAACGGCAGATGTCTGAAGCCAGGCAAGGAACACAGTTGGTGTAATTCACATATGGGATATTCTTAGCATTGAATACTGTTTTCTTTCAGTCGCTTAGGGTATAGTATGGTTCTTTGTCAAAAGATGACAAAGCGCTGCCTTGGTTATTCAGTTTGTGAAATGAATCACAATGCTTTAATAGAATGAAATCTGTCTACTGTGAATCTGCATTTGAAGTTAAGAGATTCTACTCTCAAAGTGTTTCTCTTAATGGGAAAGATGCCCAACTAGCAATTCTTGTGGAGGCTACAGAAATCCCCACAAGAAAGAGGAATGAAGAAGCTGCACAAAGAGAAATAGAGAAGAGAGAGAGAGAGAGAGAGAGAGAGAGAGAGCCTTAGTTAGTTTACTGAGAGAGAACGTGCTAGTCCCTGATTCCAAATGCATCCTTGCCCTTGAGTGCTGTGAAACTCTCCTGTAACATTAAAATGCTTTCCACTAGAATTAGTGGGTTTCTAAGACTTAAAATAAGAGCATTTTATATACACACATTTATATGAAGACATCATAAAGACAATAATCTCGTTATATATTTATATACACACTTAAATGACATAATAATAAAGACCAGTCTAATGGTTTATTTGCCTCTGTAGAAACCATCAGAGACTATTAGTTTCTCCAAGCATTAATTGCTTTGTCTGGTCCAGGGCATAGTTTTTCCTTGAAATACAGTCTTACATTCTCCTCAGGATTTTAGGAGCTATTGCTGTTTTCAGGTTAGTAAGTGAGGCCTTCCCCTCTGAAGGCGTCAGGTTTATGAAGAGTTCATTTGAAGCTGTGCATAGGGTAAATTTACCTTCAACTACACAACTCAGGTGTGAGACGTAGATAAAGCTTCTGCTCCAGTACATACGTGGACACACACATTCATCTATTTTGGGGCTCCACTTAATGTATCAATGTTTATGAGTGTACCTCAGAACAGCACATAGCAGACATAGCAAACATAAGCACTTTACACCGAGAACACTAGATTTTATTAACCACTTGAAATCCCTGGAGGGAAATGTCATTTCATTAGGAGGCTCCTTGGCTGCTAATCAAGGGCTTTTCATTTCCTTAAGTACATTGATCTGGTAACAAATTTTCTTCTCTGAAAAACCATTCGGGAAAGCATTTTCTAAAAGCAAAGTAAGAAAGGTCTATTTATCTTTGGTAAATACAAACACTGAAGAATCACCAGGAATTAAGACAGAATAGAAACCATGTGTCTGTACCCTCATAAGATACTGGGACTCCCACCAAATCCATCATATAACTTATTACGCACCAAAGTCTTCCTTCACCACCACACATCCTATCTAAGATGTTTGCTGTTGTCATTTACATCTGGGACCCTAGTTAGCATGAAGATGCCATGTTCTTTTAGTTACTTGAAGTAAACTATGGTAAGTTGTCAAAAGATGACAAGGCACTGCCTTGGCTGTTAGGTTTATGGAATGAATCACTGTGTTTAATAAAATTAAATGTGCCTTTGGGATTCTCAGCACATAGCACAATAAATGTTAAGTCAGGTATAAACTGACATTTTGGATTACAACACTGTTGTATTTTCCACTCAAATTTAGCTGTTTCTGAAAATGTATATGATTCAAACAAACACAGGAGTTCAAATCAGTGCATTTCTCACATTCCGTTCTGTTATTCATTTAGTCCAATGTTCAATTTAAAGCATGCATCTTAACTAGGATGTTCCTAGTTTACAGTAAGCAGTGTCATGCAGTAGAAAGATCATGGGTTTCATGATCAGGCCAGATTCTAATTTCATTCTTCCCACACAGCTCTATGTGACCAGGGCGAGTTTCTTAACTCATTGAGTTTTTGCTTCCTTTTAGGTAAAACCCCAAGAATACCATCTGACTGCCATCCAAAATTATAGCAAATAATAAATAAGATTAAGAATTAATATGCCTACACCTCTGCCTGGCATGTAGGAGACACACAATAGAAGTCACTTCTTCCCTGAAACTCCCACATTTATGACCCCACTATCTTGCCTACAGCTAAATCCTTTGTGAGCTTTATAAATCTCTAGATTTTTGATAGCATTAAAGCATCTCCAGTAACTTTTTTTAAAAAAGGATCATAAGTTAAAATATTCTATTTTCCTTTACTATGGCTATGGTTTGAAATATGCCCCAAATTTAATGTGGTGGAAATTTAACCCCCAAATTCATATGTTGATGGCATTTGGAGATGGGGCCTTTGGGAAGTATATTAGTTCATTCTCAGGTTGCTATAAGGAAATACTCAAGACTAGGTAATTTATAAAGGAAAGAGGTTTAAATTGACTTACAGTTCTGCCTGGCTGGGGAGGCCTCAGGAAACTTAGAATCATCATAGAAGATGAAGGAGAAGCAAGGCACATCTCACAAGGTGGCAGGAGAGAGCGTGTAAGAGAAAGCGAGGGAGTACCACACTGAAATCATCAGCTCTCATGAGAACTCCCTCACTATCATGAGAAAAGCTTGGGGGAAACTGCCCCATGATCTAATCACCTCCCACCAAGTCCCTTCCTCAACACATAGGGATTATAATTCAAGATGAGATTTGGGTTTTGGACACAGAGCCAGACCATAACAGGAAGTAACTAGGATTATATAAGGTCGTTAGTATGGGGCTCCCATGATGATGGACTGGTGGCTGTTGCAGGAAGTCAGGGACCCTGAATGGAGAGACCTGCTGAACCCGCAGCAGAAGAACATAAATTGTGAAGATTTAATGGACATTGTTCCCAAAATGAATACTTTTATAATTTCTTATGCCTGTCTTTACTGCAGTATCTGAACATAAATTGTGAAGATTTCATGGACACTTATCACTTCCCCAATCAATACTCTTATAATTTCTTATGCCTGTCTTTACTTTAATCTCTTAATCCCATCATCTTCGTAAGCTGAGGATGTATGTCACCTCAGGACCCTGTGATGATTGTGTTAACTGTACAAATTGTTTGTAAAACATGTGTGTTTGAACAATATGAAATCTGATTGTAAAACATGGGTGTTTGAACAATATGAAATCAGTGCACCCTGAAAAAGAACAGAATAACAGTGATTTTCAGGGAACAAGGAAAGATAACCATAAGGTCTGACTGCCTGTGGGGTTGGACAGAATAGAGCCATATTTTCCTTCTTGCAGAAAGCAAGTAGGAGAAATATCACTGAATTCTTTTCCCAGCAAGGAATAACCATGGGGAAGGAATGCATTCCTGTGGGGAGGTCTATGAATGGCCGCTCTGGGAGTGTCTGTCTTATACGGTTGAGATAAGGGATGAAATACGCCCTGGTCTCCTGCAGTGCCCTCAGGCCTACTAGGATTGGGAAATTCCAGCCCGGTGAATTCTAGTCAGACCAGTTGTCTGCTCTCAAACCCTGTTTCCTGTTAAGATGTTTATCAAGACAGTGCATGCCCAGCAGGACATGGACCCTCATCAGTAATTCTAATTTTGCCCTTGCCTTGTGATCTTGCTCTGCCTTTGCCTTGTGATCTTTTATTGCCCTTTGAAGTATGTGATCTCTGTGACCTACTCCCTGTTCATACATCCCCTCCCTTTTCAAAATCCCTAATAAAAACTCGCTGGTTTTGCAGCTCGAGGTCTCCATCACGGTCCTATCAATATGCGATGGCACCCCTGGAGGCCCAGCTGTAAAATTTCTCTCTTTGTACTCTTTCTCTCTATTTCTCAGACCGGCTGACACTTAGGGAAAATAGAAAAGAACCTACGTTGAAATATTGGGGGCTGGTTCCCCCAGTAGTTGGCTTTATAGGAAGAGGAAGAGAGACTTGAGCTCCAAAGCTCTTGCTTTCTCACCATGTAAAGAAGAAGGCCCTCACCAGTCTTGGACTTCCCAGCCCCCAGAACTGTGAGCTAAATAAACCTCAATTCTTTATAAATCATTCTGTCTTGGTATTCTATTAGAACAACAGAAAACAAACTAAGATAACCACTTAATTTTGTATTTTTAAATCTCACTTTTTCTCCCCTTTCTCCCTTATGCAGCAGAAAAAAATCATGGTAAAATAAGATGCTTAGCACATGTTGGGTATTTCAGATTGCCATTTGCCACATTTCCTTTCCACCAGGTGCCTTTTAGCTGAGGTTGCCATAAGCACTGACATCTCTTAAGCAAGTTCATAGTGGGCCACTAAGGGAGAGACACAGACAAGGCTTAAAGAAACCCACATCACCTACCATGATGATTAAGATCAAAATCTACTTTTAAACATAAAACTGAACACGTTTTAACTAAAGAATTAATTGGCTTCATGAACATTATCTTTGTAATAATTTGAGAAAATCTAAAAGGTATGGAAAAAATGTGACAACTTTTCATTTTCTTTCCTTGTGACAACTTCATTTATTTCTTGCAGTAAAAGCAAAATCAGGCTAAGAACATCAACAGGAGTCTGGAGATTTGCAACAGTCTCTATTGATGCCTTGAAATTACTGATTATTTATTAGTTCCTGTAAAACCTTTGAAATTTTCTCATTTTTGAGATTGTAGTCCACTTACACAATATAATGAGTATATACAAGGTTTTGGTGAACCCAAAAGGCTAGTCGAAAACAAGCATGAGAAAAATGTTGCAGGAAATTGCCAAGAAAACAACAACATACTTGGCTTGTTGGAGGTTAAGGAGTCTATTGTTTGTAAGGAGGTTTCTGCTGGGTCTTTAAAAACATATACTAATGGCCATAACGGGACTTATTTCAGTCGGAAAACTTGAAGACAAAGAATTCATTCTGTGAATGGACTGTGACTTTCTTGGGATTCCTTAGGGTAGAAAATAAACACTTTCAGTGGTTATTTTTCCCATGAGACAAAACTGAAATATTTCAGCAGAGCATACCTTATCCTCCCAGCTGCTCCTCCACGCTGTGCCTGCCTCTCTCTTATCTCTTAATCCACTTCCCTCACACCCTGCGTTTCCCACACTCTGTGCAGTTCCTCAAAGTGCTGGGCGATTTTACAACTCCAGCCTTTGCCAGTCTCGCTTCCTTGCTAGGAACGTCTGTTCTCCTCTGCAAGATCACTCTTCCCTAAAGCATTCCTGACTCCCTCATTCTCATGGAAAATTGACCACTCTCTCTTGTTTGGGCCCCCATGATTCCCCATAAATATGTGTATTCTAGACCCTATGATACATATTGTTTTTGCTGGTTTATGTACCCATCTCCTTTAGTAGTTTGTAAGCCTCCTGAGGTCAGGGATCATTTTTAAGTCACCTTTGTTTCTCACCGCCCAGGGCACAATGGGTGACCTATAAAAGATGGTGAATAAATGGGAGCATATGGCAGAGGCAATAGAAACTTGGAGCTACAGGGAATGCATAATCAACAAAAAACTAAGGTGCTGATGGCAATTAGTTCCAAAAGCAGGTGCTTAGAGACAATGAACAGGTAAAGAAGCAAACACTGTGAGTCATGCAGAGAGATGAATGGTAAGTAAACATGACACTAAGTATTTAAATTTTTAACAATATGCTCAAGATCCTTCCATAATTTATTATTAACATATTTTTCCTTTTTAACATTGGAGGTTGCTTAAAGGTGGTCCATACATAAAAGGTCACTTGTAATTGTATAAGCAGGTGCAGGTTCCAGAAAACTTTCCACTACATACGAAAAAGGATCACACAAAATATAATGAGCAAATGGAGATGGAGAAGAGCAAGAGAAAGAAAACTGGCTCATTTATTCGGGAAGCAACTGTTGAACCCTATAAGTCTCAAAGACTGCACCAGCTACTGGATGAATAAGGTTGATATGGTTTTTCTTCCTAACAAGCTTGCATTCCAGAGCAGAGGATGATGGTAAATAAACAAACAAGTAAACAAATTAATAGTTGACAATTTCGATAATGAGTGCCATGCAGACAATAAAGAGAGCACGTGACAAAGCAGTGCCTGAGGGCTGGCTTTAGCTTGGCTGGTTAGAAAGGGCCTCACATGGAACTGGCACTCACGCTGAAGCCCCATTCAACAGAAGAGTTGTGGGAGCATCTGCGAGAAGAATGTTCTTGGTGTTGGTGAAAAGGGTCAAACTCTGTAAAATATTTGGAGAGGCTTGTTCTGAGCCAAATGTGAGGACCATAATCCATAACACAGCCTCAGGGGGTCCTGAGGACATGTACCCAAGGTGGCTGGGCTACAGCTTGGTTTTATACATTTTAGGGAGACATAAGACATCAATCAAGACATATAAGGTGTACTTTGGTTCAGTCTGGAAAGGTGGGACAACTCGAAGGTGGGAGGCTTCCAGGTGGATTCAAAGACTTTCTGATTGGCAGTTGGTTGAAAAAGTTAGGTTATTATCTAAACACCTGGACTCAATAGAAAGGAGGGTCTGGGTGAAGATAAGAGGTCGTGGAAACCAAGGTGAAGCCTCCAGTAGCAAGCTTCAGAGACAGTAGGTGGTAAATGTTCCTTATCAGACTTAAAAAGATGCCAGACTCTTAGCTTATTCTCTCTTGGATCATGGAAAGGGAAAGGGGTTCTCTGTAGAATGCAGACTTTCCCCATGAGACAGCTTTGCTGGGCCATTTCAAAAGATGTCAAAGAAATACATTTTGGGGTAAAATACTTCAACTTCTTTCAGGGCCTGCTGTCTATCTTGTTGGCATCATTGCTATAAACAGTCTGTTTTGTCGGCAGATTTCTGTTTTAATGTTCATGCTGGTCAGTGCCTGAACTCCAAAGGTAGGAGGGTATAAGGAGGGATGTTCAACTTCCACTTCCCACTGTGGCCTGAACGAATGTTTTCAGGTTTCTTTGGAATGCCCTTGGCTGAAGGTGAAGGTTTCTTTGGAATGTCCTTCGCTGAAAATGGGGGGTGGGGTCCATCAGTCGGGTGGGGGGCTTAGAATTTTATTTTTGGTTTACATGAGCATACGGAATGTGTGAGTCTGTGCAGTCAGAATGTGTTTTGAGTGCTTGAGAGACCAAAAGGAAGCTAGTGTAGGTGGGAGGACAGGAAGGATTCAAATGATGAGGCTGGAGGAGGAGAAAGAAGGCAGGCAGCTAACAGAGTGCTTTAGAGGTCCCAGAGAGGAATCTGGATCTTATTCCAGATGCATTTTAATTAAAGGGGTGGAAAAAGATCTGACTTCTATTTTTTTTTTTTTCTTTCTTTTTTTGAGATGGAATCTCACTCTGTTGCCAGGCTGGAGTGCAGTGGTGCGATCTTGGCTTACTGCAACCTCTGCCACCCAGGTTCAAGCGATCCTCCTGCCTCAGCCTCCCAAGTAGCTGGGATTACAGGCACCTGCCACTGTGCCTGGCTAATTTTTGTAGTTTTAACAGAAATGGGGTTTTTGGCCAGGCTGGTTTTGAACTCCTGACCTCATGATCCACTTGCCTCAGTCTCCCAAAGTGCTGGGATTACAGGCGTGAGCCACTGCGCCCAGCCCTGACTTCTATTTTATAGACAACACTTTGCCTGCTGTGTGGATACTTGATACTAGGGGGCAACTGGAAGCTGGGCAAGGCTGGCAATAGTCCGGATGAGAGATGACGGTGGCATGAACAAGGTGCTGGGAGCAGGGAGGAGAGCATTACAACCACAGCAACTACCGGAGTAGAGAGTATGCAGAGGAAGAAAATTTCCAGAAACACTATACAAATTGAATAAAAAACAGTGTATGTATATGTGTGTGTGTGTGTGCTTGCAAGTGCAAAAGAGAGAGAGAAGCATTACTAAGAGCAACAGCAACAGGGGGACCCAGTAGGTGTTGGGCCGTGACTACAGATCCGGTGTGAAGGTGCCAGGCTTTGCAGCTTCAAACTGCACACAGGCAGATTCTGCAGGGCCTTGAGCCTTGTAGGACATGGTATGGGGTTTCAGTGATGTGAAAAGCAATGAAGAATGGCTACTGACAGGTTGTAGAGGCATGAGAGCGACAGGATATATTTGACTTTGAGCAAATTGCATTTATTTTACAGTAAGGACTGTGAACTGGTGGGTCCCAAGATGGGAGTCCAGGCTCGCCATGATGGCATGGCTGCCAAGGGAATTTCTCCTCCTAAACACAAGGTCCACTTAGATCCCTCTGGTGGCTGAGATCACTGCTTACCTTGCGGTGCACTTAACTAAGCCCTTGACTTCTTTACAAAACTCTTAGCTCACTGAAGGCAGCCACTGCCTGTGATGTATTTTTCAAACAGTTAATAGTATTTCACACACAATATGCAAGAAATACATATTTCCTGGATGAATGTTCCACGTTACATGATCATTTTTGCCCTGGTGTGAGGAAGCTTGCCTCTTCTTCCTCTGCCCTTCAACCTCAGGTCCCCCTCTTGTTTCCCCTCCACTGAGGGTGGTGGTGGGGCTGTCTTCCCTCCTCAAATACACCTGACACCTCTGGATTGGTGGTTAAGCCTGAACATAATTACAGTTGGGCAGCTGGTACAATTTGTTAGTACCCATCCGCCTTCTCTTGTAGAGCCCCTGGGACTCTTGTAGTCAAACCTGCTCACGGGTCTAGTGCCTACCTCTATGCCCCCTCATCCCTGCCTGTGCCAATGCACTGCACGCCAGGCCAGTGGAGAGGTGGGACACGGAAGGAATCTTGAGAAGCTCTCAAGAACCTTAAATTATTATGTTAAGGTATACCATGCTAATTAGACTAAAGGCACGTCCCTCCACCTGGATTTGCATTTTTACATTAGGGGAAACACGGCATTAAACATTTTTAAAGAGCAGTGGCCTAGAATAGGAATGATGGGATCTGCCTTCTTTCAACAATGTGTATAATATAGACCTTTATTGAGTGCCTGTGTGTGCCAGGCAATGTCGGGTACTGAGGTTGAAAAAGAGATAAAAATGATATGCAGTCCTATAAGGATATTTTAATTCAGTTAGGGAGACAGGTACATGGATGGATCATTACAGTACTGTGCAACGTCCTATGCTTATTTCCTTCTGGAATTTATCACTATCTCCAATTCAATATACTCACAGCTTTAATTCATAAACAAAAGACCACATGTTTAATATACTGTCTTCTTATTTGTTTAGAATTGAGTTATTTCACAGATTAGTTTAGAAATACCAGTGCTATTGCATAGGATTATTTTCATTATTCAGTTTTCAAGTTTTTTATCTTGCCAGGGTCTTTAAATTCATTTATCATCCTTCTTCTTGTTTAGAATTAAACCTCCAGTTTTAATGGTATTTTTATGATTTCTAAGCAGACATACTCAGAAACTGTAATTGGAGTGTGGACCTAGGTGGAAGATGTGTGTCACCTCCAAAGTGTGAAAAATCAGCTTGTCCATTTTTACATTTTTATTAATCTATCAAATGCTATGATTGTGAATTAAATATAACCTCTTCATTATAAGCCTTTAATTTTCTCCCCATTTTAGTGTTGTTTGTACAATTTAGAAAGGGCTATATTTAACAATATGGGGTTCTTTAATTTTTTAGCTATGAAATAAAGCATAAAAAGAAGATAAAGGTCTCTACAGGAACACAGATTATTATTTACAAAGATTAACCACAAGCTTTCCATGTTTTCCATCCTATTTATTGTGGTCTGCAAGATAAGGTGAAGTATGCAATGGCTAACTCTTGTGTTATAGTTAATTTTAACTCTCTTATCAATAAGCAGATGCCTTTTCAAGTTATAAAAAGTGTGCCATTATTACTATCAACTGGAGAGAATGAGGTCATTGTTCTCATTATACTATAAAAAGCCGGAGTGTAACAGAAGGGCAAAAACATACCTCAAGAAAAACACTCATGCCACCAACAAAATACCTTTGAAGCAAAGAATATCACATTGAATTTTCCCCACAACTAAACATTAGATTCAAAGAAAGAGATTAAAAGCCCTGAAAAGAAGTGGTCTCTTAGAATTAAAGGACCACGTTTATTTTTGTGATGCTCCGTTTATTACTTGTACAGTAAGACTTTTACATGCTGATTTGTAAACTTTTCTATAAAGCAAAAAACTAGGATAGAAACATCCAGCTGAAACTTACTATTACATTTGAAGATTTGAAATCATCACCACTATCACTATATTTGCTTCATCAAATTTAATTTTAAAGATTTGGGAAGTGGAGGCAGGCAAAGAATTATTTAACAGTTTACTAAGAGAAAACGCCTTGGTAAGAGCAAATAGATCACTGAACGGCCGGGTGCGGTGGCTCACGCCTATAATCCCAGCACTTTGGGAGGCCAAGGCAGTCAGATTGCTTGAGGTCAGGAGTTCGAGACCAGCCTGGCCAACATGGTGAAACCCTGTCTCTACTAAAAACACAAAAAATTACCCGGGCATGGTGTCAGGTGCCCGTAATAACAACTACTTGGGAGGCCGAGGTAAGAGAATTGCTTGAACCCAGGAGGCAGAATTTGCAGTGAGCTGAGACGAAGCCACTGCACTCCAGCCTGGGCGATAGAGTGAGACTCTGTCTCAAAAAAAAAAGAAAAAGAAAAGCATATCCTGGACGGTGGGTTGTGTGTACTGAGAATGGGGGAAGGATGAACGGGAGGGGCGGACAGCAGAAGAGGAGGAGCCGATGCTTTGGGCTCAATCTTTACCTGCCCCGCCTGGTCCATATTCTTGCTACCTTCCCAGCTCCCAAAATGAAAGCTCAGTTTCGACATTACCATGGGCATCTTTCTGTTGCGTTTTCCTGTCTTTGATATGGCTGCCAAGATGGAGTAATTTAGAGTTCCCTTTATTATTCAAAGAGAATAGTTCACATAAGTTTAGTTATCAACCTCCAACTCAAGTGACGGAAACGTTAAGAGGTGCGGTGACAACAGCGCACCGCGGCCCCCTGCACAGGAACAAGGGGCGGGAATTTCAGGGACTCCACTGTGGCTGCTGCATCTACCTGCTGGCTTCCACTCCTTGCCCCACTCCCCCATCCTCATCAACACCCACTAATTTAACTCTATTGGAAATCATCCTCCTGGTTGAAGTGTCATATGCAAACCTCAGACCTAAAATCAGCAGATGTATTATTACCGGTCTCCCTTGAGAACTGGTTAAAAAACAACAACAAAAATAAGAACAAAACCTGAAAGACTTAGGAGATCTATAGGCTTTAACGGGTATTAAGTTCTGGAATGGGAACACGGAAACGTACAGAACACCATTTCAAGAACATCCTTCCTAAAGGAATGAGTTCATCCACTCAGGACATTTTCAAGGCACTCTTAGCCTAACTTTTAGACGTTTCCTTCCACTTTAAGCACGTTATATTTTTCTTTAGTCCTCGATAATGTGACCTCTGGTTCTGGTCTCAGAGAACGCTAGTCAAGCTGTGGCACCATCGGGTTTTAAAGTCTGCTCCCAATTTTTTATCAGATACTGTACTATGAAAATTCTAGCTCTTTCTTGATAAACATGCCTTTTAATTTATCTTACACAAGGTGCTGAGATTTTTCTTTTAATGATAAAACAGGGTTGGCTCTGAAATACCAACTGTCCACAAACTGGTTTCAAATGGCATGATGTAACTAGGCTTTTTGCCATGGGTCTCTGTGAACTCTCGCCCAGGAAATGCAGGTTTTGATATGTACAAATTGCCAAAGGAAATTCCAGAAGGCCTAGAAAGCCTAAAAAATGCAGCCATATTTAAGAGTGTTTTCTGTTTTCTAATTCTTGCATTGGTTTCTGTGGTTAAAAGATTCCTGTCACCAGCCAGTTGTCATTGTAAGATACTGATTACCAAGGAGTGGCCGGGGTTGCTAGCGTTCCCTGAGTACCAGTGCTGAGATTAAATGTGCCAGTGTTCCCAGCCTCTCAGCAAACAAACCAAGCGCAGTGTTTACCAGGAAGCTGAAATGGAGAACCTGTCCCAAATCAGACTTAATTTCATTTAATTCACTTACCCTAATTGTTAGTAAGAAGACTGAATTTAAATTAAACACTTTGCCTTGGAACTGGGTTTTACTTAAATAGAACTGTCCCTCCTATGGAAAACAAGTATACACTCACATGCATATTGCACTTAATGCACATTCAATTTTGTAAGGGACATGAGCCCCATTCAAGAGCGTCATGTTTCTTCCTCCTGTTTCTTGTTCCATCCTATACAGTGGAGGTAATAACGGATTCGCTTGCTTTAGTTCAAATCATTAGAAAGAATTATTTCTAGGCAAAACAGAGACAGTTTCACCTCATTTCTCTTTTTTCTCCATCTCAAAATTGACAGTTCTAATCTACATAACAAATTATACTTTATGACAAGCTACTTGTTTCCTATCTTGAATATTGTCTTGAAACCTCAGTAAAACTCGTAGATTACTGCCACCTTGCAATTTATTTTATCACTATTGCTACCATATCCTGAATTGCCAGCACCAATAAATGTACATTTCTTAATACAAATTGCTTGTTTCAGTGTGCATTCTATGCCCAAGCATTGGCATTACAGAACAAGGGAATAAAGGCAGGACTCTGAGTTATGAGAAAATAACACAGTGCTCTAATGAGGAGAGATCTCCTTCAGGAGTAACGCAATGTATACTAAAATATTAAAGGTTTATTTTATTTTATTTTATTATTTATTTATTTATTTTGAGATGGAGTCTCACTCTTTCACCCAGGCTGGAGTGTGGTGGCGCCAGCTTGGCTCACTGCAACCCCCGCCTCCCAGGTTCAAGCGATTCTCCTGCCTCAGCCTCCTGAGTAGCTGGGATTATAGGCATGCACCACCACACTCGGCTAATTTTTGTATTTTTAGTAGAGATGGGGTTTCACCATGTTGATCAGGCTGGTCTCGAACTCCTGGCCTCGTGATCCGCCCGCCTCAGCCTCCCAAAGTGCTGGGATTAGAGGCATGAGCCACCGCGCCTGGCCAGAAGGTTTATTTTAAAGATGAAAATAGAACTTCCTATTAGCAAAGGGCTAAATAACTTTTAGCTACTTTAGGCTTTGAGTTATGACAAGATGATCCCTCTTCACCTGATATGAAAACAGGCACGAGTAGAGAGAAAATGCACCAGGGTGGACGGACTTCCTGTCATGTCTGCAAGATCTATGTTTGCATATCTTTTATTTCATTTTCATCTATAATACAGTAGGTGGACAATCTTAGTCCAAGAAGTCAGAGGGAGGAATGATCACATTTCTTGTTTAAGTCAGCTCAAATTTGAGTTCAACCATTGGACTGACAGGAAATGAAACCCAAATCATCCCTGCTTGCTTGCTTCCTTGAGCTCTATTCCTGTCATGCAAAGGTCCTGACACCGGTCTAGGCTAGGATTGAAGGGAGGTCCCAGGCATTAGGACAGATGTAGTCCATTATCGACTCTCTCTAAATTACCTTCAGGTCTGGGGACTCTACTGCTTGTTGCCATACTTGGCTCTGGGAGTCCCCAGAGAGGCTGGGGCACCTACACCTCGAGGGGGCACCGTCTCTAGGGGCATTACACAGCTAACCCTCAGGGGTCCCACCAACTATTCATAGCACAAATAGTGTCCCAGCTCTATCTCATCTGTTAGAAAATCTCTCCCTCTTGAGGCCTTTAAAGGCCAAGTCCTTTCTTCCCTTCCTTCGGGACATTCCCTAATCTCAGTTCATTTCAGCCTCCATAAAAGACAATAAGTGCCTCTAACTTCCAACAGGAATTTAGTTAGAGGGGTAGAGTAACAAATAGAAATTAAAAGCTTCTACTTTCCTTTCTCTTTTCTTTTCTTTTTTTCTTTCTTTTTTTTTTTTTTTGAGGCAGAGTCTCACTCTGTCACCCAGGCTGGAGTGCAGTGGCACGATCTTGGCTCACTGCAACTTCCGCCTCCCGGGTTCAAGCGATTCTCCTGCCTCAGCTTCCCGAGTAGCTGGGATTACAGGCGTGTGCCACCATGCCCAGCTAATTTTTTGTATTTTCAGTAGAGACAGGGTTTCACTATGTTAGCCAGGATGGTCTCAATCTCCTGATCTCGTGATCCACCCACCTCGGCCTCCCAAAGTGCTGGGATTACAGGCATGAGCCACCGTGCCCAGCCGAAAGCTTCTACTTTCTAAAAGACACCCCAGCTCCTAAAATTTCAAGAAGGAGGGATTAGTGCTAGGTTGAGGGGCGTGGAGGGAAAAAACGAAGACGACACAGACAAATGAATATTTTAGTAAATTGCCTCACCACTATTTAATATCATGAGTGTTGGCTAAGCACCACGTTTTTTGTGCCACCACCGGTTGTAATTTTTTTCATGTTGTGCCCTCTCTGTAAAGCCTGTTTAGGGGAATAGAGAAAAGCTAAAGGTGTTCGGCAAAACAGTGACAGGGACGCTGTCTCCATCACCAGGGGCAAGTCATGCTGTGTCAATATTCTACCAAAGAGTATTATTTTTGAATCAGTAGAGAAAAATCCCTTGTCTCAGGCAGTGGTTGGACACTTTGTCAGCTATAAATCACATGTTCGTTAAGTTAGCACAGAATATTCCACTTTAAATACAGGGTAATGAAGACAAACAGAATCCCAGGGGTTCAACCTGGAGGAGAAACAATGCTGATTTTATGGAGCATATGAGAAATACACAATCGCAGCAAACTTCTGAACGCTTGGACTGTTGGCCAAGAACTTGCCTTTGGTGGTGAGCAAGTGAAAACTGACCAGAACTCTGCCTAGTGTGGAAGAGGAGAGTACCACATCAACAAACCAGGCACTGGAATGGGCAGGTGGTTTTCTATTCCAAACAGCAAACTCTAAGAATAGCGATCTTATAAATAATTGAGAGAAAATATTTTCTTAATCTTTCTGACTCACTGGAGAACTGCATTGTGACACTTTTTCTTAATCTTTCTGACTCACTGGAGAACTGCATTGTGACACTTTTTCAGGTAGGAAATGTATTCAGTTGGTAGGAGGAACTGGAATAACTGCAGGTTAAACAAATACAAGGTTTATTTTTTTCTACTGAAAACAGTAGATATAGGCAGATCAAGACTTTTCTGAAGGGCCCACTGTATGACCCCTGTCTCAGTCTCCTTCTGTCTTTATGCTGCTACCCTGGGCATATGCCCTCATACTTGGCTCCTACCAGATGGCTGCTGCACCCTCAGCTCCCACACGCACATTCTAGCAAGAAGCAGCAGCCAACAGGTCAAGAGCAATAAGGCAGATGCGAACATTTCTTGAAGCCTCACTCATTCACCAAGCTGGCTGAAACAGATGCTGGAAAATGTAGTTGTCACTTGTGCATGTTGTCATTTCTGATGCAAATGGGGTTCTCTTACTAAGAAAGGAAATTTGAGTTTGGGTAGGCAAGTGGAGTGTCTGCCAGAGTCACCAGGCAGGGAGCAAAGTCTCATAGACAAATCCATGGAATTGGGAATCACTGAGCCTCATTTCTGCTTTGACTCTGCAGATTTAGCAAATTCCCCAGCTGCAAAAGGAAAATTCTTTTTCTAATTCCAGGAGAATGGATTTCTCGAGGAATAATTTAAAGGTGTCAGTTAATTTATTAACATTTTCTTCAAATAAAATATTCCCATAAGATGCAACCGTTCTTTTATGTATATAAGTTTAAAGAGGATAAAAAGTTGAAAAATCTTTCTTAATTGTTTACTGAGGGAGTAAGACTTTCAACCAACTGTACTGTAAATTAGAAATAAAATAATTATAACAACTAACCACTACAGTAATTTACACTGTTAACACTGCATTTTCAAACTTATTGGGCCATTGTATGCTCTAAACTTCTGCTTTTATCTGCCTTTTAAGTGAGGAAAATGTTATTGTCGTTATCTAGAGCTCACAGATTGAGATCTACTGCAAATAAACATGAATGAAAAGTTGGGTTCCCTGCGTAGGGGAATTGCAGAATTCGTGAAATCTTCAGGAGACGAGACACTGCAGTCTGACATAACACAGCCTGACCCAAGGGGTCGCACAGAAGACTGTGAGCTCTGAGCCCTGCATCTCTTCTTTTCATGACCCAATGCGGGCATCCCAACTACCCAGACAAAGGAGGCTTATTTGAAATAATTGGCAGTCACAGCCACGTTTTCAGTGTTATGTTTCAAACTGTTTGTCTCTGATCCTGTTTGAACTTTGATGACAATATCTGTGTCTCTAATGAGACCGAACTGCTGTCAGCATCTGAAAACGCTGCCCAGCTCGTGTCTGAGGTTGGCACGTTGGACGGATGCTGCGCTCGTTCCTCAGGGGGAACCATGCGGCTCCGGCTTTGCTCTCTCAGGCAGCTTCTGCAGTGAGTGCGCAGGTCGTGAGGGCTGCCCGGTGAATCCTGGGACTGGGCCTTGGGAGAGTTTTCAGAATCCACCTTTGGTGAGGTGATGTGATGGGAAGGAGCCCACTGCTGTGCTTTTACAGACCCAGTGTCAATCAAGGATTCCTTTTTTTTCTAAATAATTCCATGAACATTAAGGAAAGAAGCCACATTCATTCATTTCAACTTTCTGAACACCTGCTATGCCTCCATCACTGTGCGAGGATTTGAGGAGACAGGGTTAGATGGCATTGGTCACTCTCTTTAGCTTCTCTCCATATGCACAATAGTGATTACTGGACCCTCGGGCAAGTTTCAGGGAGTCAGATGAAATAACTTCCCAAATACAAAGTTAATGCAACTATCAAAAAGCAATTAGTATGCACCTTTGAATCAATAAAACCACACAGAGTCTATTCCCCTGTAATCAAAACAATGTTTATGTCTCGTCTTTAAATAGTGTACATGTCAGGCACTTGACAAATATATTTTAAAAGTGAATTTTGTTTTTTTTGTACCTTAACAAAAAGTTAGCCAGGTGAAATCCTTTTTCATTCTTAACAGTGTATTTCAAAATATTCACGTTTCCGAGAATACCGAGGACATGAAGCTCAGAAAAACACTAAGCCCATGAAACAAAGAATCCTTAGAGCGAAAATACAAATCAGCAAAAGATGGATTTTACAAATGGAAACACTAAGAGAGCTTAGGTAACTACAAGTGCTATGAGGAATGCCTGGGCCCTCCAGAAAGCCCAGCACAGCTTCCCTTTACTTACATATAATGCCTAGCGAAGGAATAAAATTCAGGGATGCTGTAATTAGTGGATGCTAAAACCCACACTCACAAGAAAAATACAAGAGCGGAAATGCTAAAATTCTCAAGACATGCAGGCAGTGGTTTCCTGCTGAAAGAGGTTTTGCAGTTCTTCCTTTCCTTGCCTTCACTAATGAGGAAATGTCCTCTATGACAGCAAGTCTTTCTCTCTCCACCCAAAGGCTGTTCTGTAGCTGACCGGCATATTGCAGGTCCTGTGAAAGGTGGAGATCGTTTCATCTGAGTCACTCTTGCTTGGAAATACACCTGTTCCCTAATGTGCAGCCCCTCGGTATTGTGCTGGCTTTCTAGATCTGAGTTTACATTTCCCTGTGCAGAATACCTTGACAAATGGCAGCTTTCTGTGACTGATGACAGTGCCTGGTTTGTATGAGATGTGACTTCCTTCTCTCAGGACTGTCATCCATCTCTAATGTCATACTGCTCATCAAAGCAAACCATACAGACTTTCTTTGGAAAACACTGAAATTGGCATGCATTTACTTTTAAACATTTATTTTCTCTTTTTAAAAACTTTACGTGTGTAAATTTAGGAGGTAAAAGTGTTATATTAAAAAATACAATGGATTTGAAAAATACATCAATTTGTCATCATGCTCTAGCCTCATTTTCATGTTCTGAAGGCACCCTTAATAGAAACTCTGATTTTGTTTGTATCTGGGGAGAAATCCAGGGGAAAGAAGAGAAATTCCATGAATCCTCCTACAGGCAACTTTTATCAGAGGCGTGTAACATACAGTGAATGCAGTTAATTTGGGCAACTGGTGCATGATTTATAGCTTTGAGGATCTAATCTAATCTGGGTCATTCCTCTTATTAGAGGTGTGACCCTGGGCAAACCACACGCATAGCCTTAGCTTCCATTTTCCTCCATCTGTACAAGGGGGATACTAACACCTCCTTGGCAGAGCTGTGGGAATTTCACAAGATGCACGTGCCAACATCTGTGCGCGTGGAATGCACTAAATATCAGTAAATGACCAGTGATGATGACAACGAAGAATGATGATATTTATCAATAACAATCACTTTCAAGGAAAATATTTTCATTGTGTTTTGAATTATTTAGACTCTCCATACCAAAAAAGGCCACAAGAAATTGCTTATCTTTTATCTAAGTTTTTCTAAGCCACCAGAGCCTAAAATCAAAATGATTTATAGATTAATTTCAGGAAGAGAAAAAGAGAAATGTGGTTGGGGAGAGGGAGAAAGAGGGAGGGAGGATCTTTTCTTCCTTTCTCCTGAGCTTCCATCTTGTCCCACAGAGGTGGGTACCTCAGGCCTTTCTCCCATGCAATGCTGGGAAGGGAGGAACCCTCTACACCTCCCATTATTTTCAGGAGGACAGCGGCTGCTGTGACTGATCTCACCTTCACATTCATTGGTGACCACTAGAGGTGGGAGTCGCTGGGATATTTTTAGCATAGGCTGGATGACACCTCCATGGCAGGTACGTCAGCCACCTCTGCTTTAGTCACCAGCATAGGGCTGTGCTTAGCAGAGAGCCTAGCATAGAGAGGATGCTTATTAAATATTGGGTAAAAGAATAAAATGATAAATAAGGGCCACTATAAAATGAATGTTACACAAAAACGTGTTTTCCCCAACAACTCACCCAGATGAAGACTTACAGAGCAGCCCAGCTACTCCTCCCCATATAGAATTCCTCATCTGGTATGTTGCAATGACTTTTATTTTTAAACTGTTCTTGAATCTTTTCTGACACACCGTTTGCATCTCAGAAGTGTATATAGGTCTTTTACCTTATGTGGACTTACGGAGATGGAGCAAGAGAAACCTGTTCTTAATGATGCCCGCTTCTATTTTTCCTTCCCCTGAGTGCTAGCTGCCAATAGATCCTGCCTTACTACTTGAATTCCCACTGATTCCAATACAAATCCAGCAGGATAAGAAATGTCTTAATATTATAGCACAAGCTACCTATATTTTTGACAGCTTTAGTTGTGTTTCCAACTTTGAAAATTGATAAGCATGAACCAGGAAAGACAGTTTGAAATTCTAATTCAAAATCTAGGGAAATGCATATCTATTTTTCTTTGCTGCTAAGAGCTGATCAAAAGGGTAGATCAATCATGTAACAGCGATTACAATCTCTGCTTCTACATAAAAAATGAATACTTTAGAGAAAGACTGGGGTTTGATGCAACTCTACGCTCATAATTTACCCTGCATACTGTCCAAAACTATAATTTTTAAATTATATATTTCCTAGAATAATGTGTAAGAAATGGCTTTTTAAGCCAAAATATGTTAACTATTCTATTAAAGAGGACTATTGTATGCAGACATAAAAATATAACATGAACATTTATATTATTGTAAATAATTATGCCAATATAAACTAAATAATGTGATTTCCCCCTTATTTTAATTAAATAAAATATAAACGTCTAACTTTTTGCTTTGCTAGCTTATATCAAACATTAATTTTAATATTAAAATAGTATGTTAACTTTCATCAGTAACTGAAGAGCATCCTGTAACCCTTTTATCCTGCAATTTCACTTACTCTTTATTCTGAAGTAGTCTTAGACATGTGCACAAATTTATCTACAAGGATGTCCATCATATTGTTGTTAATAATAATGAAAAAATAAAATTATCTGAACAAATAAGAGATTGAACTACGGTTTGCTGAGGCGCTGGAACATAGTGTTGTGCCAAAAATAATGCTGTTGAAAAATATTTATTAATATGGAAAATGTGGCTACCTTATTTCAAGTATAAAATACTCGCTGTGATCCCAATATTTCTGTGAAAAACAGGCATGCATAACTCGAGGAGAAAAGATCAAAAAAGATATAACCCAATGGTTTTATGAAGGCGGTGAAATTACAGAGAATCTGTTCATTGGAATGCAAGCTTTCTGAGGGTAAGAGTTCGGGTCAGTCTTGTTCAGCACCTGGAACAGGCCTGGTTCAAAAATAAGGGCCCCAAAGATGCATGCTGAATGACTTAATTTTCTTATTTTTCATACTTATGATTTCCAAATTTCTGTTGTAATTGACAAAATGCATTTTTAAGGTCCTAATCAAGCTAAGAAGCAGCTTTAGGGCCAAGGCGTTTTCTAATGCCATTTCCCACACACATTCCATTCTCTACTGATACTTTTAGATAGTTTCATAAGGAAGCTAACTGTAAATAAACTCTGCTGTATCTTTATGTATTTCATCATTGTGTTCAGTTACTTGCTGACACTAACCTTCCATTAGTTGTCCTTGGCTGGAATTGTGTGAGTGACCTTGCTCCTAACATAGGAACGAGGCCATTTATTTTATCCCAAAGTTAAAGCACTATTATTGGTTTTACCTTACCCTGATTTTTTTTTTTTTTGCATGCTACAGTATATTGTGTTTGGCACAATGCTTCACATATGTGAATATTTATATTTTAAAAATCCGGACTCTTTTTATTTTTATTATGGAATATCTGGCTGAATGGGATCAGATTTCCTCATGAAAGTATAGGGGTGACTCAGAGAAACTGTGAGGCAGTCATTTGGAAATTCCCTGGAAGTTCTAATACCAGGAAGTATGTCCTCAACTACTTGTTTTATAGAACATCCAAATCTGAGGGTAAAACTTTCCTGGTTAAAAATAAGGCAAGAACAAATAAATAAAATAGTAAGGAATAAATGCAAGATATCTATTGGATGACATAGTAAATATAGTTAATAACAATTTGCAAATTGCAAACAGAGTACATTTTAAGTGTTCTCACCACAAAAAAATAAGCACATGAGGTGATACATATGTTCATTAGCTTGAGGTGGCCATCCCACAATGTTTATATATTTCAAAACATCATGTTAGTATACCATAAATATATTTGGTTTTCATTTATCAACTAAAAAAATTAATTAAAAACAACAAAAAATAAAACCAAAAACGTCTCCCGGAGGCAGGGATTTAGTCCCTGTGGCCAATTCCCATCGCTCTGTAACTGAGTGAGTCTGCATAGGAAGTATGTTTGTTGAAGCATATAGTTGTAGAGAGTGACTTTTCATTTTACAGTGCTTAGTTTTAAAAAATTATGCACATAATCTATGACTAAATTTTCTCTGTTAAAGTTTCAGGCAACGCAGATGTGAAGAGAATAAATATGAAAGTCTCCCTCCTGGCCCTGGCTTGCAGCCCTCTGCTCCCTTTAGAGGTAAACCCTGGAAAGTGCTTTGCATATGTCTTTCCAGGACTGATCAGGTCCATGCTTACGTGCATATGTAACTACACATGACACACATATACAGTGTTGCTTGGCTTATCATAAAAGGCGTTCTAGAGTCTGTATTGTCTTTTGACTTGGTGTTTTTTCAGGTAATAACATGACTTCCAAGACTTTTTCCCCCTCATTACACTCAAATATTATTATTTTTAAAAGTACCATAATATGGAATTGTTGTATTTTAATTAATCACCTTCCCCCTGACTCATAGTCATTGTATTCCTTTCAGTTTCTCTCAATAACAAACTCTTCTCTGTGTTTTGTACCCTTCTCCATACAACTTTTGACGCGAGTGTAAAGTACTTCTCTATTGCAGAATACTAGAAGAATTGCAAGCTTTAGGATTTAAATTTTTTTGTTTTTTTTTGAGATGGAGTCCCACTGTCACCCAGGCTGGAGTGCAGTGGCACGATCTCAGCCCTTTGCAACCCCCACTGCCCAAGTTCAAGCGATTTTCCTGCCTCAGCCTCCTGAGTAGCTGGGATTACAGGCATGTGCCACCTCACCTGGCTAATTTTTGTATTTTTAGTAGAGATGGAGTTTAACTATATTGGCCAGGCTGATCTCGAGCTCCTGACCTTAGGTGATCCACCTGCCTCAGTCTCCCAAAGTGCTGGGATTACAGGCGTGAGCCACCATACCTGGCCTAGTTTTAAATATTTTGAACTTTGATCTTTACTGATAAAATGCCTCACCCCCAAAATGGGATTTACTAATGTATACTTCCACCAAGACTGGAAGGAATTAGCTGTCCCTAGCTGAATAAGTCCCTGGTGCACTTTGTTTTATCACTAAGCACTTTTAATCCTATGCTTGAAAGAAAAGCATTGGTTTAAGATGCCCGCCAAGTGTCTTTAAGAGAAAAGTTACCACTGGTGAGCTTTTGGATTTACCTCCATGTCTGAATGAGCCCTCTTTTTCTGCCCATGTGTCTTATGTACCATAATTCAAATTATGGCAGAACTTGGAAGTAGAAAGTAGAGGTCTATCTAACTACTATTGGCTTATTTAAATGCACATAATAATTCAGTTAAAATAAAAATCCCAGGTTAAGTGCTAAGCCACGTAGGATGCTGGAATGAGAGGTATACATTAGCATGATTGTGAAGTATATGATAAAACTATTCATGGCCCCACAAACCAAACTTTAAGAATCAGAAAATGTGTTGATAAGGTTAAAATAACAAGATATTCTCTTAGTTAATTGCTTTTAGTCATGGTTGTAGCTTAAGCCTTTTTCTGATTTTGAAATGCAGTTTCTCTTGGATGATGAGGCCATAAGTCAGAGATCTGCTTCAATAAAAGAATAAAATTATCCATAATAACCTCTGGATCATGAAGGATAGAAACATAATTACATTTCCTTTAAAAATAGCTTGCTGGAGGCACAAATAAACAGCAGCCATAATAATGTCGTATATTAATATAACCATCCAGAAAAGAACCAGAAAGACAAAACCTATTATTATAATTTACCATCTATTAAACATATTAGCTATAAAATTAAAGGCTGATCTTAAAAAACATTAAAGGTTGTTTTTTTTAAAAGAGCCAAAGTAAGCAAAAAAAAGAGATTTGTTTAATAAGGTTGCTTTTCTCAAGAAATTAATGCAGTTATGTAACAATTCAAATGCATTTGCAAACTATACCAAACTTCAATGTTCTCTAACTATTCAGAGTACACAAGCAATCAGCATCACATATATTTGATTTAATCATTGAAAATACAGCTATTTATTTTAAATCATAAAATGAAAAAAGTTGGATAATCATATACTGAAAAGATAGAATTCTGTGATAATTGCTCATTAAAAATAGAAATTAGGCCAGGCATGGTGGCTCACACCTATAATCCCATCACTTGGGGAGGCCAAGACAGGTAGATCACCTGAGGTCAGGAGTTTGAGACCAGCCTGGCCAACATGGTGACACCCCGTCTGTACTAAAAAAAATACAAAAAATTAACCAGCGTGGTGGTGGACATCTGTAATCCCAGCTACTTGGGTGGCTGAGGCAGGATAATTGCTTGAACCCAGGAGGTGGAAATTGCAGAGAGCCGAGATAGCATCACTGCACTCCAGCCTGGGTGACAGAGTGAGACTCTGTCAAAAAACAAAAAAAAAAAAGAAAGAAAGAAGAAAGAAAAGAAAGAAAGAAAGAAAAATAAAGCAACTCTTTACCCAAAAAAACAAAAATAAACAGTATCCTAAAAGGCATAACATTACAATATTTCCAGTTAAAATCAGGAACTAGGCAGAAACATGTTCCACGGCTGTTAAAAGCCTTGAGGATTTTAGTACATATGATTAAGGTAAAATCTAATTTCATAAGCATTGAAAAAGAAAAGAGCCAATTATCTCCTATTGCTGTGATACTATTTTGTACCTGGCAAAACAAGTGATTCTAGCTAAAGAGAAACTGAGAGAATTAAAAAAAGAATTTGCAGGTATACCAGATAAGTGTTTTTGAATAGGTTTTCTCTATTTTGGCAATTAAGTAAGAGTGGAAACGTGAAAAAGTAAGCATTAACATGATCTGAAAAGCAATACATTTTGTACAATATCCATATATGAGGATCACTATAAAATCTTATTTAAAGACCTAAAAGCAAAGCAAGTGTGTGATTCAAGCCCACCTCTCCGCACTTCACCTCGTCCCTCCGCCTTATTTCCCCATCTTGGTAAATGACACCTCCATCTACCAATTTATTGAGTCAGAAGCCCAGGAGCCGTACCTGGCGCCTCGCTTTCCCCATCCCCATATCCAAGCCCTCAGCATGTCCTGTGGACTTTGCCGCTAAGGACCTGCTGAATAGAACGATCGCCCATCACCTCCAATGCCAAGCCTCCACTCAAGCGGATCTGGTCTCTGTCCTGGACCCCGGGATTCCTTCCTGACTGGGACCCGCTGACACTCTTGCTCTTCTGCATTGCGCTTTCCACCCAGCACCCAGGGAACTCCACACCTCACATCTGATTCTATCACTCCCCAGTGGAGAGCCCGATTGCTGCTGCCTGCAGTTACAGCACAATTCCAGTGCCTCGCCTCAGCCTACACGACCTGGGCTCTGCTCCCTCCCAGCAGCGTCCCCGTCCACCCTCCCCACTTTCCGTGTGTGGCAGTAGGCCCATCTTCCTGTCCCTTGGTTAGACCAAGCTCACGTGGCTGCCAGAGCTTCCCATCAACGCAGCAGCTAGTTCAGCACCAACTCTCCAGTCGCTTTCTATCCGTTACTCGGCTTTGTTTTTGTTTGTTTGTTTGTTTGTTTTTAATTATTATACTTTAAGTTCTAGGGTACATGTGCACAACGTGCAGGTTTGTTACATATGTATACATGTGCCATGTTGGTGTGCTGCACCCATTAACTCGCCATTTACATTAGGTATATCTCCTAATGCTATCCCTCCCCCCCCCCCACCCCACGACAGGCCCCGGTGTGTGATGTTCCCCTTCCTGTGTCCATGTGTTCTCATTGTTCAATTCCCACCTATGAGTGAGAACATGCGGTGTTTGGTTTTCTGTCCTTGCAATAGTTTGCTGAGAATGATGGTTTCCAGCTTCATCCATGTCCCTACAAAGGACATGAACTCATCATTTTTTATGGCTGCATAGTATTCCATGGTGTATATGTGCCACATTTTCTTAATCCAGTCTATCATTGATGGACATTCGGGTTGGTTCCAAGTCTTTGCTATTGTGAATAGTGCTGCAATAAACATACGTGTGCATGTGTCTTTATAGCAGCATGATTTATAGTCCTTTGAGTATATACCCAGTAATGGGATAGCTGGGTCAAATGGTATTTCTAGTTCTAGATCCCTGAGGAATCGCCACAATGACTTCCACAATGGTTGAACCAGTTTACAGTCCCACCAACAGTGTAAAAGTGTTCCTATTTCTCCACATCCTCTCCAGCACCTGTTGTTTCCTGACTTTTTAATGATCGCCATTCTAACAGGTGTGAGATGGTATCTCATTGCGGTTTTGATTTGCATTTCTCTGATGGCTTTGTTTTTCTCATGAGGATGCACAACTCTCTGAGCTTCTATCTGTTCACAGGTGAAACACCCTCATGCACACTGGAGCATCAGCACGGTGAGGGCAGGGCGTCCACGTGTCTTTGTGCCCTGCTTGACCCCGTGCTGGGACCTTCTACGAGAGCCACGGTGACACGTACAGCAGATTTCCGGGACACGGCAGTTGTGAAAATAAAAGAACGAAAGAATGAACAAAAGGAAAGTGAACACTTCCCCATTTTATAGATTGGAGAGTTGAGGTTTGGCGAGTGATGTGAATTATCCATGATTACGTAGCTGAGGTTTGGCCAAGTGCAGACTCCAGATGGTTCTGTCTAGTTCTGCCTCCCAGGGCTTTCCCCTGTGCAGGCTGCCTCGACCCTGCCTGACTGCCGCCTGTGTCTGAATCTCTCAGAGCCGTCTGTCTTAAACAGGAAGAGACGGCCTTTATATACTGTTTTCAAGGCAACCCACTCCCATTTAATGTTAGTCTAGATGGTTGCAGGTGTATTTTGTTATGCTGGCTTCTGGTTTACTCTGCATAGTCGGGGAGCATGAGAGGGGTGATATGGTTAGCAAATGCCTTTGAATTGTTACATAACTACATTGATTCCTTGAAAAAAGCCATCTTATTAAAACAAAACAAGGAATATTATGCCTTGTTGAAGCTGACCTATCAAAATGTAAAAGAAATAAAGTAATGAATGGTGTCTTGGAAAAAACAGTGTTTTGTTATTGTGTCAGTTATACCTAAAGACAAAGAATGTCTTGAAAGCATATTTTTAAATCAAGAAATGTTAAACACTGAAAACTATTACAAAATCTTCTACAAAAGTAGCAATATAGTATTCATCAATAACTAGGATACTTTTAAGTTTCTCCTTGATATTTTCTCACCCCTTTCCATCAACAAACATTGTGCTTAGGACCAGTGGCCTTTCCTCTCCTGCCAGGCTTTCAAAGTACGGAAAAGCAAACAGAACAGAACACTCGAATTTCAGCTCATAGGCTGGAAGCAAATAGACTGTGGTCAGACAAGGGCTGACAGGTTCGGAGTGATTTTCCTCATTTGTGATAGCAACTAAGAGATCTGGGAAGTATTGTCTGTGGTAGGCATAAGCAGGATGAAAATGGCATGGTAGCTATGTAGACACAGCACTGAGGTGGAGGAGAAGGATGAAGAACAGAAGAGGGGATGGGGAGAAAAAAGTGAAGAAAAAGAGAAAGGAAGGAAGGATGATACAGGAAGGGAAAGGAAGAAAAGAGGAAGGAAGTTGCTGAGCAAAAGCTTGGATTTAAAAACTAGTAAAATTTTATTAGCATCATGCAAGGACTTAGTAATGTAATATCATTGAAACAAGGTCAAACATGGTTAAATAATAAAACTAGGGGAGATTGTAGAGTTAAGGAAATTGAGAAATTAAATAATAGCCCTTTACAGAACAATACATTAGAGACAGCAATCAACATATGAGAGTGAAAGCATGGGAAAGGAGATTAAAGAAATGGAAGCTAGACAACAATGATCCAAATAAATAATATTTCTCAAAGAAGAAACTATTATAGCACCAAACCTTCTTTTTATAAGAATTTTGTACCAAGGATAATTCTCTGAAATAACAGAAAGTGCTCCAGGAAAAGTGGGTACAGAATAATTGACACCAAAATACTTTCTTTCAAAATTACTTGACATCAAGCATGAAGAAAGAATTTTCAGACATTCAGACAAGAAAAAAGAAAGGCATCTACAAGTGGTGAAAAATTTAGGCTAACCATAAATCTCTAGAGAATTCAGGGACTATAGCACGAATTATTTTTGAGAAAAAATGCCAACAACTTCTGACGATGAAATCCGGTGAAATATGTTATTCATCCAAGCAAAAATGCCAGGAATGGAGAAGCAGTGGTGAGAGAATGGGTGTGAGGATTGATTCTTTCTTTAATTTGAAACTAAAACTAAATTATTGTGGGAATTTCTGTTACAGAATTTAAGGTGTTATAATCCTGGCAAAATAAACATAACAATGTAACCAAAGCATTAGGAGGTAGGGGAAGAAAAAAGAAGAAGTATAAAATTGTTAATGTTGTTTATCTTTCATATGATTGAGTTTATCAATAATATCTAAATTTGAAACAGAGGTACAAAAACTTAATGAGTATAATTCCTTAATTATTTTCAAAATCTTTGTTTCATTATTTTAATATGATCTCTTAGACACTAATATTTCATTTGATAAAGTAACATTTATCTGTTTTTCTTTATTTGGTTTCTTTAATAGCACTTTTCCCTTGCATTAATGCAAAATTATATTTGGTATCTTTTGAAAATTAAACTGATGAAAAAGAAACAACAGTCATATTGATTGGGAAAGAAGGAAAAGGTGTTCTATTCAAAGATAATATGATTGTCTGCATAGAAAATCTCAAAGAATCTACCAAAAACTACTGGAACTAATGAGTGGGTCTAGAAGGTTGCAATATACAAGGTCAATATACAAAAGTCCATTGTATTTCTATACACCAGCAATGAATAATAGGAACTTTATTTGAAAAAGTATTATGTAAAACAACATTGAAAACAAAATTCTTAGTAAAATCTAACAAAATATGTAAAGATTTTTATGCAGAATACTATAAAACACTGATAAAAGAAATTAAATAAGATCTGTATGAGTAGAAAGATGTACTATGTTCATGGATCAGAAGACTCAATATTGTTAAGATGCCAATTCTTCCTAAACTGACCTGTAGACTCAATGTAATTCCAGTGAAAATTCCAGCAGCATTCTTTTTGTAAATATCGGCAAGTTGATTCTAAAATTTATATGAAAAAGTAGAAGACTAGAATTGTCCAAACAAATTCTTAAAAGACTAACAACATGGAGAACCCACACTACATAATTTTGAGACTTACCATAGGACTGTGATAATAAAATACTGTGGTATAGCTGAAAGGATATGAACACAGGCCAAAAGAACAGGATAGAGAGTCCAAAAAAGGCCCACACATCTATGCCAATTGATTATTGACAAAGACAAGAAAGGATAGTTTTTTCAACACATAATTCTGGAGCTTGTGGTTATCTATAAATCAAAACACAAACATCTCAGCTTATACACAAATGAACTCAAGTGGATCATAGAAATACATGTACATCTTAAAAATATAAAACTTAAAGAAGAAAATACAGAAAAAAATTTCACGACCTTAGATTAGAAAAATATTTATTAGAAGCAGTATCTAAAGCACAATCCATAAAAGAAAAAAATTGATAAACTGAACTTTTCCAAAATTAAAAACTTCTCTACTGTGGAAGATACTGCTAAGAGAATAGAAAGGCAAGCCACAGACAGGGAAAAATTTTTGCAAAATACTTATCAGGAGAAGAACTTATATTTAAACCATAAAAAGAACTTTTAAATGCATTAATAAAAACTCAATTCAATTTTTAAAATGGTATAGAGATTTGAATAGATTTTTTCACAAAAGAATATATATTATTGACAAACAAAGCACAGAAAAAAGATGCTTAAGTCATTAGGAAAATATGAATTAAAACCACAATGAGGTACCACTACATTATTTTAAAACCTGACAGTATCAATGCCGGTGGGGATGAGGTGAAACTAGAATTCTCATAACACTGCTTGTGGGAATGCAAAATGGTGCAGCCACTTTGGGAAACAATTTGCCAGTTCCTTATGGTGTTAAACACAATCCCACTGCTCGATTTTTATCCAAGAGAAATGAAAACCTACATCCACACAAAGTCCTGTGTACAAATGTTCAAAGCAGCTTTATTTATAATAGCTGAAACTAGAAACAACTCAAATGTCCTTTGACTGGTGAATACACAAACAAAATGTGGTACATTTGTATAATGAAATAGTATTCATCAACAACAACAAAAAATTAACAAATTAAATTATCCGGGTGTGGTGGCATGTGCCTGTAGTCCCAGCTACTCAGGCTGAAGTGGGAGGTCACTTGAGCCCAGAAGTTCAAGGCTGCAGTGAGCTATGATCATGCCACTGTATGCCAGCCTGGATGACAGAGCAAGACCGTATATCTAAAAATAATTTTTTTAACTAACAAATGATCATTACACACAATATCGTGGAGGACTCTCAAAAGCATTTTGCTAAGCGAAAGATATCAGTCACGTAAGTCCACATACTGTATGATGTTATCCATAAGACTTTCTGGAAAAAGCAAAACCCCAGAGACAGAAGTCCGATCAGTTTTCATCAGGAGGTGGGGGAGGAAGAAGGTTCAAGGTACCTTCCAAAGGGAACTTCACGGGGTGGAGGTAATATTCTGTATCTGGATTGTGGTGAAGTTTACATGACTGTATTTGTCAAAACTCATAGAGCTATATATCTAAAATGGTTGAATTTTATTGTACATAAATTATACCTCAATAAACCTGACTATAAAATTAAATTGGCATGTTTATAGATCCTATATATGGGAATTGTTCCCATTTATCATTTCTATCTGGATATTCTTATAGACATAAATATTAATCTTTAAATCTTTGTTAATACAAATGTTAACATGTATCAGTTAACATTCCTGATGTTTATAGTAGGGTGATTGGGACTTTGAGTGACATTTTGAATTCTTCTTCATGCATTTCTGTATTTCTTGATTTTTAAAATAAGCATGTGCTGTTTTTTAAAATAAAAAAGTTTTATTTTTGCTAAGGGCTCAAAATAAAGGCTCCAAAAAATAAAGGATTAGTAAGATCTGAACAAAAGAAATCCGGAATGGCAATGAGGGCCCAGCAGAGCTGAGTAGAGGTGAGAATATGATTTCCATCAACTTGGCCTTTCTGGGTTTCAGGACTGGATCTGAGCAGGCAGTTGACCACTGACCTATCATCTAGACTATGGTTTCCTCAGTAAAGGACCACTTTCCTACAATGATCTCTCAACTGCCTTTAGTTCTTGACTCCTAAGAGGTTTCCAACACACAGACTTATATGGAGTCGGTGTATTCCCGGAATGCTCAGACAGTAGGGAGTTTCTTTAGATAGTTCTCGTATTGTATTGGCATACTCCTCTTTCAGTTCTTGGGAGAATTTACTACATACTTTATGCAATGATTTTAGTAATCAAGTTACAGTCATACTGCTGATTTCCCTACAGAAAGTCAGGCAGCCGAAGTGGTGGCACGGCATAAATTGATACATGAAATCCACCATCTGTTCTCAATGTACGCAGCGGCTCCTCCACACCTGCCTGGACTTATCTTGAGAAGGAGAGCAACAAGAAGAAAAAAAAATCAAAATGTTTAATTAATGTTGCTGGGAAAGAAGGTGCAATCCAGCAAAACTGAAGTTACAGATACTCATAAGCTCACAGGCCTCTTCTTCAAAGCTGTTAAGGCGTAAGCTAGAAGTAAGTGGTCTTTGTAGCCCTCTGATGGCTCGTTGGGGATGGGAAAGTTAGCAAATCCTCTTATGTGAACTGCAGAGCCCAAGGGCGAGGAAAAGCCCGCTCTTGTGCTTTCACATTTCTGCCCTTGAAATACGACATAGCACCCCCGGGCACCTGCTGTCTTTTCATTTTCTCACACTGCTGAATAAATAAGCATTTTAGGGAAAGCCAAGAACATAATGAAGGCTTAACTCAGAGTGCAGAAGTGTCTAGGGATGCCCACTACAGCTCAGAGGCCAAATGTCACCAAGATCACTTCCATACACATAGACTCCATTCACTTTTTGAGGTCACCTGCATTGCCAATGACAGCTCAAAAGCGTAACATTTCACAGTTTCTTTCTCATGATCTCCTTAGGCCTACTAACTACACATATAAACTCAAATGATAAAAGGATGAACTAGCTATTTTTATAATCTCTCATTTTACTCTTCAAAGTGTTTAGGCAAGAATAAAATATATAACAATGCATAAATGAACCTGAACACTTGGCTCTTTAAGATTCCTCTAGAATATCCTTGGCATCTCTGTAGAGAAAAAAGGTAGCATGAAAAGAAGCCAAATCGTGCTTCACACACGCCCACTCCACTTCCCATGACACTCTGGGCACATCTTTTTAGAAAATACGAATTCGGTCTTATTCATTTAAGCTTCCATAAAGTAAGTAATGCATGATTTTTAAACTTTCTGTTTTGATGCGTAGGTGCCAACAGGCAACTTTCTCAGGTTGTCACCCTATTTAAAAGTTCCGAGAAAATCCACAGCATTAGACATGTCTCTTGTAAGTTACTGCGCCCCTTAGTAAACCACATGACAAGCTGGTAAATACAAGTATTCACAAGCAAATACGATGTGTTACAGGTGAACATAGCAAGCCCCTGGGCGATTGGGGAAAACGATGGACTGACTGAGAAAGCATTTAGGCATAGTGACTTGTTCCCGGACTGTCCAGAGAGGTTTAAATTCCTTGCTAGAAACTCTTATGAAAGGAAATGTGAGGTGGGCGGCAGAAAGGCTAAGGTGTTCTAGGCTGCAATAAGAAAAGTATACAATCCACCCAGTGCGGTGGCTCACGCCTGTAATCCCAGCACTTCAGGAGGCCGAGGTGGGCAGATTACAAGGTCAGGAGATTGAGGCCAGCCTGGCTAACACAGTGAAACCCCATCTCTACTAAAAATACAAAAAATTAGCCGGGCATGGTGGCGGTTGCCTTTAGTCCCAGTTACTCAGGAGGCTGAGGCAGGAAAATTGCTTGAACCTGGGAGGCGGAGGTTGCAGTGAGCCAAGATCATACCACTGCACTCCAGCCTGGGCAACAGAGCAAGACTCTGTCTCAAAAAAAAAAAAAAAAAAAGAAAAGAAAAAAAAAAGAAAAGAAAACAACGTGGCCTGTGGCCTGGTCTGGTTCTGCTCTGCTATCCACGGCTCAGGTCAATCTGGAACATGGGATTCCGTGTGGGAAAGTACATGCTAAAAGGAAATTAGAAGATCTGTACCAAGAAAAGAATAGCAGCACCATGAGAGAACCGGGACTTGGGAGACGTAAAGGATGACAGAAGAGGTCTGATCATTTAGCCTGGAACAGACTCAGTGCAAGAAAGGACAATATCACCCTTTTCAAATATTTGAAAAGCTGGGCTTTGAAGCGATTTGTTTGGTTTGCCCCAAAGGGTATAACTTAGACCAAATGGTCAGAAACTACAGAGAAACAGATTTCAGCTCAGTAAAGGGAAGGACCTTCCAGCGGGCAGCGATAGAATGGCCAAAGAGGAAGGACCTTCCAGCCAGTTTGAAGACAGAATAGGCTGCCTTGAGAGGTGAGGCTGGCTTTGCAGCACACTTGAGTTGCACAAACAGCCTGGGCAGCTGTCTGCGGGGAAGCCGGAAAAGGCATTTAGTAGGTAGAAGTAAAAGAGGGTCCACGAGCCCATATAATAAACTTGGCTGTTGAGTGAGAATCTGGCACCCACCTACATAGGCGCTCACAGTTCAATTGATGATGGAAATAATATCACATTTCTTTCTGTTAGTAGAACCCTACATGGGCCGGGTAGAAGAGAAGGTGCTCTGTGTATGGAGGAAGTCTTTGAGCAAGCGAAATTACAGTGTTTGAAGAAACACACTTCCCTCTTTTATACAGTTCCGAAACTGTTATAAAGATTTGGTTGTTTGAAGGGTTGAAAAACTACTGCTTCGTTAAGAACCACGCTGTGGCTTCAGGAAAAGGAAAAATCAAAACTTGCGGGCATCGCAGACCGTGGCATTTATTATTCAATGGTTTGACACTGGAAATGCATATACCATGCAGCCTGCAGATTTATAGACTGCAGATTTTGTGGTATGTTAAAAATATTTTTTTGCAAGTGATTTGAAGTATGCTATTTATGATATTTCAGCAAAATGAGCTACTGTAACCTAAGTTAAACAAGTTATTCAATAGTTTCAAGCAGCAAACTATAACCTAGCAAGACTTTGGAAGCTGAGGGGTGGTAGCACCCTCCTACTATAGGAAACTATTCTTCAATTATTTGTAATTATTATTATTAGAATCATTTCATATCTTCTGGAGAGTTATTAAGAAGATGGGGTTGCTGATCTTCTTAATAACAAATTATCCAATTTATTATCTGTAATTTTGTTCCTCAAAACTTTCCCCCTTAAGTTGTTGTTGGATAGAAAAGGTTGCTTTTTTGTTTGACTTTTTACTAAATTATCATGGATTCTCACATAGTATATATATATGTGTGTGTGTGTGTGTGTGTGTGTGTGTGTGTACATTGAACTCATATCTTTTCATTATAATTATTGGAAGCATAAACTGTATGAAACCTGACATTCTATATTATTATTATTATTATTATTTTGCTTTCTGGCATTCAATATATTGCCTGTCCCAATTTATTTATTCTGAGTTTTCATTGCATTTATCATACTCTGTAAAATGCTCGTGCTAGTAATGGCTCCCAAAGATACATCTATATACAAATCCCCAGAATCTGTGAATGTTACCTTATTTGAAAACATGGTCTTTGGAGAATGTGATTATCCTGGATTATCTGGATGGGCTCTAAATGCAATCACATGTGTCCCTAGAAACGAGGGGTGGTGGGGGGTTGGAGAGAGACACACAGAGGAGAAGGCAATGTGGAGATGGAGGCAGAGACTTGAGTGATGGGGCCACAAGCCAAGGCATGCTGGTAGCCACCAAAATTTGGAAGAAGCAAAGATTAAATTTCCCCTAGGGCCTCCAGAGGGAGTGTAACCCCACCTCCATCTTGGTTTTGAATTTCTGGACTCCAGAAATGTGTGAGAATAATTTCTTTTACTTTTTCATCCAGTTCATGGTAACTTGTTACAGCAACCATATGAAACAAATAGTGTTCTTTCTTCTAGAGTTTGTTTTCCTACCTTCTCCCAACTCTAAATTGCTCACACAATGTTTGGGAATTTCCTTCCCCATCTCTAGGTTCTAAAATCCTGCCAGTGCTTCCAGGCTTAGCTTCACATGGTGTGGCCCCAGCAGCCTGCTGTGTCCACCCCAACCCGCATGACTGGGAGTCACTCAACTCCTCCTCTGAACACTCAACACAGGGAAAGCCCCGGAGTCCTCATTGTCTCATCTGAAAACCCTCTCATGATTGTTTGCAAACTGCATGAGATAAACTGAAAATATTTAGCATTGTATTCAGGGCAGAGTAGGTGTTCGGCCCACCTGTCGCCTTCCAAATTGCCAGTGCATAGCTGTATCTCTTTCCCAGCACACACTCCAGCAGGCGACTGCTGTCATTATGCCTTGTGAGGCGATCGGGGCTGAGTGAGCTTCCTAAGCTTCCCTCTTTTTCACCTAACACCTTTGCTTTCTATCATCCCTTTTCTGTTTTACTTTTATCTTAGAGGAAGAGGGTTTTTTCTTCCATTCCAAGGTTAAACTTTCCAACTAGGTTTTAATGTTCATCATTGGCGCCTCCTCTGGAGCCTCTAGCCATTTTCTCCTTCTGGAAAACATCTCAATCAATCCCTCTCTGTTTGCACTTTCTTCTAAACTGAAAAACAGAATGAGGTGCAACAATGTTAAAATAGAGAAAGAAAATGCAATTGCTCCCTTTCTCTCCCACCCTACTTGATTTTTTCCACAGTCATTTTTTTTTTTAAGACTGCTTCCGATGCCTCACCATTCACGCATTCTAAATCATTTCTAACCTGGTCTCCGTGTTCACCTCTGCTATTTTTTTTCAAATTCATTAGTGATTTCATAGTTATGAAGTCCAGTTACTGCTTCTGGGACATGATGCTGTTGCACCTAACTCTGCTGTGGCCTGCATATTGGATATCTCTGCTTCGATTCAAAATGTTTAAAATCGGTATCATTCCCCGATCTCCAATTTATCTTTTCATGTTCCTCTCAGTCTCTCACTTGGGTACCAAGTGTTCATCTTTGCTTTTTCCCCTTCTTTCCACCCAATCTGTGCTTCTGTCCTCCTCCTCCGCCTGACAGTTTTACGCCCTGAACATCTATATAATTTATTGTTACTGTTACTCCATTGGATATAATGAGGCTCTCATCACTCACTTGCCACCTGAGCTATTGCAGTTTCCTCCTGACACTCATTCCACCTCCTGCCTTCCTTCATTCCACTCACTCCCCCACAATTCTGCCAGAATAATTTTTTTTCTTTTTTTTCTTTGAGACACAGTTTCACTCTGTCCCCCAGGCTGGAGTGCAATGGTGCGATCTCAACTCACTGCAACCTCTGCCTCCCAAGTTCAAGCAATTTTCCTGCCTCAGCCTCCCAAGTAGCTGGGATTACAGGCATGTGCCACCATGCCCAGCTAATTTTTGTATTTTTAGTAGAGATAGGGTTTTGCCATGTTGGCCAGGCTGGTCTTGAACTCCTGACCTCAAGTGATCCACCCACCTCAGCCTCCCAAAGTTCTGGGATTACAGGTGTGAGCCACCGCACCTGGACCAGATTAATTTTTAAGTGTATTTATTAATATATCACTTTTTTGTATAAAATCCTTTTGTGGCTACCCATTTTCTATTGAATCAAGTATATTCCATTCAATTTACTTCAGTTGTCATTGCAAAGCTCTTTACAGTACAGAAGTCACCGTGGCTAACATCTATGGAATTCTGGTATGTTCTGGGGACTCTGAAGCACTTACAGATGTTATCTCCTCTTATCCTGACAAGAAGACTGTGTGGCAGGCTCAGTACTGTTTGAGTGTCACAGTGAGAATCCAGAGGTTTAGCCAGGATTAGAACTGTGTGTCTCTATCTCTACAGCCTAATGAGAGAGCCCACAAGAGAATCTTTAAGGCCGCCTCCACTCACACCCGCTTCCGGACTCCCCCACAGTCTCACCCTGACGGCTTCATGACGTGATCACGCTCCACTCAGTGGTCTCACCTCTGCCTGCTGAGGCCAGATGCTTTCTGGTGCCCTGCTCAGACCCCTTCTAACAGCACAGTGTGTGTTTCTCTTGCTCCTTCACAGCTGTATGCACTCAGGAGCATGGGGACACCCTCCTTTCATCTTGGTGTCCTCTTCAACATCCTAGCACATGGGCCTGAACGTAGGAGTGGCTCCATATGTGTGGAATTCCAATGCCTAGGTTTTCTGCCTTGCTAGAAAACAGGCTTTTTAAGGGTAGGACAAAACTATAAGAAACATTTGTATGTTTTATAGTATTGAACATGTTGCATTATACAGAGCTGATAGTAAATATTGAATGAATGAATGAACGAATGAATGAAATAAAAGAAAGGGAATCACTTAAGCTGTGTGGGTTTCTTCAGCTATAAAATAAAGGCGTCAGGACAGACTGCCTCTGAGATTCCTTTCAGATCTAAAATGT